>NC_000005.10:168185566-168488596 GCF_000001405.40 Homo sapiens
AAACCCAGATACCCTGTTCTATAATCTGACATTTAAGAGTTACATTATTCTGCTTTGCAGGATTTCCATGAATCTTTAAATTAAAAAAAAAAATGTAAATTCTGCTCAATCTATAGCATTTGTTATTCCTATTAATTATTATTATTAACCTATCACTGTTTGGAAATTAAGTATTTTTGCCAAGATTCAACCAGCCCATAGCCTACACCAGTGGATGACTCTAAATATAAGGGAATATTAATTTCATTTACTTTTGCATCTTTTTTTTTAAAATGAAAAAGTGGAAGACTTCAGGGAGTTTCTGGTTATAGTTATAGTTCATTGGACATATACTATATACCAGACTGACATATATATATATATATATATATATATATATATATATATATATATATATATTTGAATTTATATATATATATATATATTTGAATTTATATATATATATATAAATTTATTTATTCTTCATCACATAACCCTATGGCATATGTACAATTATAACTCAGTTTTTAATGCAAGGAAACTACAACCCAGCAAGGCTGATTACCTTTCCAAGCTCACACAGCCAGGGAACTAGCAGAGACGAGCTTCAAACCCAAATCCATCTGATTCCAGAGGCCAGGCTGTCACCTCTGATGCTGTGTAGAATTTTTGGCTTTTTACCTTGGGACTTCTAATCCAAAGGTTTCAATTCAGCATTAATGAACCTGTTTCACGTTGCCAGAACTGTTATGGAAGAATCTCTCTGATTTGCTTTATCAAAAGCAATAAATAGAATGCCTTGGTATCATTCCCAGAAAGTTTCTCCATGATCACATTTCTCTGAAATTGTCATTACAATTAGCTTATGACGTGTATGAGTAGACTAGAACCAGAGCTGTGATTTAGCGTCCGTTCTGACAGAAAACACCTAGATAATTCTTTTTGGCCCCGTTTCACTGAGTGAAGTAAGATTAAGCAGACATGAGCCACCGCAGTGTGGGCTGATTCAGAAGGCCTAAGTCGCTTTCCCATAACCGCTGAGTCAGTATTGGGCCCTTTTTGAGGACTCTGCAAACCTCTCCTACCATCCTCACCCCCTTCCCCAGGAAAAAGCCAACCAGACTAACAAATAAGTAGGTAGATAAATAAATAAAGAAATCGTCCATTGTCATAGGAGGGCCAGGCCGCTTTCCCTCTGCTGTTGAATGGAGACATCGGCCACCTCTCAGGTCCTGAACTGGCAATTCAGAACAGTTTGATTGCCTGCTTGATTGTTTGCGAGATAACTGCAAGATTGTCAGTGACAGGGTAATTTACTGAAGATTGCAATGTCAGACTCCATCCAAGGGGCTTGCTGGCATAAAGACGCGATTCTCATGACTGACAGGCCACTGGGAGATTGGAGTGCCAATTTAAAGTTCACAGTGTCGTCTGAAAGTGTTTGGCGGCTGCAGCCCATAATCACGCAGCATGATGAGGTCATTATAGGCATAACGTAGGCTCCTACTTAATAACGGGTAGAACCCCAAATGCACAATCTCTGGAGCAGGTAAATGTAAATATGTAGGAGGAAATCATTTGTATCCTATTTTCTTTCTGTTTTGGCATTTGTCATCTGCTATTGCTGATGTGCTTAGGCCATCTCCTGCCAGACAGGCCCTTGAATCAAAAGCCCAGGATCAACAAAACAGTGGGGAAATTTGAAGTTCACAATTCTGAAGCAGTCACAAGCCCGGAAAGAGTGACAGGCTGGAGGGGGAGGGGGAGGCAAATGTTCAGCACTCAATAGGAAAACTGTCTTAAGTTATTCTTCAAGCCCAAAGAGGTCTTCAAGGCGGTTATATGGAGCGGGTGGTAAATGGGTTGGAGGGGGAGGAAATATTTCCCCAGCTTCAGGAGGGAAAGGCCACCAGAGATGGATGATACCCCTAATTGGAAGAGGCCTGTGACCTTAAAGAAATCTATAGTGCTAACAGCAGTGGGTTTCTTCTCACCTGAGAAGCTTCTTGTGGCTGCTGAAGGAAGCCCTGCCAGCATATCTCAGCAGGTTATTTTTTAAATCTGAAACAGGCATTCCGTGGTAGAGCCCTTCTGTCTTTTGAAGGCAGCCCGTGGACAGTGATGTTCAAGGCAGAATTCTATGCACTTTTTTTCTTCTTTTTCTTATGCTGCCAATGGTCCTCCAGATTGGACAGCCTGAATGTGGATCTGAAACAATGCCTGGATATCATCCTGCTACTAAGATACAATCTCCAGTGCTGTTTCTAGGGTCTGAGGTTTGCCAGGCTCCGGGGAACTGGGGAGTATCCGATTCAGCCAGCATATCAGCCCGAGATGTTCAGAGCCTTGATTTTGAAAGTCTCTCAATCTAAAGTGTGCATGCCTGCTCACCCTCCTGTGTCTGCATTTCTAGGAAATTGTGTAAATCTAAATGTGTTACGAGGCACATGAGCAACATTTGCCCATGTGGAAAATGAGAGGCTAGTTTTAGTAATTTAAAGCCAGGCAAAACATGCAACCTCCTAATTTGTTTGTTTGCTAAAAAGAAAGTAATGCATTAAAATAATTGCACATTAATTGCTAAATTACAGTGGAACTTTGGTGAAATTACATATTTCATTTTCATTAGCGGAACCAAACGAAAAGGGTAATGCCAAAAAATTACACTGTAGTAAATTTAAAGCACCCAGCCAGGCCTCTGATTCAGCGTTCCAGTACAAGTGTTTGTCAAGGCACAGCCCAGGGTTTGAGTGCGTGTTTCCATGGTTCTAATTATGGTCCAAAAAAATGCCTTGCTATCAAATCCAGGAGGTGCAAGCAAGTTATTCTCCAAGCTTCTCCACTGTGTATTCAATCCGCTCCCAGCCGAGTGAATAAGGATTGACTAACGAATTCGTTCTTATCAGAAATTCCAAGGAGCAAACACTGCCCTAAACATTCCCATCTTCAGCCCTCACAGACAGGTGAGGAATGGGAAACAGTCATTTTATTCATTCAACAAACATCTGTTGAGTGCCCGATTCTGTGCTTGGTACTAAGAGAGGAATGAATATAAAATTAATAAGACATCATTTTTCTCTTCAAAGAGCTCATTTTCCAGATAGGGAGGCGAGCATTAAGAGGTCATTAATTCTACTATAAGAAAGTTGGCATTAACAATGGTTTTTAAATCGTATTGTGTGTTAGAATCACCTGAGAATCATGTTTAAAATGCAGATTCCAGGGCCTGCTCCTGGAGGCTCTCCCTGGGGAGATGTGGGGTGGGCCGTTTATTCTTCCTGCAGGATTCTGATGCAGAATGCTTCTTTGAGAACCTCTGATTCAGGGATGTACAGAACAGGGATTCCTAACTGTCTTGGTCAGTTTGGGCTGCTACAACAAAAATACCATAGACTAGGGGGCTTAAACAACAAACATTTATTTCTCGCAGTCCTGGAGGCTGGGAAGTCCAAGATCAAGGCACCAGCAGATTCAGTGTCTGGTGAGGCCCTGATTCTTGATTGATAGACTGCAGTCTTCTTGCTGTGTCCACACATGGCAGAAAGAGTACTGAAGTGCTCTCTGGGGTCTCATTTATAAGGACACTCATCCATTTATAGGAGTTCCACCTTCATGACTTAATTACCTCCCAAAAGCCCCATTCCTAATACCATCACATTGGGAGTTAAGTTTTCAACATTGAACTTCGAAGGATCACAGACATTCAGTTTGTAGCAATAACCTGGCCAGGGGCATCATCCAGAAGGCTTCCTGGAAGAAGAGGCCAACCTAAACTTGATCTTAAAGGATGAGTCAGTCCTGTCAGTTTCCCCCACTCTACCATTAGCTCCTTAAAGACAGTCTCCATGGTTCTTTGCTCTCTCTCATTTCCAGCACATGGAGACCACTCAAATATTTGTTGAATGGTAGTTGAGTAAATAGGAATCAGCCCAGGTAAAGGGATAGAGGCACAGGACTCTAGGCAAGTGCATAATAATGTTCCGAGTCCTGAGGGCGTGCAGGAAGACAGAACCAGAAACTACTGCGGAAACTGCAGGCTTAATTTCCAGATTCCCAAGCCAAAGCCATTTCTCCACATTTCCTAGAAAATGTAATACTCTCAGCACCCAGGTTTCCAATTGGTCAGCAGTTCCCTTCCTGGCTTAGAGAGAGTGGGATAGAATACTTTTCTCCGTTAAAGTGAGATTTAAGGGATTCCATGCATTTTAGTTTTTTTTAATTTGATAAAAAAATTGTATTTCTAATAGAGACAGGGTCTCACTATGTTGCCCAGGTTGGTCTCGAATTCCTGGGCTCAAGTGATCCTTCTGCTTCAGCCTCCCAAAGTGCTAGGATTACAGGTGTGAGCCACCATGCCCAGCCAGAAATTCCATGCATTTTGATTACTTGTGCACCCATTAGCACGGACCCCTGGGAACTGACCGTGGGTAATTTGCTGTGCTGTGTTGTTTAAAAGCGAAGTTTTTGTTTTTATTTTCCCACTCAAATAATACGTGTTCATAGTAGAAAAAAGTAGAAATTCCAGAAAAGCACAATAAAGAAGAGAAACACACTAATCTGCTACATGAGGATAACCATTTGTCAACATTTTAAATTATTTCCTTTCAGTCTTTTATTTTCTATGTGTATGGATTGGAATTGGATGAGGCTTGCTGTGTGAAACCTGCCACCTCAGGCCCTTGGGTACGTTTGATGCTGCTCATGCCTGTGCTGGTAACAAAGGTGTTAGTGTCTCCAAACAGCTTTATGCCATGAAATCTGCTGACTCTGGCTCTGCCTCTGCCCTTCCAGATGGCCTGGTGGATTGTTTGGACCCTGACTGCTGCCTGCAGTCAGCCTGTCAGAACAGCCTGCTCTGCCGGGGGTCCCGGGACCCACTGGACATCATTCAGCAGGGCCAGACGGATTGGCCCGCAGTGAAGTCCTTCTATGACCGTATCAAGCTCTTGGCAGGCAAGGATAGCACCCACATCATTCCTGGAGAGAACCCTTTCAACAGCAGGTAGGCACCCTCTGTCCCTGCAAACTCCTGAAGTCTCTGATTTTCTTCCTGTTGGAGCCAGAGGCAGTTCTCCAGCTTTCCCGGGGACCCAATTGGCCTGGAATCTGCCCCCCTAGAGGCAGCTCCCTCCAAGGGGGACTCAGAGAAGTGCCCTTTCCTCACTTTGTGTTGGGCTCCAGAACAGAGCCCTAGTGTCTTTGCAGGATGTCAACATCTTTAACCCAGAACCTGCTGGAGACACCTGTTGATTCCCTGGTTTTTAGATCATTTTTAAAATCTGTTATTTTATGATGTTATTGTCATTATATTAAATCTCCCTTTAAAATGCCTCTGATAGTGGCTTTTGTTCGAGCATTGCTGAAATAGTTCATTCAATAGAGTGTTTTTGAAAGCTGTTATTAACTTGATAACATAACCTATCATTTGGTGGCATCTTAGAGTCAAGAAGATGTTGGTTGCAAGGATTTATTGAGCACCTAGGATGAGCCAGAGACTTTGTGTAGATTATCTCTAATCCACACAACAATCCCATCTATTGCCTCTCCTGATTACCTATTGCATGCAAGCCATTGTGCCACTGCATTTCACCCCTCATTCTCTCCAGTTTATTATTGCTCTTAGTTGCTAATTTGAGGCTTAGAATATTCTAGGGTCAAGTTCTAGATTCATTTTGTCTTCAACTTCACCCCAGGACAAGTTAGAACTGTGCTCCTGGAGAAGAGAGCAAGGGGAAGGTTTGTCTTGGAGACACTTCCCCACCACCCCATCCCCTCCTCTTTTCTATGCACTACGTATGATTCTGAGGGTAGAGAGGAGGGGTAGGAGAGGCTGGGGGTCTTCTTATGGCTTGGCCATGCTTGATCTTCCTCTCAGTTGGTCCAAGTCCAGATGTCGATGGTGTATGCTGATGCAAGAAGGAGGAGCGTGGTCTAATTGGGGATGCCCCGCCCCATCTCTGTGGTCCTTCACATCAAGAAATAAAAACTGCTGGTCAGGTCCTTTTTCACAAAACTTCTAGATACTAGGAACTTGGGTAGGATGGTCCTGGCCCCTTTGCAGCCCTGACGACCCCCATTGTGCCATCTTTGTCTTATTTCTCTTTAGCCTCATTCAGGTAGGCCCAGGAGCAACTCTGGATGTATGCTACTTCTCTCGGCTTCCAAGCAGGGAAGAAATACTAGACTTCCCTTCTTACAGAAGCACCTAACTTTATAAGTGATTCTCTCGGAGCCCCTCTCATGAGCCTTTCATCGGTCCCCAACCGAGACAGCCCAGCGAGGGTGGGATGGGGAAGGAATGGGTGTCAGCACAGCTGATTCTACAGCCTCTTAGAGCTCTCTGGAAAGTTGGAGAGCCCCAATTCCTGCAGCTCTTTTGAATATGAGTGTCTTAACAAGGTCACCTTAGGCCAACAACTTTTGCTTCTCTCTGTTGTCGTTTTTACTAAAAATAAAATAGAAAAAGAAATAATAGAAAGGTAAAAATAATCTCAGCCCTCTTCTATTTCAGCCCTGATACCTCCTAGCGATATCATGTTGGGCTCGTAAACCTCATTTTCTTGATTAATAAAATTAGGATAACACTATTTAAATACGTAAAAGTTGATCAGACAAATTGGGTCATTCTTGTCATACCCAACTAAAGCAGAGGCAAGAAGCCAGGAAGAAAAAGCACTCTGGGCACATAACATTGCCCTAGAAATGTAATTCTCCCCAGGCCTGGCTACTGAAACTGTCTGTTGTAACCGGAAACCAGTTGATCTAATAGCGACTGAAACAACCTACTATGACTCTAAGACTAGTTTTACCCACCACCATCATTCACCAGTCAGAACTCACCAGATCGCCAAAACTTTACCAGTCCCAGTGAACTTTCTCTCAAAAGAATAAGTAACATTTCTCCTTATAAAACCTCCAAACTTCTCTTTGATCTTCAGACATCCTGAAGACTACCCCCATGCATATGCCCTGAATTGCCATTCTTGCTTCCCAAATAAAACATTTTAAATTTAGAGATTAATCTTTCTATTTTATTTGACTTTAACATATACTATACACAGTATTATTACTGTTTCTTTTAGTAGAAGAACCTCTCAAGAAAATAAAAGAAACCACAGATCTCTGATAAATAAAAAGCATTTACTCTGCTTGTTAAATCCTAGCTCTAGAACAGATTCTGTAAGTATGCTTCCTTTTAATTATGAACATAATTCATCTTGCTAGAGACCCGTGACTGGGCAGAGCTTGCACTGGGCCATAAGCATTTCAGTGGGGTTTGTAGTTTGCTTATACTGAAAATGCATCCTCTGAAGGCCTGTTTCAATCTGCTTCCTCATTAACCTATCATTATTTCTACCCTAAATCCAGTCATTTCCTGATATTCTCCCTTTCATGCTTTCTCCACCTGGCCCTTCTGGTTTTATCTTATTCTCCTCATCAATGGTTACCACTTCCAGAAGGCACCTTGAGCTAGAGCCAAAATACAGGTGAACAGTCAGGAACCCCAGAATATTTGGTAGACTATGCCAGCCCAGGAGACCTGAAAGAAAGTTGCTTTAGAGAAAGCGTCTCGGAAGCTTTAAATGTAAACAATAAATGGCACTTCCCAAATGAGCCCAGGCTCTCCGGCTGTCTGCATGGATACATAATTCAGAAATATGAAATGTAACTCCAAGACATAGGTTGAAGTTCAGTAAGCGTGTGAATTCCAGTACATTATCATCTTACAAATAACGAAGGACAAAGCTAGGAGTAAAAAAGAACTCGAAAATTCAAGATTTCTAAAAGGGCGTTCCCCTAGATAATGGCATACAAAAATAACTAAAATGCCTTGACTCCACCACTATAATTTATAGAGCAGATCTCACTATCTAGATAATGCGATAATTGTTACACATCAATAATCATAAATAGAAATGAACTGATAGTATGTCTTAGCTGAATCTTTTCTGCAAATTGACTGCCTGGAAACGATAGGAAGCCAGCAGCAAGGAAGAATTTGAAAAATAGAGGATAGAAATCACAGGCAGCACTACTCCTGTTATTCCTATGGCACACTGCAAAGCCTTCTGCTACAGGAATGATTTAAAAGAAATAGCAGTTGTAGAAAAAGGAAGGGTGGGGGGACTCCATTGTGGAATGTACTTTCAATTTTGTTTTCTCATCACGAGCACTGTGTACCTTGTGGTCGTCAACACACATCACTGATTTTAAAGTAGTGTCTGGTAAGGTCTTAAAGAAATCTTAGTCCGAGCTAAGATAAGAAAATGGAATTGAACAAAAGGATTATTTTCATAAATTAGTTTTCCACTTTAAAAGAGTCTAGCATTGTGGTTAAAACCAGCTAAAAATGGCATTCATTTGTTAGGCAGCCAGTAGCAGACAATTAGAGCTGTCAGTGGAACAGTCTAAACACTCCTGAGATCATCAAAGGGTTGGAGTTGAACAGCTGGGGGTATTGCTAATAAAAAGAGAGATGCGTGGAGACAGCATCCCTCCGGTTTTCAGGACACCCAGGAATGCAAAAGTAAGTGCATCCAAAAATCGAGCCGACTTTGACAAGATTGTGACAAAGGACGGGTCAGTTGATCACCTAGTTCAGAAACTGGGAGTGTGTCCAGGATGCTGGGAGCCTGAGAACCTCTCTTCTTTTGCCAAATTGCCCAGTCTGCTGGGGGCTTGGTGCAGAAATGGAGCTTCTCATTGTCCCATTTCTCTGTGAAGTCAAGAGAATTCAGATGAGAGGAGGCATGCACATTCTCCCTCCATGGACTTTGAGCACAATATTGTAGCATCTCTCTGGCTTTATAGGACTTTCCCAGGGGTAGCTGGTTGGAAACCGGGATTTGTGGGAAAGTTCTAGTTACTGTGTCTGGAAAGAGGGAGATGTTCTGTAACACTGGAAATAAATTGGTAGGATTTCAAAACCCTTCAAGATAGCAGGAATTCGACATAAGAGAAATATGTAGTAACACAGAATCCAGAATCCAATATATTTCTAGCAGAAAAAAAGTGTATATAGATATATACACATTTTTATTGAATGTGTATATTGAAGGGTTTTGCTATATATATCTCCAAAGTTCTCGTTTCCTCAGACCCTCATGGATTATGAGAAATTTTGCTCTTAGAGGGCAGCAAAAGACAATGCATGTGTATTTCCCAGCCATAAAACTCTCTGTGCTCCCCTCTACCCACTCTGACATTCTGGCCTCTAGAAGAGTAACATGGCCATCCTCCAAAGCCAAAAAATGGAAATAAGTAGCCAGATGTGGAAGCTCTCACCCGAGTATGGCACTCTCGGTGCCAGGCTAAAGAGCACCTGGGAATGATGAGGGACAGCCTGAAGCTCAGGCCAAACAAAAGCCAAACAATGTCAAGAAATGGAGCAAGGCCAAGAGTGGAAGGCGGGTGCCCAGGAGACCCCTGGGCCCAGCTCAGTGACGGGAGATGCTGCCCATGGATTTCACCCCAAAATGTCACTAGCGTGATTGTGCAAAGCCAGAAGTTAATGTTGAAAGCCTTCTCCTTGCCTGAGGGACCAGATGAGGATGAGGGAGCAGAGGCAGTGGGGAATTGTCTCTGTTCTCCTGCATGTGGCTCAAAGACCTCTGTTTCTGTCTTTCTCAGCTTGGTTTCTCTCATCCGAGGCCAAGTAGTAACTACAGATGGAACTCCCCTGGTCGGTGTGAACGTGTCTTTTGTCAAGTACCCAAAATACGGCTACACCATCACCCGCCAGGATGGCACGTGAGTAGCTTTGTGGGGCTCGGACCTACTCAGGACCACACGTGTGTGCAAAGGGACAGACGGTGCTGTTGGCTTGGAACCACAGGATTCCCCCTGGTGGACTGGAATGTCCACCAGGCCTGTCCCCTAGTGAGGATTCCCCCAAAGACATTTCATGCTTTTTGATGTGACATCAAAAACAGAAAATAAATAGGAAAGCCAGCTTACCTAGTACAGCTCACAGCCACCTCGTTTTTTTAATGTCAGGTCAATGCACGTGTGTGTGTGTGTGTGTGTGTGTGTGTGTGTGTGTGTGTGTGTGTGTGTGTGTGTGTGTTGGGGTGGGGGCAGGTTCTAGAAAAAGAAGGGAAGGTAGCTCTTAGAAACGAACTCCTGTTTTAAATCAAAGGCAGTGCAGGGTGACAGGAATCCACATGACATAGTGTCCTGTGGTGATCCCCTTCTGCTTTCATCTGTGGCTTTAGGAGTTGTGTTGTTTTCGCTACTGTTTGGAGGGGGTGGCGTGTAATCAGAGAAGTCTAATTAAATACATTTAGCAGTCACCCTGCTGTGTGAAGGAGGCAACCTTTCCCTATTATCTTCTGATTGGAAACGTGTACCCGTTCAGCCTCCATCAAGATGAAAGCTCTGTCATTTCCTTAATCCATTTGGGCATAGAGTAGAAATTTAAAGAAGAAGAAAAGAAATCTATGGGAGGGAGAAAACACTAACTTACTCTGGGCTAAAAAACACACAGACACACACACAATTATGGCATTCTGTTTTAAATGAAAAGGGAACTGTGGCTACCAATCTGATCCAACACTCTTTCTGTAAAATGCACTCTGGAAAATCTTGGATGTATCACAGAAGTAAGAACAGGGATTTTTTACCTTTCTCTGGCGAAGAGTCTGGCCTTATTTTCTTTCTTGCCCTAAGGTAGCCTTATAGGCAGTTTCAACAATTACCAGCCCCCAGGAGCCCTAACTTCACTCTCCCACCTCTGAAACCCAAACAAGGAGTCTAAGGATTCATATCAAATCTTCAATATTCATGAAATTTCTGATATCTCACTCATACATTTCTGTAGCCAAATCTAATTATTTTAAAGCACAGGATGGCAGATGTGTGCCTTGCAAAATTACTCTGGCCCTTGTTCGTTCTTAGAAGCCGGTGGGGTTTTTTTGTTTGTTTGTTTGTTTTTGAGACGGAGTCTCACTCTTCTTGCCCAGGCTGGAGTGCAATGGCGCAATCTCGGCTCACTGCAACCTCCGCCTCCTGAGTTCAAGTGATTCTCCTGCCTCAGCCTCCCGAGTAGCTGGGATTACAGGCACCCGCCACCACGCCCAGCTAATTTTTGTATTTTTAGTAGAGACGGGGTTTCACCATGTTGGCCAGGCTGGTCTCGAACTCCTAACCTCAAGTGATCCATCCACCTTGGCCTCCCAAAGTTCTGGGATTACAGGCGTGAGCCACCGCCCCCAGGCCAGTGTTCTTGAAGAACTGACATCCTTGAGTCAATTGCTGTGAAGTCCCATGAAACAACAGAAGGAGACATTTCTGAGTCCCTGATGTGCTATTTTCCCTTTCTTCTGCATCCCTCTCCACTGCTTCCTGAGTAATTATGCCCCAAGTCCACTTCCCAGATCATCTATCCAACCTCCTGGATCAGTTACTCTTCAGCTTGTTCAGGTTGTAAAGCTGTGGAAGTCACAGGACGTGCTTGAGAATGCTCTGAGGAATCCCACAATCTGTTGCATAGTGGCGTGTGCCCCAAATATTCATGTTGATTCTACCGTGCCAACTAGGAACAATTTTACTTCAAGACATTTGACTCTCTTCTGTACTCTATGCAGAACTATCCCCAGCAGTGTGCATGCCCGATAAATAAGCACATAAATAAAGTAATTAATAAGTAAACTATTGTACTGTACATGCTCTGATATTTGTCTTAATATTCCTATGCTCCCTGTTCATTCACATTTACTAAAAAAGACCAAATGTGTTACTAAGATTGGATGAAACCAGCGAGTCAAGTATATTTTTACCGAGTTTTTACTGTGATCCAAGTACTCTTAGCTGCTGGGGATTCTGAAGGGAGCAAGACAGACAGCACCACTGCCCTCAAAGAGATGAAATTCTAAGGCCAGGTGCAGTGGCTCACATCTGTAATCCCAGCACCTTGGGAGGCAGAGGCAGGCGGATCACGAAGTCAGGAGATGGAGACCATCCTGGTTAACAGGGTGAAACCCCATCTCTACTAAAAATACAAAAAGTTAGCCAGGCATCGTGGCAGGCGCCTGTAATTCCAGCTACTTGGGAGGCTAAGGCAGGAGAATCACTTGAACCCAGGAGGTGGAGGTTGCAATAAGCCCAAATCATGCCACTGCGCTCCAGCCTGGGCCCCAGAGCGAGACTCCATCCCAAAAAAAAAAAAAAAAAAAGATGAAATTCTAGAGGGGAGGTAAAATAAAGCTTAACATTAGGACACCTCTCTGTTAACGTCCTTGTTTTCTGTTAATTGGGAAAGAGCTACCTTTATTCTACTTTACAGGTAATACACCTCCATCCAGCTCTTAAGAAACGAACAGAAATATAGCTTAAGAACCATTGGCAAAGAAATCAGCCACAGAGCAGAGGCTGATTAGAAGAATGCTGTAATGAGCTCCTCTCTGTGTCCTAACGTAGTATCGTTATAATTACACTATTTATTGAACATTCTATTAGCCTAGGACTGTGCTAAGTGCTTTACACGAGTGGCCAGCAAACATTTTCTATAAAGGGCCAGAGAGTAAACAGTTTAGGCTTTGCTGGCCATGTGGCTTCTCACCAACAACTCAGCTCTGCCATTATAGCAGGGAAGCAGCCTAAAAGATACATAAACAAATGGGTGTAACTGTATGCCAATGAACCCTTTTTTTTTTTTTTTTTTTTTTTTTGAGACAGAGTCTCACTCTATCACCCAGGCTGGAGTACAGTGGCGCAATCTCGGCCCACTGCAACCTCCACCTCCCAGGTTCAAGCAATTCTCCTGCCTTGGCCTCCTGAGTAGCTGAGACTACAGGCACCCACCACCATGCCTGGCTAATTTTTATATTTTTAGCAGAGACAGGGTTTCACCATATTGGCCAGGCTGGTCTTGAACTACTGACCTCAAGTGATGCACTCACCTCAGCCTCACAAAGTGCTGGGATTACAGGCGTAAGCCACCATGCCCTGCCCAATAAAATTTATTTACCAAAACAGGTGGTGGGCCGGATTTAGCTCATAGGTCATAGTTTGTTGAGCTCTGCTCTACACTCATGATGTTTCACTCTTAGTCATGCCATGTGTATTGGTGTAATTATTCCCATTTTACAGATGAAGAAACTTGGGCTGAGAGAGGGTTAGTAACTTGCCCATTGCCACTCAGCTAGTAAGTGATAGAGTTTGGGTTCCAGCCCCACCTGTCTGCCTCCAAAGCCCATGGTCTCCTCTGTGCTCTGCCCATCGCATGGCCATCAGGGGAGGAGGAGAGGCATCCTGCCTTGTCTAAAAGTGAGTCTACCCCCTCATCAGCTCATTTACTCCCTCTCCAGGTTCGACCTGATCGCAAATGGAGGTGCTTCCTTGACTCTACACTTTGAGCGAGCCCCGTTCATGAGCCAGGAGCGCACTGTGTGGCTGCCGTGGAACAGCTTTTACGCCATGGACACCCTGGTGATGAAGACCGAGGAGAACTCCATCCCCAGCTGTGACCTCAGTGGCTTTGTCCGGCCTGATCCAATCATCATCTCCTCCCCACTGTCCACCTTCTTTAGTGCTGCCCCTGGGCAGAATCCCATCGTGCCTGAGACCCAGGTAGGAATGGCAGTGCCAGGGCGGGACTCTCAGGACTTCCCTAACGAAAACCAACTGGACACTGCCTCTCCCCGAGTGGACCAGAAACTAATATTGTAGGGGAGTAAAAAAAGTGGGAGCATAATAAAATTTATAGCCACCAGAGATGAAAGTTTGAATCCCTCTTGGCTGTTCTGGATGTCTGCAGATAGTCGTTCAAGACTTTGGCAGTCATCAGAGCTTTTAATAAAATAAAAACAACATACATATGTGCAACCCACCTGCAAATTGCTTTTTGTTCCTGTTAGTCACAGAGATACATGGTAAGAGGCGCTTTAATGATCTACATCGGTGTTACGACAGAGGGCATATTACATTATTGCCTCCCTGTTGCTTTATACGGATTGTCAGTGGAAGTTGTAGGTTCGTATAATTACAGCCTCTCGTGGCCTCCTTGCATGCAGCTAGCAATAAAGCCTGCTGTTCTTATTTACATCTTTTGCCAACAGTGTGGCTTTTTAAAAAGAAACACAACAGTGACCAAGAATAATTATTAATCCAAAAATCATAACCTCAGCCCCATCACTCTATGGTGGAAGATAAAGTTTTTGTTGTTGTTGTTTTTCTTTCTCAGTGGTGGTAAGTGGTTCTTGCACCCACATAAGATGTGATGCCTCAGTGAGGGACATAGCAGACAGACAGTATCGGGGTTACAGTTTACCTGCACAGGTGTGTTTTAGGTGTGTGTCTGCCATGTGTTTCCTCTCCAGGTTCTTCATGAAGAAATCGAGCTCCCTGGTTCCAATGTGAAACTTCGCTATCTGAGCTCTAGAACTGCAGGGTACAAGTCACTGCTGAAGATCACCATGACCCAGTCCACAGTGCCCCTGAACCTCATTAGGGTTCACCTGATGGTGGCTGTCGAGGGGCATCTCTTCCAGAAGTCATTCCAGGCTTCTCCCAACCTGGCCTACACCTTCATCTGGGACAAGACAGATGCGTATGGCCAAAGGGTGTATGGACTCTCAGATGCTGTTGGTATGTTTTGGTTTCAACCACTTATTGATCAATGGATTTAGTCATGTGTTAATTCGACCCATATTTATTGAGTTCCGAGGATATGCCAAGCACCATTTCAGTAGATAAGGACACGATGGCCAAGAAGACAGACAAGATTCCTCTTCCACGGGGTTTACATTTTGGTGAGGTATTGAGATAATAAATACAAGTGAAACAAAGAAATATCAAGCAAGATAGGTGCTAATAAGAAAATAAAAGTAAATGATATATATTGGGGAGGAGGGACAACTGTGGTGAGCATTTAGGGAAGGCTCCTCTGCAGGGCAGCATTTAAGCAGAGACTAATGACAAGAAGGAACCACATGAAAATCAGAAGAAGAGGATTTCAGGCAGAGAGAAGAGCAGGGTGTGTTTGACAGACAGAGAGAAGGCCAGTGTAGCTGGAGTGTAGTGGAAAAGAAAATATTCAAGATGTTGGGAGAGAGGTGGTCAGGGGCTAGTTCATTTTCCAGACGGAGCACTTGTAAATGGCACAGAATGACCCTGAATAATCAGAAAACAGGGTTTGAGGAGATCAGAAAGTCACATGCTATGTTCCAGGGCTTTGCCTTTTGAAGGAATCACGATTCCCTCCTTATGAAAGATCTTCGTAACAGAAGTGTCCTACCGTTATCAGAGTTGTGAGCTGTAGATTAATCTTAACCTACCTTGTATCTTCCTACTTGTGGAAAGCTATCTAGGAATTAATTAAAATCCAGAATCCTGTGTTCTCTTCACCAATAGTCGTGTGTATTTTAAAAACTGTAAAGATAAGTTACCAAAGTAGGAAACTAGCAACCTCAGAAATTTTCACTATAATTGGTAGCCAATGTGTATCAGACGTTCCTTTTGTGTAGAGAGAATTGTGTTAAATCTTTTGTTGGGTAACCTCTCAATAACCCCTCAAGTAGGCACCCTCATAACCCCATTGTGCATATGGGGCAGGAGGGAGAGGGTAAGAAAGTTGCCCAAGATCATGCCACTAACAGGTCACACCTGCTCAGAATACAGCCCTGGGGGTCTGCTCCATCAGTGAGTGGTGTTAACTTAACCAAGGTAGTAAGAAGTTCCCAGAGTAACTAGTGTATTTAATATACAACACTGGCTAATCAAATATATGTATATTTGTGTGTGTGTGTATATATATATACACACATACATATATACAGATATATATATGTATATATGCACATATATATACATATACATATATCTGTAGCTAATACCAAAATGACAGCCAATATTAAAAAGTAGACTAAATATTGTAATTCACTTCCATACACTCCAGCTCCTGCCATTATCAACTCATGATGAGGCCTGTTTTTCCATACCCCCGTCTACTCCCCTTTCTCCTGTATTTTTCTGAAGCAAGCCCTAGACGTCACATCATTTCACCTGTAATATTTAAGAATGTATCTCTAAAAACATAAAAACAATATCATCACAACAAAAAAACACAATAATTCCCTAATGTCATCACATAGCCCATCATTGTTCAGTATTTCAATTGCCTGACAAATACCATAAACTATCAATACTTTGTCTCAGGATCCCATTAAGATCCACCTTTTGCAATTGGTTGATTTCTTTTAAACTGTTTTTAAAGTTCTTTCATCTTTCCTTATCTTTCTCTCTCTCTCTAACCTTTATAATTTATTTGTTGAAGAAATTGGGTTGTACAATTTCCCATATAGCGTGGTTGGTTGGTTGGTTGATTAATTGGTTGGTTCTCGAATTGCATAATTACGGCTATTTGGCCTGTTCCTCTGTTCCCTATATCTCCTGACCATTGATAGTTGGGTTTTGAAGCTTTCTCAGGTTCAGGTTTGATTTTTTGATTTTTTGTTTTGGCAGAACAACTTGATAGGTGTGGCTGTGTCCTTCCATCAAGAGGCACCTAAAGTCAAGTTGTGTATTTTTTAGAGATTTCAGTAGCCATTGATGCTCATTGCCTAGTCTGTCTGGCCATTAGGGATTGCAAAATGATAGTTTAATTCTGTACTTCCTTCCTCATCTATTAGCTGAAATACTTCTATATAGAGATGCTTTCTCCTTAACTACTTGGTTATTTAAAGTACAGTTCAAATAGGAAAGAATAGATAAATGCTTGATTATTTCCCTTTATTTACTAGTTTTCAATATAATGAGTTGATTCATTGTCCAGGGGTGGCAAATTAATGTTTCTTAAATACCATTATGAACTCATGGACTGAAATGCATCCAGTATGTTTCAATCCATTGAAGTTATTATTCTCACTAATGGCCAAATGGCCCCATCTTTGGTCAGTGGGCACCTTTTCAAGCTCATTCCCAAATCCTTTTGACATGACCCTAATAGATTTTGATTCCTTCCTTGCTATCTAGTATGATAAAGTAGGCTGGTGTCATTGTGTTCATTTCTTGCTCCAGCCATTTCTTCCAGAAGCCCTGATTCCTTTTAATGAGAAATAATATATCAAGGCCACAAGCCAGGCACTAGCAATTCTCTTTGCTGCTGGGGCTGGTCATTTGGCCTTTGTTTCTTGGCATTTTCAGAGGACAAGCTAGGAAATACATAGAGTTTTTTAAAGATAAAAATGCATCCTCCATTCATATTGACACTTCTATATCTCAGGAATTTTTTAAAGCTGCAGAGAATCCCCAAAGGTGACACACATAGTTAAGAGTTTAATGCAGTAGGAACAGCAATAATAGCAATGCCTCATATTTCTAGAGCAGCATTCCAATTAAAAATGTATGGCATCTCAGCACTTCATCTCATCTCTCCTTACCACATCTGTCTGAGAAATTGAGGCTTCACTTAACCCATTTTACACGTGGGGAAAATGGAGCCCCAAGGAAGCGTGAGCTTGGAGCCAAGCTAGGACTAATGTCCTTCATTTCCACCTCTCTCTCCCATTTGTCCATGTGGCAAATGCAGGATTTTTAAAAACAGCTTTTGGATTCTGTTCCCCATTGAATCCCCATGTAACTGGCAGGCTGTACTCCTGCTGGTGCCTGCCTCTCCTGGCACTTTCTGGAATCCTGAGTGAACACACCAAGTGTCTTAATTTACACAAGCTATTGCTCCCAGAATCTCCATGTCAATGAGCCAGTACGATCCCAAAGGGCTTTCTCCTAGTAAGTGGAAATAAATAACACAAAATATAATAAATGCATGCTGTGAACAGCAGGCTGAGAGAAGCAGTCTCCTGTCCATCTCTAAAGGGGAATTGTGTCAGGTTTTCAAATGATTCCTTTCCTCCCTCCATGTCACCAGGGTCATTTTTGAAAGCCAGTCGTTCATTGGAAAGGTCTTTCCATTCCCACAGAGTACTACTGTGTAAAGTTTCAAGGTTGAGTTCAGCTCAAAAATCTGAATTTAATATTGTAGCATCACAAGGAGAAAAGCAATCAGCCTGCCTCTTTGAGTGAGTTTTTGGAACAGAATCTGTATTACTGCGAACACGTGCTTCTCATTCTTGCTACAGAGCTCTGGAGTAATCAAGTAAACTCTCTCTTTTCTCTCACTCTGCCCCACCCCTTTTATCTTTCAGTGTCTGTCGGGTTTGAATATGAGACCTGTCCCAGTCTAATTCTCTGGGAGAAAAGGACAGCCCTCCTTCAGGGATTCGAGCTGGACCCCTCCAACCTCGGTGGCTGGTCCCTAGACAAACACCACATCCTCAATGTTAAAAGTGGTACGTGAACACATCTTCTTTCCCAAATACAGCCTTGCCACTTCTCTGGAACCTTGTCTCTAGCCTCAGCATTTAAGTGATCACACCTCCCCTTCCCTGGGTCATTTTTTCATCAAGTGCCCAAAATATGCATGGATTTTCCTACCTTCTTCTTTTATTATTTTTTTATTTAAATATTTAAAATATTTATTATTTTTTTAATAGAGACAGGGTCTTGCTCTGTCATCCAGAGTGTATGTGCCATCATAGCTCACTGCAACCTCGACTTCCCGGGCTCAAATGATCCTCCTGCCCCAGCCTACCAGGAAGCTGGGATTACAAGCTTCTTTGGTTATCCTCCCAAGTGTCATTTTACCCAATGCCACAGCATTTGGGGTCCACCTCTCCCACTGCAGCTCTCTCCACATTGTGAAGAAGTTGGAGAGCTCCCCGAGCACTGAAGATTCCTAATTTGTCTCTTCCCCTCCCTCCCAGTTGGCCAATACACATGTCTTCCCCAGAGGGCTTCAGTAACCCCTCCCATTCTCCAACCCCCACAGGAATCCTACACAAAGGCACTGGGGAAAACCAGTTCCTGACCCAGCAGCCTGCCATCATCACCAGCATCATGGGCAATGGTCGCCGCCGGAGCATTTCCTGTCCCAGCTGCAACGGCCTTGCTGAAGGCAACAAGCTGCTGGCCCCAGTGGCTCTGGCTGTTGGAATCGATGGGAGCCTCTATGTGGGTGACTTCAATTACATCCGACGCATCTTTCCCTCTCGAAATGTGACCAGCATCTTGGAGTTACGGTAAATGGCCTCACAGGCAACCTTCTTTTGCTCTCTTGCCCCCCATAACTCCTGAGTTTGATCGGGTAACTGGGGCTGCATTTGGGATTCTCCAGAGAAGATATAGTCCTTGTGATCCAAAACCTAGGCCCAGAATCAAATAAGGAGGTGGGAAAAATGCTTTGTGTATCTGTGAAAAACCATACACAGATTTGATACAATAGTCAACAACTGACTTACAGACAAGGCTTTTAGTCTCCAGACTGGAGAACAACCAAAGCATCTTTTATTTTTAAGAAGCTCTGTAGACACACATCAAAGTTTGAGAACCACTAATGTTCATTTGCTAATTCAAAATGTTGTATTGAGCACCTCTATCTGGCTAGCTCTCTATAAAGTCTCTGGATCTTTGCACATTCACTAGGATAGCACTTCCTTTACTGCATAGGCTTTGCTGTGTAATTTCTGGCCAGCCTAGGTAGATTCCTCCTGCCCATTGCTGGCTACTAAGTCTGAAAGCCAGACCCCTCTGTGCTGGGAAAAAACTGACCCCTAAAAGCTCTTAGACATGCTCTTGCCAGGAAAGTTGATTTCAGACCCTCAACTCAGAGGAGATCTGTAATCAAAGAGAGAAATAAGATCTATAAGAAAGGGGCAAAATTTCATTCAACAAATATTTGGTGAATGTATACCATGTCCCAGGAGCTTTCTGGCTAGAAAAAAAAAAAAAGTGGGGTCAAACAAAGCACCTGTTGTTGTGTTTGTGTTTGTGTTCTGGTAAGGAGCCACAGACAAAATCATGTGGGCAAATAAAAAATAATAATTTCCTGTATCCTTAATTGCTTTAGGGGAAATATAACAGAGTAAGAAACAGGAACTGGGCGACAGGGAGGGTACATGGATGAGGAGGCTACGTAAGGTGAATTAGTTGGAGAAACCTCTTGTACTAGGTCACGTTTGGCTAGGATCTGAGTGATAGACGTCAGCCATGGGGAGATCTGGGGAAAAGCACTCAGGCAAAGAGAAGTTGTTCAAAAGCCCTATACCAGCCAATAACCTGGCTGATTTAAGGACTGATAGAAGCCCAATGTGGCAGGAGGGTGGTGAGCTCAGGGAAGGGTACCTCAATGCATCAGAGTCTCACTAACCACTTAGACAAGAGTACATTGTATTGCAATGAACAAGCAATGGAGGTTGAAGTAGGGAGTGGGGTGGAATTGATATGATCTGATTTGCATTTTTTTAAAGATGACTCTGGCTATTGTGTATGGAGTAGATTGTAGGACTGCAGGAGTGGAGGCAGGAAAACCCATAGGGAAGCTGCAGCGATTGTCCAGGATTGGGGCAATGGTGATTTGAACCAGAATGGTAGCAGAAGAAAGAGGAGTGCTCCAATTAGAATATATTTTCGAGGTAAATCTGATAGGATTTGCTGATGGATCAGGTATAAGGAACGAACAAAGACAGAAACGAATCAAGGGCCCTGCCTAGGATTTTGGCCTGACAACTGAGTGGATGATGGCATCTTCTGAAGCAGCCTCAGCCTCTCTCCTAGAAGGAACTGCAGGTTGCACTTGCATTTGAGAGTCTCTGAGGCCCTGTCTGGGAGAAATATCAGTGGCCTGCCCCCAGCAACTGCTGCTGAGCATTCTTGGGAGCCAAGAGTGTGCCAGGGACTGAGAGGAGTAAAAAGAGGAAAAAACAAGAGCTTCACCCTGAGGAGGCTGCAGCCTCAGTGATCCAGTGGGCATTTATTGAGCATGGAGGCGAGCCAGGCATGTACTGGGCTCTGCGGTACAGAAGGGGATGAAACACAGGCTCAGAAAACACCCATGTGAGCATGAGAGGTGGCACCTGGGGAAGTCAGTGCAGTTCAAGCTGAGCTGAAGGGCCAAAGGCCAACCATTATGGAGATCCAGAGACAGGCCTGGGGTGGAGGAGGGGGCATGGTAACCAGAGGGTGAACAATGAGAGCAAGAAGGACACACGTGGGAAGAGGCCAGGTAGCCCTCACGCTGCCAAACTGGCGATCAGACAAATCGCTTTTCCTAGACTTGCCCATCCATATAGATTCCCTTCCCAAGATGTTGTTTTTGTTTGCTTTTTTTAATCCTAGGAAAGCCTCCTTTTCTCAGGCACCCTGTGGGCAACAGAGAACCATGGGAGAAGACAGGGTAGGGTGGAGGTAGCACTGTGCTTTGCCATTGCCTATAGGAAAAAAGGGTGGAAATATTTCATCTGGCCCTTGTAATCTTCCACATCAGGCCCTTCCTCCTTTGTCACTGTTCTTCCTGCTCAGAGGCTAATCAGCCCTCACCTGGTACAGTCTCACCTCCAAACCTTCACTCTTGCTGCTTGCTCTGCTTAAAATACCTTCTCTACCTAATCTACCACATCACATCCACCTGCAAGGCCCAGTGTCAGGGCCCCCTCTTCCACGTAGCCTGATCTCCCCAGCAGAAACCATTGTCACCCACCTCTGAGTCACTACACCCTCTGATCCTCCATTAGAGTTGATGCCACTGAATGCCTTGTTGTCATTATCTCCATGTAAGTCTTTAGGGCCTAAGCATGTGAACTTCTGCAGCAGACCCCTTGGTCATCTTTGTCCTTTTAAGTACTAGAGGAGGTCCTGGCCCACACTAGGTGCTCAAGATAGGTTGCTTAAATTAAAGAAAACACAGACCCGTCTCCTCCCTCTTGTTGGAGTTGGTCCCTGGTTCCACGTCTCTCGAGTTGTGGAGGCCACAACGTCAATGGTGCAAGCTAAGGGCCCAATCAGAACAAGTCACGCCATGCCCACGTGGTGACATTAGGACAGCTTGAGGCGGAATGTGGCTCCCAGTTTCCCTCGACAGCCGTGTGATTCTTTTTTCTAACTGCCTTTAGACTTGTTCTTACTTTCATCAGCCAGGTACCCAGAGCCGATTAGAAGTTAAGCTTTTATAAGAACACTGGTTTTATTCTTCTTTTCTTCCCACTACATACCTGAAAACAAAGGGCTGTCAATCCCCTCTCTTCAAAACAGCAACCAGCAGAGGGAGGGAGGGGGAGGAAGAGACCTGTCTTGCTTATGTCTTTTCTCCATTGTAAGTTGGCAGCTGAATGATTCCATTTCGGGAGTCAGTGCCCATCCCTATCTCGCTTACCCACCCCGGAGCTGAGCCTCTGAATTGGGATCCTATTGAAATGTTTCCATGGTTCTCTCACTATCCTTCCCCCTTCCTCCTTCCTTTGTCTCTCCAAAACATGCAGGGACAAGTTCTATACACTTAAATAACTTCTGATGCTACAAAGAGCCTTCTCTTAGGTAAAATGGTTATCACCTGCGTGCTCTGATTAGGCAGACATTTAGGACATTTCCATACTCCTGTCCCATAGAAGCCTGATATCCCATCTTTACTAGTCCAGTTCCCACTGCCCATTCCAAGTGGTCTTTGGAAAACCTAAAGCCCTGGAGCAGAGTAAATTTGTCAGTCACTAACATTATAGGGGGAATTTCTCTCATAGCAAAATCTTTTCTCCCTCCCCAGTTTTAGAACATCTTAGGAATTAGACCTCAATATGAGGCAGTAAATTATACGGGATGGGACGGTATCTCTCTCCCTTTTCTTAGCTTAGCTCCTTTTAATAAACATAAGAATCTCACACCTTACATAATTTTTGAAATTTCCATTTTTTTATTTTTTAAACATAAAATAATATTATGATATTAAACATGCTTTTTTCCAACTAAACCGCTTCTCCATGCTGACATTCTGATGGTGCTTTCAGCATGGAGTCAAGGGCACCAATCATTAGAGGAGACCTTCAGAGAAGGGACATGTCCAACCCAGATATGTTAGTACCGGGCGGGGGGAAAGTGGGAGCCTGGGAAGGCGGGCAAAGCCAGCAGACATTGGAAGGAAGCGTCAGCAAGGACAAGCTCTGCCTGAGAGTTTCAGCCAGGACAGACCCTGCTTGATGACCAGGTAGACTGTTAGGGAAGACTATGTGGTTCCACTTAAAGAACGGAAATGCTTTTCCTATGTGGTCAGGCTTTGAAAATGGGGGTCAGGAAAGAAAAGTCATGAAGCACTCAATCCCGAATAAAAGTAAAAACAATGTCCCCATAAAATTTTGGAGACTGATTGGCACTATTTTCAAAGTCTTTTTACCAAGGGTAGAACCCAGATTTTATGAAGCCTAAGACTAATACAATTTCAGAGGCTCTATCTAAGAAGAAAAAACTAAAATTATAAATATGAAATGAGAAATGAAATGGAATATTTAGGATGAGAAAGGAAACCCAAAAAATTGCAAAGTTTAGAAAAGCCAATTCTATCACAAACATCACAAAATCCACACAAATAACCTAATATTTTTATTAATTAACTCCTGTAACACTTCCATGATACATGTTTTTCTATACTTTTTGGCTGCATATCTTTGATCATCTTTTAATATCACAGTTATTTTGTAATTTCATTATCTATAGAAAGAACAGAGGGATTTTCAGTCTTTAGTAGGGCTGATCAAAATTAGTTTCATATTATTGATAAATTAGAAAAGTTTCTTTTGTGTTCATAATTGATTATTGGTGATGTGTAAATCATTAGAGTTATAAAATTGGGGAAAATCTTTATCAAGTTTCCTTTTTAATATCTCTGGGCATTTCAGATTTTCCTGTGGAGTGAATAATCTAAATAGTCTTTGAAATGATGCTCATTAACCAGTTTGTCATTGATGTCCTTGTATTAGTGAAATATGAATTCTACATGGGGACTTTTACTCTCTGCAGTGATGCTAGACAAATCAACATTGTAGGGCAGGAGCATTCCTCAAAGACATTCCTATTCAAGAATGGCTAGCAACCATTTAACTGGGTGCTAAAGGGACTGCAAGCCACATGAGCTCATCCTCCTGAAACTAAACCAAATGCACCCCAAGTCAACTTCTCTTTAGTTAGAACAACAACAACAAAACAACCCTGTGGCTACTCCAAGTGCACCTTCCTCAAGGGGAAAATGTGGCACAGAGAGAGTTGGAATGAAAAAAGACAACAGTCTCCACTGATTACAGATTTGTAATTCTGAGCAGAACATGAGGGATTGGAGTTAGTCCAAGGCAAAGTCTGCCCAGCACTAAGGGAAGCAGCCTCATTCCTTGCTTCCTTCACTCAAGAAACTGTTTTTCCAGCCCTAACTCTCTCCTGGGCCTTCTACTAAGTATCTGCAATTCAGAGATGACTGAGTCATGTCCTATTCACAAAGAACTGAGGGGGACAGGCACACAAACATAAATCACCAGACAGCATGATGGCAGCTCTGAGAGACGGGCTGAGAATGCCACAAGAGACCCTGAAGGCTTCCCAGAGACATCATTGAGACCCTGCAGTGTGAAGAAGAGCTAATCCATCTCAATTCTCCCATCTGAAACACCACTTTTTCCTCAAAGGGCTCACCTAAAGAGTCTGTGGTATTAAAACCATGCACACAAAGCCTAGGCCTATCCCTTGTAAGTAGGACATCTGTACCCAGCTGCATAGACTGACTCGGTGATGCTGTTATTCTGGTTTGTTGCCTGCTAAGCACCCAGCCTGCTGTGATCCTGGACTGGAATAGCAGTGACCTCAGCCTTTCTCCAAAGCTCATATTCGTATGATCATTCAGGCTCTACACTCTCCAACAACTTGATCCTTCACCCCGCCCTTCTCCTTCCCCCAACATAGATCTTATATTAATCAACTGAAAGCAGATGTTCTTAGGAAAGAAGTAGGTCAGGCCTGCAGACCCAAATCCCATCCAGTATTTTTACAAAATCTTGACTTTAAAAAGTGAAATTGATATTGCAATAATTAAGAGCCAAATATGACTACCACTGGTGGCAGATAACATTTCACTTTCATTAAGCAATATAAAATAGACGCGAGAATTCCCGGCTGCCACCCTGACACACCAGGCTTTGCAGAATGAATCTTAAATTGCACTATGTCAGTCAGAGCTCAGAAGTTATCAGCATCATTTAATTAACTTTTTTTTTTTTTTTGCAAAAACTAACACATTGGAATAAAATATAAAAACGTAATCCCTGTGCAAACCCACCACTAATGATGGCCCCCGGCAGAGGACTGAGCTACACCTGAGCAGAAATCAGGGCATTAAACTCTCTTTGTCCCTTCCCTGAAGCCTTTCTCCTCAACTGAAAGGGAAAGAGGGGTCAGGGGTTTCTTCCACTTTGGCCTAGAAGCCTCGAGAATGGGAGTGGTTCTCCTTAATTGAGACCTTGGCATCTTCTCGTCTCTGGCACGTCAATTTTCAGCCACAATTTCCTATTGAAATTGAATGTATTTCTTCCCTTAAAACAACAACAAAATTTTTACTAGTTCTCTGATAAGAAATGATAACTGGAGTCTTTGACTCCAATTCCAAGAGGATATTATTACCTATAAATTTCATTTATGGACGTTATTGCAATATTGGACGTTACCTTTTAGAAAGAATGCATATTTGGGGTCCCACCCCAAGTTAAAAGGAGACAATGAAGGTGACATGGAGCAGGGAAAGGAAGTGGTTCAGAGTCTCAGGGTTCAACAGCCTTTGCCCAACTGCAGTAGGCTGTGAGCAGGGTCTCTCTCTTGGGTGGTACTCATTCTACCCTGAAATGCACCAATGGCAAATAGGTGGTACATGTGTCACCATCCTCCCTCCCACACTCAGAGGGGACATTGCAAGTGAGTCACAGTACTCTTTATACCTGATATTAAATTTGGTTTCAAAATCCTTCTACCACCACACTCCCAGTGGCCATTACTGGCCAACACATGTTGGCACCCAAGATATAACCTGTTTGCCATCCCTTCCTTAGTCAGGAGGCATATTTCACCTGTTGCCACCTCTGTCTTGTGACAGCCACATTGCTGATGAGAGAATTCAAGCTTTCTTGTCCAGATTGTCCAATGTCTGGGAGGAGTCCAAAATCAGGGGCACTTCTCAAGCTATTGAGCCAGGAGTTGTCAGTTACAGGGGAAAAAAGAAAAAGACTGCCTTTTTTGGGCCCCTTTATACAAGAAACAAAAATGTTATGTTTGCTTTATCATCAATTCTTCTGCTAACTGTTTGTTCTTTTTTCCTTTCTGTTTTCTTTCTATAAAGAAATAAAGAGTTTAAACATAGGTAAGATGAAGAACTCTTTCCCATATAATTTGATATGGTTCGTTTGCTTCCTTGTGTTTGCTTTTTTTGTTTTGTGCTTCTTGTGTAATGTTGTATATTTTTATGTACCAAATATAGTAACTTTTTTATGTGCTAATTGTGTGTTGTGGATATGATAAGCTTTAGCAATTATGAAATGCAGTCAAAAAGCAACCAAATAAGCTGACAGTAATTAGAATTTCCGGGAGATTCAAGTGCAAGATAATGAACCCTCAGCGAACTTCTATCCCGACTGCTCAGTGCGGTCCATAATTGGGCTAAACAGTTGAGGCAAACTCCTGGCTTTTGTAAATGCTGGACTGGGTTCACAAAAGCTTTAATGAACTGGAAACGGGTTAAAAACTCATTTTCAACTCATTAATGATTTTTTCCCCTGGATATATGGTCATCTTTAAAAAAAAAAAAAAGTTAATTGCCAATCTGCTGATCAGAATGAATCCAACAGTCAGATGCATTGAGAATTTTCATGGAGTAAAATCACTTTTGAATAGTTTGAAGGATGGAGACCAAGTATTCTTTGTCAAAACCGCCTTGGTCATTACATTGATCCAAGGTTATCATTTAAAACCACACTAGTACAATTCACAGATAAAGTGTAAAACACACATACACGTGCATTCACACATGAACCACACTGAAATGAAGATAGTGTGAGCTTTCTTAAGGAAAAATGACCTTATTTTTATTCAGAAGAAGAGAAAAAACAAAGCAATCTGTACCACTACTCAACGGAATGCTTCTGCTCACTTTTTGAAATGAAACATGGACAGCTCTCCTTCATGATATTAGGTCAAAATTAGACAAAAAGTAGAGTCAAATTGCACAAGATCATAACAGTCAGTGGAAAGGCCATGCATTGACAAAGTCCTCTGTCTTCTTCTCAGGCACCCCAAAATTGGCCTGTTATAGGCACCCCATTTGAGCCAAATTTTAAAAATGAGTAGAAATGCCCTGGAAGGACATTTTTCCAGGAAATTCACCAACCTCATGTGATCTTTGCCACAGCCACAGGTATGGAGGCATGGCTGTCCCTCTGACGTGAGTTTCTCTGCAAGCATCTTGGTGAAAACAGGTATGAGACCATGGAGAAGAATGGTCTCCCTAAGCAAGAACTGACCTCACACCCACCACTGCCTGCTCTTCTGCCAGAGCTTTTGAAAAGCCTCCTCAAATCAGGCTCCCTAGAAAGTCCAAAATTAATTATCTCTCTCATAGGTAGGCACAGATGTGCAATGCCTTGATCCTTCTGTTGATAATGCCAGCTACTGTTCATTCAGTAACAGAGTGCAGCATCTAATTAAAAAATGGCATGAATTTTTCCCTTTCTGCCCTAATTTGTTTTGCATATATGGATAGTCTCTAATGACTTAATAGCCAAAAAAGAAGAAGAAAAGAGGAAAGGAAAGGAATGAAACCAGGTAGTCTACGCTTTAGTTATCTGGGCTGGAATTTCAGAAAAACTTTGACTTCTAGTTCAGGGATGTGTCTTAATAGCAACCTGAAGAGAAACGGGAATGAAAGACCATCTCAACTCCACCCAGATTGTTCCTAAAAATAGCTTCCTAGTTCTTTTCTTTTTTTTCCTTAAATCAGAGAAGACCCCAAATGGTGGTGTTTTAATTAGTAATTTACTAGCTAATGTCAACAGGACAAATGCATCCAATGCTGTCATCTCTCTCACCTTCCCTCCACCTCTCCCAGCCCCTGTCTTCCCATCACCCCAAAGTAAAATTGAAAAATAATAGGAAAAGGCTGGTTGCATGGTTTATACCTATAATCCCAGCACTTAGGGAAGCCAAGGCAGGAGGATCTCTTGAGGCCAGGAGTTTGAGATCAGCCTGGGCAACATAGTGAGACCCCATCTCTACCAAAAAAAAAAAAAGGTTTTTAATTAGCCAGGCATGGTGGCATGCACCTGTAGTTTCAACTACTCAGGAGGCTGAGGCGGGAGGACCACTTCAGCCCAGGGATTTCAGGCTGCAGTGAGCTAGAATTGTGCCACTGCTCTCCAATGAGACCCTGTCTCTGAGAAAAATAAAATAAAATAGCAGGGGAAAATAAAGGGGGCCTGTGCTCATTTCAAAACCTAGTCTACCACACTGAGGCAGAAAGGCAATTACTGTTTGCATCCTAGAGGTGCTGATTGTAATAACCAGTATAGGAATAACATGAGCACCTATTCTGGTCCCAACCTCAAACCAGTGACAGGCACTACAAAGGGAAGAACTGCAGGGTTTTGAGCCAGAAGGAACATTAGCAATATCCAGTATGATTGATTTAATCCCTCCAGCCCCTGCAAAAAAGCTAAGACCTGACACAGTCAAATGACTTAACCAAGGTCACCACCAGCTGGGTCAGAATTGAGTTTAGAGTTTCCTGTGTTTTAGTCCTGAGCCACTTCTACAAGTCTTACTCTGTCCTAGTTAGCCTCACACAGGGCAGCCAGACACATGGCAGGGGAAGCAGCCCAGGTCTCAGAGGCTCACGCCTTCCTAATACACTTCACACACACACAAAGGTATTAATCCCCTAGTGTGGCTGGGAGCCCTGGCAGACCGTGGCTCACGCCTGTGACCTCACTGTTACCTAGATTTGAAAAGTGCATCTCCTGTCTCAGTAATTCAGATTCCAGACACAGTACCAGCAAGATACCCACATTTCTTTACACTAAATGCCAACTTTATCCATGTCCACACTGAAGAGCAGTAAAGAAGCAAGCTCTGAGCCTGGAGATTGGGGGCGGTTATGGGGTGCTTCCCATGATAAAATTAGGAAAACTCCAGGTCACCCTGGTATTAATGGCCTAGTACCCTGGAAGCATAGGTTAAAATGAGAACATTGTCACATGGAAGTGTTCCTCTATCCCACTTGAGAATACACTAAGCCCTCAAGGGGAAATTAAGGAGACTGCACACACATGGACTGTAGATGGTCTTGAATAACTATCCTGCTTACAAAAACAGGATCGGAGTGGGAGCTCTCGTACTGGCTAAATGAAGCAACAGTTGTTTAGCATGGTGGGAAATGAATTTTCTAATAGCATAAGAAGCATAAGTCCAATTAGAAGTAGCTAAGAACCATGATGTGTTAGAACACTGAGTTTGATGTTAGATTCTTTCCAGTTCACTAAAGTGGAAAGACACTAGAGAAGGTAAGCGTCTTGCTAGGATTTTTGTCATTCCTTTGATCTAGGAGGCCAGCTCCATAGCCCCCTCCTCATTTCTCTTTGTGCTTCTTCTACTAAAGCAACAACCCAGCACACAAGTACTACTTGGCAGTGGACCCCGTGTCCGGCTCGCTCTACGTGTCCGACACCAACAGCAGGAGAATCTACCGCGTCAAGTCTCTGAGTGGAACCAAAGACCTGGCTGGGAATTCGGAAGTTGTGGCAGGGACGGGAGAGCAGTGTCTACCCTTTGATGAAGCCCGCTGCGGGGATGGAGGGAAGGCCATAGATGCAACCCTGATGAGCCCGAGAGGTAAAGGACATCAAGGAAGAGTCTCCCGCCCCAGATAAAGCTTTGCCACCAGCTTGGCTTTCTTCTCATCAGAACTTAACTAAGTCCAGCAGTCCAAAACACAGCTTTCCCTGTAATCATTTAACTCAGATAGATTGCTTTGGTGTGTGGATGGGTGTTTAAAAAGAAAACCAGTCATGAGGTCAGGAGATGGAGACTATCCTGGCTAACATGGTGAAACCCCATCTCTACTAAAAATTACAAAAAATTAGCCGGGCGTGGCGGTGGGCGCCTGTAGTCCCAGCTACTCAGGAGGCTGAGGCAGGAGAATGGCGTGAACCCGGGAGGCGGAGCTTGCAGTGAGCCGAGATCGCGCCACTGCACTCCAGCCTGGGCAACAGAGCGAGACTCCGTCTCAAAAAAGAAAAAGAAAACCTTATTTATTTATTTGAAGAAAACTTTATCATGCACATAGGCTCCAAGTGGAAAGTGAAGGGGATTGCGCCTGGAGATTTCTGACTGCTGCCAGTCAGGAGAATCAGAGGAAATCCTGGCTCCATGGGCCACAGTGCCAGCTGTGTGGGCTGGAGACAGAACAAAGCCCAGCGAGGGGCCTCTGGCCACGCCCAGACTTCCGTGGTAGACAGCAAATGTGTATGAAGTCGAAAGTGCAGTGCCTCACATGTTGTAAATGCCCAATAAATGGTAGTAATTAAGAATGGGTATAATTTCCAGGGGTCCAGGATGGAGGAGTTCTGGGAACCCATGGGTCTCTATTTGAAAAGGACTAAAAATACTTAACATTAAGGAGCAGTCATCTGAGAGTCCAATTCCTGTTAGCATTTTTAGCTACTGTGAAAGCAGCAGGGCAGCATGGATTAAGGAGGCAAAGCCTTGTACTTGGGCACTGGGGCAAAGACACAAAATAAATAGAAGCCATATCTGTGCCTTTCCAGCCCTGCTGCAACAGGGGAATGCTAGGCCCCAGTGTCCCCCTGGGGCATTGAAGTGCTGATTGGAGTCAAGCTTAACTGGGAATACTTCCTGAAGCATACACCTTGAATTAGGAGTTTGTAACTACAAGAATCATCATTTCTCAGCATTACTGCTGCAATCGGTTGTGAAGTATATTCAAGTAACTTACTACTAATAATGTTTAGGGTAATGAACTTAGGAAATAACTTCTTTTCTAAGGAGAGCAGATGCAAAGTTATTTCCTGCTTCATTCATTTGCGGCCTTGGTTCATTTGCAGTCCAAGGAGCATGCTTTCGTCAGTTGCAGGGAAGAAGGTGGTGATATAGCCAGCACCCTAGGAACTATACAAATCCCAGCACAGTGCCCATGGGAAAGGATCTTGCGTTAGAAGGCTGAGAACCACTGCTCTGAGGGTACTAATCAATTCCAGTAAGGTCTCTGGTCTAAGCAGAGTGCTCAGCAAGGCATCTCATCTCCCACCTCCACCCCGCAATCCTACACCTTTCCAAGAGATAAATCCACACCGCTTGTCTTGCTCAGGTATTGCAGTAGACAAGAATGGGCTCATGTACTTTGTCGATGCCACCATGATCCGGAAGGTTGACCAGAATGGAATCATCTCCACCCTGCTGGGCTCCAATGACCTCACTGCCGTCCGGCCGCTGAGCTGTGATTCCAGCATGGATGTAGCCCAGGTGAGACTCTTTCTTATTTCTCTTCACTAAGCAACACCTGCCCCTTGGCCTGAGGTTCTTACCTGTTTCCTGTTTGGTTTGGAAGTGGAATGGGAGGGAGAGATACAGATACAGATCACGGGGTTGTTTGGAGAAAGCCTGAGATGAGCTAAACAGTAAGATGGAGTGGAAAATGTCAGATAGGTATGAGAGAGAGAGAGAGAGCAAGAGAGAGGGAAAACTGTTGAGAAAAGTGGAACTGGTGACACACTCCAGCCGTGGCAGATTACAGGGTAGAAGCTGCTCTGTAATTACCTCCCTTCTCCATCATTATTGCAGGTTTGAGAATGTACTGTACAGTGTTATATGTCAATCAGAACTTCCCCTTTAATCTGAAATGACTGCATCCTCACTATATAAACCTTTACTTTGTGCAGTAGTAACTAGAGCAGAGCCCTCTACAATATCACCCAAAGTGTGTGTTTAGTTTGGGCTGTTAGAGAGGCAGAGAACAGAGGCTCACTCAAATATACAGCATTTGTTCTCAGACAGCCTGGAATATACGTTCAGCCTTTCTATAACGGCCTTTTCAACCCTTGGCGAGCCTCATAAATTTCAGCTCAAGTTCCACAACAGACAACTTGCTACTGAGATTTTTATTTCAAATTCCATAGAGGAAGGATGCGTTCGGTTCCGTTTATTTTTTAAAGCAGACACTCAAGTTGTAGTTTGCTGGAGAGCCTGCACTTTGGCTCCCCTTGGATCAGAGCCATCTTCCAAGTCACATGGCTCCTTTTTGTGAATTAGATACAGGTGCCGCCTCTAAATGTACATAGCTTCCGTAGGCGTCTGCTTGGAGAGCAGAGTATGGGCTGGATGGCATGGTCTCTTGTGCAGTGAACTACCTGTGCAACCATATGTAACAGCTCTGATGCTGGTCCAGCCATCTGGAGCTGAGAAGCAGCATCATAGGTAGAGCTGATGGCCTGTTCTGGTCATGGCAGGTGACACGGTAGAAAATATATATTATATTATCTCTTCTTCTCCATCACACCCACTCATCATGGGCAATGAGCAGCTGGTTCAATGAAGAGCATTTCTAATACAATGTGTTATTAAAAAGCTGTCTTTTTTCCTAGATATATAAAACCAGTAAGTGCCGTACGGTTAAACGTTGGACATATTAAAGGCTGTTCTTTAATCTGATACCACGTCATCCACAGGTTCGTCTGGAGTGGCCAACAGACCTTGCTGTCAATCCCATGGATAACTCCTTGTATGTTCTAGAGAACAATGTCATCCTTCGAATCACCGAGAACCACCAAGTCAGCATCATTGCGGGACGCCCCATGCACTGCCAAGTTCCTGGCATTGACTACTCACTCAGCAAACTAGCCATTCACTCTGCCCTGGAGTCAGCCAGTGCCATTGCCATTTCTCACACTGGGGTCCTCTACATCACTGAGACAGATGAGAAGAAGATTAACCGTCTACGCCAGGTAACAACCAACGGGGAGATCTGCCTTTTAGCTGGGGCAGCCTCGGACTGCGACTGCAAAAACGATGTCAATTGCAACTGCTATTCAGGAGATGATGCCTACGCGACTGATGCCATCTTGAATTCCCCATCATCCTTAGCTGTAGCTCCAGATGGTACCATTTACATTGCAGACCTTGGAAATATTCGGATCAGGGCGGTCAGCAAGAACAAGCCTGTTCTTAATGCCTTCAACCAGTATGAGGCTGCATCCCCCGGAGAGCAGGAGTTATATGTTTTCAACGCTGATGGCATCCACCAATACACTGTGAGCCTGGTGACAGGGGAGTACTTGTACAATTTCACATATAGTACTGACAATGATGTCACTGAATTGATTGACAATAATGGGAATTCCCTGAAGATCCGTCGGGACAGCAGTGGCATGCCCCGTCACCTGCTCATGCCTGACAACCAGATCATCACCCTCACCGTGGGCACCAATGGAGGCCTCAAAGTCGTGTCCACACAGAACCTGGAGCTTGGTCTCATGACCTATGATGGCAACACTGGGCTCCTGGCCACCAAGAGCGATGAAACAGGATGGACGACTTTCTATGAGTAAGTGGGTTTGTAAAGCATCTCTGAAGAGCCCTTCCCTTGCCCTAGCTGGCATTAGGACTGGGTCGCTTGTGTAGCTTTTTAAATTGCTTTGTCACGTTGTCTTTCTAACTTTAATGATGTCTTATGGCCTCAAGACATTCATGTCCCCTCTCCCTGACTCTGAAATGATTTGCTCTAATGGATCTCTGATATTGAGCATCCTCCCTACTAGAGTTGGGAATTCCTGTTGCCTGCTTGCCGTTCAAATTTCAGGATATTGGACATGCACAGCACCTGGGAGGTAAAATGTTGATTAACTTTGCTGATTATTCAAGTTTGCCATGGGTGCGGAAATTAGAATCTAAAAGGCAAGATCCCAGTGGGGTTCCTGTAATTTGCCAATAGGTCCAGCAACACACTTGATTGCACAGACAGGTAGATAAACTCTGAATTTCCTCCTTAGCAGAAGCAGATCGATACAGATAAAGCATTAGGTATATTAAAAGATGCGAGAGCTGGTCATATTTCCCCTAACAATTATCTCATACTTAATAGTCCTGACGCTTGTTTTGCAAAAAGCTGTTTTTCCTAGCTCCTGCAGGCAGTTCTTGGTCAAAGTGTCTGCTGCTGTAGGTACTAATGGTGGGATGCTGGTTGGAGGAAGTTACTAGGCATGATTCTCCCAGTGGCTGGCTGAGACTGGAGCAGAATTTATAAATATCTGGCTCTCCTAGGTGATGAAGGAGTGTGTTAACCCCTGTGTACTTGGAGTCCTTGCTTGTGTTTTGTCTGGATGCTGCTGCTAGCTCAGAATGTAGTTAAGTTAGGGAGAGTTGGCACAGCAAAAAAAAAAAAAAAAAAAAAAAAAGCGGGGGACAAGAGGGAGAACAGAAAACCTCATTGTTGATCATTCCTAAACCCGGCAATGTTTACTTCCTGTTTGTATGCCAATGGTCTTGGGAGAATGTAAAAGGAAGCTGTTGCCACCTGCTGGATATTTAGTGCATTGCAGAAGAATTGCTTCCCCTGGTTCTGACTTTCTTCTTTGGGCAACTCTTTCTCAAGCACCTTAACGATGCTTGAGATTTCTGAAGCATCTTAATACCCTTCAGGACACTGTAGTTTTGATCAAACTTTACCAGCCAGTGATTCTGCCCTCGAGGGTACCATCCGAGTGCTGTCCTTGGCTCTCATACCGAATTAGGCTGAAGCTATACACTCACCCAAACACCTCCGAGATTTTCATCTTCCTTTCTGACAGTTTCAACCAAAGACCTAATGCATTTCAGAAACAATTTGTTGGCTCTCCTGAAAGAGGGGGAAAAAACATCCCTCTCAGGGAGGCCAGCCTGAACTGGGCCTGGTTTACAGACTGTCATAAAGAAGCTTGGGTTCAAGTGCATCCACAGATCTGAACTCTAAAAGGGAAAGTATTTTCCAGAAAGTGTCCCTAGTTTAATGAAAACATAGGCATGACTCGTAATTGTGTTTTAAAATGTTCAGAAGTTACATTGAAACTGAATTTTTTTATCTTAATTTGATAAGCTGCCCTTTTTTTCATAATGTAGATAAATCCAGTGATCACAAATTCTCCATTGTGGGGTTCAAATGTATAGGGTTTTCTTTTCTACCTGAAAAGATGGTGAGTTCTTTTTGTTTTATGGCACTTTTGGCACATGATCAGCCAATTGGAAGACACACAGCCAACTTAAAAATCAGACATAACTTCACCTCCTGTCAGGGCAGTGTGGTCAAGACCAACACTGCATAGCCTTAGCCAAAACTTTAGAGAAAGGGTGATGAAGAAAACCACACAGAGGCTGTGAGGCTACTAGAAAAGTCTGTCCTGGTCGGGAGTGATGCCTCATGCCTGTAATTTCTGCACTTTGGGAGGCTAAGGCAGGAGGATCACTGGAGGCCAGCAGTTTGAGACCAGCCTGGCCAACATGGAAAAACCTCATCTCTACTGAAAATACAAAAGTTAGCCAAGTATGGTGGTGCATACTTATAGTCTCAGCTACTTAGGAGGCAAAGGCATGAAAATCACTTGAACTCAGGAGGTGGAGGTTGCAGTGAGTTGAGATCACGCAGCTGTACTCCAGCCTGGGCGACAGAGCAACACTCTGTCTCAAAAAAAAAAAAGAAAAAGAAAGAAAGAAAATGATTTGTCCTTCAGTGAGAGCTTCCTTAGGGGGATTCCTCTCTTCCCACTCTGTTACAGGGGGCAGAGTACAAATCCCCCTATAGGTGAGAAGAGTGGCCATATCTTTTTTTTCTGCATAGAACATGAGGTACAGAAGCCATTTATCTGCCGTGTTGTCACAGTGACTGTCTAAATATGGATTTGATTATCCCCATTTTATTGATAAAGAAACTGAGGCTCAGAGAATCGAAGTGACTCCCCTAAGACCACACAGGGAGTTGGTAGTGAAGCAGGACTGGAATCCAGATCTCCAAGCCCAGCGTTCTTTGCATTGCACACTAGCGTTGTAAAGCAGGGCTATGAATGGAATTTGTAACTCCACCTTCAGACTCCACATGGGAACTGTCCCTGAATTTTTGGGAAGATGTAACTCAATAAGACCAGCCTATCAATGACTCTGGAAGCAGGAGAGAGAAAGGGGTAGGAAAAAATAACACTATCGAATCTTCCTGGACCCATTTTATGATCAGCCAGTTCCAGAAACTTCCAGGACATCCAACCGTGGAATTAAGATTTCCCCAGATGCAGGCCACTGGGTCTTGATAGAAGAAGTATCCTGATTTAGTTTCATCCCTGAGGGAACTCAGGTTTTCACAGTCTTCCCCAAAAGGCAGCATCTTATACCAGAAAGCTCCTAGGTCTTAGGACCAGGATGACAGGGGTGTGGAGTCCATCTCTGCCACATGCTTACTGATTGACGTTGGACACGTTATTTAACCTCTCTGAGCCTCAATGTCTCATCTGTTACATGGGGATAAAAATGCAAATTAACAACAGGAGCCCTGTGCTAATCCACTGAGATAATACATTTTTAGAAATTAGCAAAGCGCTTGGCATATAGAAGTTTAACTCAGAGTATAGGCTAATGGGATTTGAGAGGAATTATTAAGCACACCTCTGTCTCCTTCCTACCCCTCAGGTTTCACTCAACTAACTGTAGAGTGGATACAAGAGTCAGACAGATAGAGACTTATTTTGGAAAAGCAGAATTGAAGAATGCAGCTTGCACATTAGGTCTTTTTAATACCTCACTTTGCATTTCTCCTGCTCTCTTCCCACCTCCCAGTGCTGCCTGCTGGTCTCTCATCCCCTGCAGGAGCAGAGTCTGCCTTAGCAAACTTCGGGCTCAGAGGGGCAGAAAAACACATCACCCTTAAAAAGAGGCCCTCCAGAAGACAGAAATGATAAAGAGCCTCTTTAGTCATGTTCAACTCCTTCTCCCAATCCAGCAACTGGGGAAGGGGCAAATGTCAGATCAAAGGAAAAGATGGAAGTTGACTTCCCATGGTGTGGGGTTCAAGAGTGATTTTACAGAATAAGCTGCCATGCAATTCATGAAGGCTGGAATGGGCCCCTTTAAAAGTTGCCTCTCTCTCCTCTTTGTCCTGGGAAGTGAAGAGCTGGGCAGAAATAGAGCTGATACAGAATGCCTTTTGGAAACCCTATCATGCCTGCTAAGTTCCCAGACTAGGGAAGATGCATCTGTATTCCTGAAAAGAACAGTACTGTCCTTAAAATTACACTCTCTACTCCCTATACTCTCTCCTTCTCCACTCCCTCCCTTCTTTATTTTAGTCCTTAGCACCTATTACTCACCATCTGACATGCTGTCTATTTTCTATCTTGGTTTAGTTTTGCCCTCTTCAGCTAGCATGAGTGCAAGAATTTTGCTCCATTTTCTTCCCAGCCGTATCTCCAGTGCCTTGAACTGTGTTTGGCACATCACAGGTGCTTGATGAATATTTATTGACTACATAATTCAAAGGCAGCCTCCAGCCCCACTCCAGCCAAGGCTGGGCCAGTTCCATTGGGTTGGCATTGAGATCCCATTGCTGGAACTTACAGCGCTTCACTCCTACATGCAGTCATTTGCAAAAAGACCTACATCTGAAGACGTTCCTTGGGGGAAGTAAGTAGAGCTGGAGGCAGCCGAATCTTCTTAAAAGTTAAAGAAAATCTGTTTTTCTCCCTTTGGCCCATGAGATTCTAGTCCCTACCCTAAAGCTCTGCTCCCTAAAGTAGAAACTCCAATTCCTACTACTTCTCTCATAAGGAAACTCAGCAGCCTATGCATTGTAAGTGTCCCCAAACTACAGTGGATTGGAATTAAAATCCTTGCCCTGGTCCCAGAGAATGTACTTGTCAGCAGGAGGAGAAACTGTCTGTTACTGAGTACCGCACTAGACACCCCGTATCCAAATACTTAGAATTGCTTTGTTTTCTGATGTTTTAAATACCTTTTGTTTCTGTTTATTAAACATGAAAGTATTGATTACAAGTAATTTCTTTTTTTTTTTTTTTTGAGACGGAGTCTTGCTCTGTCGCCAGGCTGAAGTGCAGTGGCACAATCTCAGCTCACTGCAGCCTCCGCCTCCCAGGTTCAAGCGATTCTCCTGCTTCAGTCTCCCGAGCACTGGGACTACAGGCACACGGCACTGCGCCCAGCTAATTTTTGTATTTTTAGTAGAGACAGGGTTTCACCATGTTGGCCAAGATGGTCTCAGTCTCCTCACCTCATGATCCACCCGCCTCAGCCTCCCAAAGTGCTGGGATTGATTACGGGCACAAGCCACCATGCCCGGCTGATTACAAGTAATTTCTAAATTATGGGAAAATGCAAAGAAGAAAATGAAGATTCGTCAAAATTCCATACAGCAAAACCACCATTAACATTTAAATGTCTATATTTTCAGAGAATTTCTGCTCCATATAGATACTGATATTTTTTACCCCTCCCTGAAAAAAAAAGCTACTGTCAAGGGAGTATATTTTGTACCCCACACTTCCACTCAACACGTGTAGATTTGTGTATGCCAATAAATAGAAACCCATGTTGTCGATCCTGATGGCTTCATAGGTTTCTACTTTATGGATAGATCATCAGTTATTTAATGAATCTCCCATCAAGGAACATCTAGGTTGTTCTAATTTGTCACTATTGTAAATAGCACCTTTGTCCCCCTGCCTGAGAGGTGGCTTCTTTAGCAGGTAAGAAAGCACAGAGGAGCCCTATTGATTTAGCAGACCTAAGTCCCCATCCCTGATTACAACACCAGGGCTTTCCAGGGAGTGCATGGTCTGCGCCACCCCATGCCTGGGGCCCTGGGCGAGTGATAGCGGTGGATCCTGAGCTCACAGACATTCCTGCTCCAAGATCTCCCTCCTCTCTCCCCCAACACCTTTAGGCAGCGCGGTGTACAGCTTAATGTGATTGCACTCTCAGCTTTCAAACTTCTGCAGAGCTTCACTGCTTCTAGTTCTTCCCAGAAGCAAAGTTTCTCAGATCCCTGAAAGCCTGAGCCAGGTCTGCAATTCTTTATTCCAAAAACATTTCCTGAGTGCTCTCTGTCTTTGATGTTGTCATCCTAAGCCCTAAGCGACAACATCCAACAGGCCACAGCGGTCCTTTCCACCGCTCACAGGCCCTCCCCACAGGGATCCTTCTCTGAGGACCCCCCATCCCCACGCGCTGCACAAGCTCCAGTTCCCATCCCTCAGACCCTGCCAGCTTTTTCCCTCTCCCCAGTCCAAAGGGAGTAACCCGCAGGAGTTGAGCCACTTTCCCTTCTTTTTTACCCTCCAAGCAAAATGTCTTCATAGCTCCGCCTTCTTCCTCCCCTTCCTCCTCCAGTAACAAAACTCATCTGGGAGAGCTCAAAGGCCTGGAAACGAGCCTGCTTTCCTTTCCTGGGTGTGAGAAGGGCCCAGCTCTCAGAGTACAGTGGATCTTCCAAAGTGGGGAAAGGCTGTCCCAACTAGAACAAGGCTTCTTGCTAAAGGTGATGTGGGGAGAAAACTCCACGGTGTGAGAAAAGAGGAAAGACGACACATATACATAAAGAAGGAGGCCCCAGTGTCAGGCCATTTGCAGGCAGTAGGGCATGATCACTGGTGTCCCTAGACTTACTTGGGTGCTAAGGACAACTGCTGATGGTAAGGGAGTCATTGGGAAACTGTCTAAGAAGGCTGCTTGGGAAGTGGAGCCATGGCGGTTTAGTGGGGACCAAAGAACAGGTTCCATGCAGCCAGGCCTTCTATGCTGAGCCAATTTGTGCAGGTGGCATTTGGCACAGGCTGATTGTCCAGAGGCCTAGGAGATGACAAGTGAGACAAGGTTGGACTCCAGTAGAAGACTCAGGGCATGGATGGTCTCAAATGCGAGATTTTTATTTGATTTAGCAACCAATGGGAAAAGAGTGTGGTTTGTTCAGCAGGGAACTGACATGGTGAAACTGCTATTTGGGGAATATTGATTTGATGGCTTTGTAGAAGACCTAAATTAAAAAACAAGAGAGGGCCAAGTGCGTGGCTCACGCCTGTAATTCCAGCACTTTGGGAGGCCAAGGCAGGTGGATCACCTGAGGTCAGGAGTTCGAGACCAGATTGGCCAACATGGCAAAACCCCATCTCTACAAAAAATGCAAAAATTGGCCAGGCATCGTGGTGCATGCCTGTAATCCCAGCTGCTCGGGAGGCTGAGGCAGGAGAATTGCTTGAACCCAGGAGGTGGAGGTTGCAGTGAGCGGAGATTGTGCCACTGCACTCCAGCCTGGGACAGAGTGAGACTCCATCATCTCAAAAAAAAAAAAAAAAAAGAAAAGAAACAGAAAAGTAAGAGAAGCTCACAAGTGGCTGTTTTCTCTAACTAACTAGAGGAAGCCTGAGACCAGGTGAAATGTTTTCCAGGAGCTGAAGTCAGTTATATCAGCGGGTAGAAGAAAGCATCACAGCTGTTTCTCCGGGCATAATAGGGTTTTGACTGTGACGAGGGGCCTCAGTGAGATGCGCCACCCAGCCAACCCACCTTCCCAGCTCTTTCTCTGGCCCTGTGAGTCTTGGGAACACTGTCAGCCCCAATGACTGCTGCTAACCAGGGTTTATCTATCTATCTATCTCCCCCCAGCTATGACCACGAAGGCCGCCTGACCAACGTGACGCGCCCCACGGGGGTGGTAACCAGTCTGCACCGGGAAATGGAGAAATCTATTACCATTGACATTGAGAACTCCAACCGTGATGATGACGTCACTGTCATCACCAACCTCTCTTCAGTAGAGGCCTCCTACACAGTGGTACAAGGTGAGCCTCCACCCATACCATCCTACCCCCAAACTCACCCATAGACCCAGAACCCAGCCAAGCCCAACATGTGAGTTATGCAGCCTGGGAGGACTTCCAGAGACCCAGCGTACCCCTAGCTTTCTATTTTATTCAAGTGTCCACAGCAAACTATAAGAGGTCAATCTTGTAGAAAATGACTTAATCAGATAGAACAGAATGTCATCTACACCCAGCCAAATGTCTAGATATTTGAACTGTCTACATAGTTATCTGAAAATGTCCATTTCCACCCGCCCCCCACATACTCTCTCCCTACCTCTTACCCTTCCATCACCACCTCTCCCCACCAACCCAAAACACATAGTTATCTTCTCAAAGGCCATTTATTCTCCTGGCTCACCACTAGACTTCATATTTTCTTGTTCCATCCTGATTCTCTCTTTTAAGCATTTGTTTGATGAGTTGGTTGCCCTGGGACTGGAGCTCTTTAACATTCTCTCTCCAAGACTGGGATCTCAAAGGTCTCTGCCCACCCTGTGGTTATTGTTGCTACTAGACATGTTTTGCAGTCCAGGGCAAGCACTGGGGCTGGCAAGAAAATGAATTGTGCCGATTAATTTTTCTTTTAATTAAGATATAATGTCGGTGGGCTAGCCCGTTGTCAGAGGATAAAAGTGTCCTCTCAGTAGATAAATGGTGACATTTCTGGACTATTATCCCACAGCGGAGCCTGTTTCAATGACTCTATTTCTGCTCTGCCAAATGATTAATGATGTAGATTCTGTCCTTCTGCGTGTGACGGCTGGAGTCACAGGAGCGACAGGTACACACTTGCTCACTGCCCCAAAAGCTGACATCTCAGAGGCCAGCCCAGGCCAGCTCCTTTGCCCAGACAGTCAGGAAGCAGTGTATCTGTAAAAGGAGTCTCTGACTCACATTTCCTTCCCGTAACTTTTCGGTAAAGGAAAAGGTCAGACGTCTGATTGACTCGTGTAGTTTCCACTGGGGAAGATAAACACATTATCAGCACCCACCCACTGACTCCAGCTCCCTGATGTATTTGAGTCTCTTCAGAGTTCTCTTGAGTGGGGGTGGTATCAGGTGCAGTCGGCAGTAAAAGCATGAGGATGGGGAAGGTTGACTTCTTCTCTCCATTTTCTCAAAGAAAGAATCCTGGGCTTTGATTTGTAGTGGATCTGGCCTGTGGCTAGACCAGCAACCTTGGGTTAGACGGCAGGCAAAAGGAGGAAAACTGAAGTCATTTGCCTTTCTTTTTTTTTTTTTTTTTCCTGGTATAAGCTAAAATATATATGTTAAGCTTCGGGAATTTGATTGACACAAATTGTGTAGGCAATAGACATCTTTAAATGTTTAAACGTGCTATTAATAGTCTTCAGTGAGTAAAAGAAACATCACGGCATAATTATTTCTGGAGTGCCACATATTATGTTTTTCTTTACGTGGATCAGTAGTATCTCTGCTACTTACCTTCACATGGTATGTATGTGTGCTAATTGAAGGCAGCCTTCGACTAATGGCTGCAAAGTACCATGGAAACCTATTAAAAAAAAATAGGGGTTCTATTCTCTTCTGACTAATAGAGCGGATAATTTATTTCCCTATCCCCACCCCCACTTACATTTTTCCAGATCAAGTTCGGAACAGCTACCAGCTCTGTAATAATGGTACCCTGAGGGTGATGTATGCTAATGGGATGGGTATCAGCTTCCACAGCGAGCCCCATGTCCTAGCGGGCACCATCACCCCCACCATTGGACGCTGCAACATCTCCCTGCCTATGGAGAATGGCTTAAACTCCATTGAGTGGCGCCTAAGAAAGGAACAGATTAAAGGCAAAGTCACCATCTTTGGCAGGAAGCTCCGGGTAAGTGGTTCCACCCAATCTGTTACCACAGAGTGGGAGGGGATATACACTTTCCTCACAGAGCTGAGAAAGTTTCTCTGTTACCACAGAGTGGGAGGGGATATACACTTTCCTCACAGAGCTGAGAAAGTTTCCCAGCTTCAAAGCCTCTAATACCCCTTTATTCCCTGGAAAAGGCAAACTCTCCACTCAGAAGGTAGAATCCATCTCCCTTTGGGACTCATACCTTGGGAAAAACGTTCTCCATTTCCATTTCCTAGGACTGAAAAAGGCGGCCATTTCCTGCTATGGGGATTTACATTACGCTGTAACTAGAGACAGCTTTGGTCTTCTTTTCACACTTGCTGTCTTCTTCTTCCTCAGTTTTCACTGTCTGGCCAGTTCAACCAATGAATTGGTGTTCGTGCCTACTATGTGCTGAGTAATTTGCTAAGTGCTGGAAGAACAAAACTTTTAAAGTATGTTCTTTGCACTCAAGGAATTGAGGGTCTGATAAAATATGCAGACACAGGATGATCACAGGTTAAGTGAAAAGACAGAGGTACATGCAGGGTCTGATGGGATCCCAGAGGGATGCCACTCAGCCTGAGAGGTTCAGGGAAGATTTCCCAAGAGGAAGTAACAACTGAACCTCAGTGGGGAGTTTTAGCCAACCCTCGTTTTCCCAGACCAGGCAACTTGCCCCACGTGACATCTTTTTAAAACCAATATATAACATTAATTATATTATTATTATAATTATTATATAATGTAATTTTATATTACATTTTTATATTATAATGTAAACCCTATATTATATTATAATGTATAATTATATACATTATATGTATACATAATATACATATACGTATACATAATATACATATATAATACATTATATGTATACATAATAATATACATTACATTATATATAATTACATATATAATTAATGTATAATTATATGTATAATTATAATATTATAATGTAAACCCTATGTTAAATGCTTTGCTTGTATTATTTTAACTTTTTCAATAGCCCCACGAGGATAATTATTACTATCTTCATTTTTCAGATGAGAAAACAGACTCAGGGAAGCTAAATTACCTGTCCAAGGACACAATAGCTAGAAAGGGCAATGCCAGGACTCGATCCCACGTCTCTCTTTCTGTCTGACTCACTTGCCAATATGTCACATGCCTTCCTGCTTATCCGTGGTCATCCAGAGCTTCTCAGCAGAAGTGGATTCTGCTCCAGTCACTTATCTGTCACCAAGAGGGAACAGTTCCTACCATCATGCTAACCCCTTCCCTGGGGAGGGGGAATGTAATGGCATACAAAGCAAAGGCCATAACTTCCTGCACCTTACCTTCAGGTTGCGGGGAGATGGGAGAGAGGGGTAGATCATAAGTAAAAACTAATAAATAAAAATAAATAAATAACTGCAGAACAAGACAAGCACTAGGAAGTCAGTAAACAATGGAACAAAGAAAGAGTTTATCAAATGCTTTGGAATCCCTGAGAGTAGAAGGCTCAGCATCGCCAAAGCTTGGGTTGTAACTTTTTTGCTGTGTAACTGGATTGAAATCCAGCCAGCCCAGGTGACCTCCCTGCAGAGCCAGGCCCCTCCATATTAAGATTCCGCCTTTGTCTGGCTGAAGTTTAAGTCAAGTCTCCACATTAGGTTAGCAGCAGTCTCCCAGGTTTTTCTTCCTCTGCTGGTATCTGCAAAGTTGCAAACTGCAGTAGCCTCCTAAAGACAAAAATGGAATGAGATTAGTAGTTAAATCCTTAATGACTGGATTTCAGGGCTGTGTAATTGATTTTTGATATGCTGCACTGTAGAAGTTGATTATAAGTAGTAATCGTGCCTTTTCTCTGATAAATCAGTTATGCATTTTGACTAAGTTTTCCAAATAAAGATAAATGTGGCCCTAAAATAAAGTGGCTATAATCCCAACTCCAAATATTAAAACTCTTTCTTTAATAATGGTACTTGTGGTAATTAGCCCAAGTTAGGCACACAAGTCTTATAACTGAATTTCTGCCAGGGTTAGATTTGCTGGCATCGTGTTTATGCAAATCAAAACACAGTTTTATCTATCAACACCTCAACATTTAATTGTCTGGTGTTAGTTCCTGTAACAACAATCACATATCCATTTAGCTCTCTTAAATGAAAATCACTATGAGATTATAACAGGTTGAGTGGACTGAAAATGTAATTTGAAAATGAGGGAGAAAGCCTGGAATTTATTTGCATCTCATTTATTTTAATTCAGTTCGTAAACTGTTTAGTGAATGAAATGAAAGCAACTTCTGGAAATGGCAGGAGAGCAGTTGGAAGAAGGTATAAGGGAAATGTTGGGTGTGATGTGGATTGAGGGAACTGGGGAGTGGCCATTTCGTCAGATGTTTCGTGAGCCCATGGCAGGGAGTTTGCAGCCCCTAAGCCGAAGGTACCCATTGGCCCCATAAGGCTAGCAGGCTGTCTCACCATTGGCAAGATGGGCTCTTCTCTCCCTATCTATCTATCTTAGTCTTGCTGTGTCTTTTCATCCCTGCTCCACTGTCACATGAGGGCATGAAAGTTCATTTATTCAAAAGATGTTTATTAGGTGCCAACACTACAGTCAGTACCACGGAACAAGGAGACTCTAGAGAGATAAAGAAAACTGGGTGGCACCGACTAGCTAACGGTCTCATGGAGAAGACAATATTAGTAGTGTGATGTAAGCTATAATACAGGCCAAAAGCACAAAGAAAGGGATACTTAACTGTATCTGCTGGAAGAGGATAGGCCACGGCCAGGTAACAAATTAACCCTGAAATCTCATGGGCGTAACACATCGCAGTCCAAATGCATCGGGCGGCTCTTCTTAATGAGGACTTGCTCCAGTTGCTCTGTCTTGCGATCCTGCCATCTTAAGCACAGGCTCTGTGCAGTTGCTGCAGCAAGGGAAGAGAGTTTGGGTGATTCACGAGAGCTTAATAAGCAGGCCTGGATACGGCAGGCCTCACTTCCACCCACCCTGGTGAGAACACTATCAGGGAACCTCAACTGAACCACAGGGAAGCCTGGAAAATGTTGTCTTTTCTGAGTGCCTAAGAAGAAGAAGATGAACAAAGACTTGGTAAGCACGTAGCAGAGTGATCAGGTCTCCCGTTTGACAAGAGATCAGGAAGGGCTTCACAGAGGAGCTGGAATCATTTCTGTAGAGTAGTAAGAATCAGCCAGGCAGAGATAGGGAACAGAGGTGACAGGACAAAGAATGTCGCCAGTGGAAAGGCCAAGAGGCCAAAAAGGGAATGGCATTTCAGAAAACTAATTCAGTGTGGCAGTGGATGTGTTAGAGAGTAGGGTAGAAAAAGAAGATGCAGCCAGAGACTGCACATGGAAAAGAACATGGTGCCAGGCTAACATTTATCCTGAGGGCAATGGTGAGCCCTACCTGGACTTCATTAGCAGAGTGATGTGCTGGGATGTGTGGCATTAGAAAGCTCTCTCCAGCCTGGGCACAGTGGCTCATGCTTGTTTTCCCAACACTTTGGGAGGCCAAAGTGGGAGGATCATTTTCGCCTAGGGGTTCAAGACAAGACCAGCCTAGGCAATATAGCAAAACCGCAATATAGCAAAACCCTGTCTCTACAACAACAAACAACAACAACAACCAAAAAAAAAAAAAAAGTTTAAATAGCCGACCATGGCCTGGCACAGTAGCTCATGCCTATAATCCTAGCACTTTGGGAGGCCAAGGCAGGAGGATCCCTTGAGCCCAGGAGTTGGAGACCAGCCTGGGCAACATAGGGAGACCCTGTCATGGTGGCACATGCCTGTAGTCCCAGCTATTCGGGAGGCCAAGGCAGGAGGACTGCTTGAGCACAGGAGTTTGAGGCTGCAGTGAGTTCTGATCATGCCCTGTACTCCAGCCTGGGCAACAGAGCAAGACCCTGTCTCAAGAAAAGGAAAGAAAAGATCTCTCTGACTTCCTCAGGTATGGAGGAAGACAGATGAGAAGGGGACAAGATAGATGATAGGAGGAGAGGGACAGTAAGGAGGGTGCTGCATTAGTCCAAACAAGAAACTAAATCACTAGCAGCGAGGAAAGAAAGAAGGTAGGGGGAGAGATTTGAGAGATGTCTAGCACACGAGGACGAGGATTGGGCAACTAGCAGGGTTGCTGTGTCATGCTCACCTTTTGACAGGCTCTCCCCATGATCATGTAAACTGGGAAGGCTGGGTGGCCGTCCACGCTTTGTGGGCTCTGTAAAAGAGAGTGGCTGGGAGCTGAAACCCAAGCCAGAGATGTAAGATTCTGGTGGCCCCAGCCCTGCCTCTTGGAATGGAGAAGAAACTAAATGAACTTTGAAATGCAGCCACTTAACCAGCTCCATGTAATCACTGCTCCCCATGTGGAGAGCAGGGATTTGGAGAGAATGTGTGGGTATCATGCATGAAGCAAATAGCCTGAACGTCCCCGGGACTGGCAAGCTCCTGGGAGCCTGGTCAGCTGAGGGGTGTGAGGGCCCAAGGCTCTGAACATTCCTGGAGTTTAGAGAAGACCAACAATCTCAGTGAAGCCATCACAATAGAACAGTGCCCAGTGAAATTCCAACCCACCTAGGTACCCTTTCTTCCCACAATCCTCCAGACGGAGGCATCTCTTAGTGGAGGAAAGTATCAGTGGCTCTTCCTTACAGCCTGGGGAAATGTAAGATGATGGCGGATGGATAGACCGGGACCACATCCTTTCACCAAAAGCTTTGTAATGGAGTGTTAGTCCCTTCATTCCTGCCCAAACTCAGTGCAGGGAAGATTTTCATTATGCCTCCCAAGAACTCCTCAAAGAATCTCCTTTGAAAGAGTCCTCCCCCTCCTTCCCGCATTGTCCTCCATTCCTTTCTTCACTCACTCTGGCCTTGCAAAAACATGAAGCAGGCCGGGCGTGGTGTCTCACGCCTGTAATCCCAGCACTTTGGGAGGCCGAGGCGGGTGGATCACGAGGTCAGGAGATCAAGACCCTCCTGAACAAAATGGTGAAACCCCATCTCTACTAAAAATACAAAAATCAGCTGGGTGTGGTGGCGCATGCCTGTAATCCCAGCTACTCAGGAGGCTGAGGCAGGAGAATCGCTTGAACCAGGGAGTCGGAGGTTGCAGGGAGCCAAGATCGTGCCACTGCACTCCAGTCTGGCAGCAGAGTGAGACTCCCATCTCAAAAAAAAAAGAAGCAGTTACATCATGGCATCTGTGAGCTCCATAAGTGCAGGGACCAGGTCGCCCCTGTATCCCTGGTGACAAGTGCCATGTGGTGGGTACTCAGACAACAGGTGACAAAGAAAGATGTAATAACTGTGCCTTCTATAGGCGCCTTCTTAATGTGTAAATGCTCCCCCACCACAGTGGGTATAAATTCACAAATACATTGCCCCTACATCTGTCTGGAATCCTTCCACTGCAAGAGACAGGAAGTGCATTCAGACTAACTTAGAAGAGTAGGCGCTGTCTTACCTAACAGGGCCACCACAAGGGAGAAGCTGGCCTCAGAGACTCTAAGATGTCATTAAATGGTGTACTAGTCTGTTTTCACGCTGCTGATAAAGACATACCCAAGACTGGGAAGAAAAAGAAGTTTAATTGGACTTACTTACAGTTCCACATGGCTGGGGAGGCCTCAGAATCATGGCGGGAGGCAAAAGGCACTTCTTACTTGACGGCATCAAGAGAAAATGAGGAAGAAGCAAAAGCGGAAACTCCTGATAAACCCATCAGATCTCGTGATACTTATTCACTATCACTAGAATAGCACGGGAAAGATCGGCCCCCAGGATTCAATTACCTCCCCCTGGGTCCCTCCCAACACATGGGAATTCTAGGAGATACAATTCAAATCAAGATTTGGGTGGGGACACAGCCAAACCATATCAGATGGACGTCTCTCTTTCTGTTTCTCACAGCCCCCTTCCATCCCATGGCAGGGTTTCTCTCTCGGCAGTTGACCTAATTTTCTCCTACAGTAGACTAATGTCCTCTTCACATTGCGGGGGTGGGGGGTGGTCAGGCAGACTTAGCCAAAGTTGACTCCAGGCTTACATCATCACAGCTAAGTGAACCCAGAGGAAAAAGGAAGGTATCTCCCCCAGCATTTCTATTTTTCATAAAATATCTCATGGAAGAAAGATTGACCTGGCAGAGGGAGTTCACATTCCTGGGCAAATCACTGGTCAGGGAGCTGGGGATCTGTGATGAGTCAGGCAGGCACAGGTCACATGACCATACCTGTATCTTATAATAGACATCTCAGTAAAAGCACCTAGACAGGGAAGCCCTAGAAAAAAGAGGTGCCGTACCCAAAAAAGAAAGAAAGAGATACAAGGTTAAAATATAAATATCCCAAATATAGTCTACATCCTCCATCCCTCCGAAGCCTAATCATAAGGCGAAACTCCTGGCCCTGAGGATCTAAAACTCCTGGCCCTGAGGATCTCTTGAGGCTCTATTGCCTCCCACCCCAACAAGCCTTTTTTCTAGGCTTTTGGAAGAGAGAACTGAAATCAACCCCTTCTATTAAGATTTAAAACTTCTACCCTTTCCTAAAACGGATCTTGTGCAGGATGATTCTCTTTCTTTGTAAAGGAAAGCATATAACCACGCTCTAGGATATTTCTTCCTGATTGTGATTTACATAGAGATTGCAGAAGCAAGAAACAGCTACATGTGTAGGTAGCAGAACAAAAGAAAAATTGCTTCCAAGATAATCTTCCATCATGATATTGGTATTAGTGTTATTAGTATTCCAAGAAGAAGTGGGAGTTAGTAATTTTGTTTTGGCTCCCATATAATTAATATGACATTGCAATTACGTGTTGGCATGTGTTACTTTTACTTATGTGGCAAATCACAGTGACAGAGGAGGGAGGTGGGGGGATGGGCGTGCCTATGTGCATGTGAACACACACACATGAACTCAGTTCTGCGTGGAGCCCACTCAAGCCGGTCTGTTAACACACACAAGTCATTATGAAAGCCTGAATTTTCACAGCTCCTTCCTGCCACAATGCATTCATTCTTCACGTGACTAATATTTTATATTTCAAACACCTCCTGTGTTCTTGGCACTACGCTAGGCACTGAGTGTACATTAGTGAACAAAAGATTTCACCTTACATGGTGAGCAGCACTTGTGCAGGCAGAACTTGGGATAAATTTAATATTAGTTTAAATAACACATAATTAGAAGGGCAAGCCTCTGCAAACAGATTAAATAATGTATTCCCCAAGCAAACATTACTTTTGGGTGGCTTCTGTTTGGGATGATGATGTGGAAAAGTGGAAAAACCCTAATGGAGCTTATGCCTTTACCTCTTATACCTTAGCAAGGAGATAATAATCCAATAAATGTACAAACAATATATAGAAATTGTGGGCTGGGCACAGCCTGTAATCCCAGCACTTTGGGAGGCCCAGACGGGTGGATGACCTGAGGTCAGAAGTTCAAGACTAGCCTAGCCAACATGGCGAAACCCCATCTCTACTAAAAATACAAAAATTAGCCAGGTGTGGTGCGGCACGCCTATAATCCCAGCTACTTCGGAGGCTGAGGCAATAGAATCACTTGAACATGCTAGACAGAGGTTGCAGTAAGCCGAGATGGCACCACTGCACTCCAGCCTGGGTGACAGAGTGAGACTCTGCCTCAAAGAAAAAAAAAAGAAATTGTGATGGGTGCTTTGGGAAAAATGTACGGTGGAGCTAATACGGAATATATGATATAGGTTAAGCCCTCTCTGAGAAAATGACATTTGAACTGAGAACTGAATGAAGAGTAGGTAGGAATTTCCCAGGCATGGAGTTGGGGGAAAAGCCTCTATGCTAAAGCCCTAGCATGTGCAAAAGGCCCTGAGGCAGAAGAGACTTCTGCCTGTATCCTGAACAGAAGGAGAGCTCCAGTGTGGCTGGAGTAAACCAGCTGAGGGTAAGGTCAAGGGGTAGAGCCTTATCTTGTTGGCCCTTTTAAGGATCTTAGAAATACAGAAGTCTTCTGCAGATTATCCACCCGGTACATGCAAATGAGCCCTCATCGGGAGCCTCCTTCTTGGACACTAGGAAATATACAACATACCTGACTCCTGAAAGTTCAGGTCAAAGGATAACAAATATAGCTTATTCCGGTCATCTGGGCTGAGCCTCCATACCAGACACCCTCTGCCCCTTCTCACTACATCCCTACCAATGGACCACCCACCTGCACTAGAATACTCACAGCATCACCTGAAAACAGCCATGCTCTGCCTGTGCAAGGCCTTTGCTCATCCCCTGTGCTTTCATTTGCTGACCCTCCCCACCTGGAATATTCTCCCTGATTCTTCTCCCACCCTCACCTGTCCAAGCCTTACTCATACCCAGGCCCCCACTGAGCAGCGCTTTCTCTGGGAAATCATCCTCATCAGTCCCAGCTCTGGTTCCACATCCTTCCTCACTGCCACAGTTCCTTCCCTGTGTCTACTGCCATTACCACACTAAAAATGGTTTTTGTTGTTGGCTCACCTGTCGTTATCCCCCTCTGGCCTGTGGCCTGCCCCTCTAGGGCAGGGGTCATAACTGTCTTGTTCTATCTTACAACAGTCCCAGTAACAAACACAGAGTAGGTGCCCAGTAAATATTGAATGAAAGAATGAATGAATGAATGGGATTTTCCACTGACATAATGAAAATCTGCTCCCTCCCACGTTTGCCTATGAATTCCAGGTCCCAGGGGCCTTCCAGAATGACTCTAATAGGTCTTTGGAATGAAGCTTTTCAGATATTTTGAGACCACAGATGTCCTAATCATATATATATATATATATATATATATATATATATATATATATATATATATATATATATATATTTTTTTTTTTTTTTTTTTTTTTTTTTTTTTTTGAGACAGAGCCTTGCCCTGTCACCCAGGCTGGAGTGCAGTGGCACAATCTCGGATCACTGCAACCTCCACCTCCCGGGTTCAAGCCATTCTCCTGCCTCAGCCTCCCAAGTAGCTGGGACTACAGGCATGCACCACCATGCCCAGCTAATTTTTGTGTTTTCTAAGTAAAGACGGGGTTTCATCATGTTGACCAGGCTGGTCTTGAACTCCTAACCTCAAGCGATCCACCCGCCTCAGCCTCCCAAAGTGCTGGGATTATAGGTGTGAGCCACCATGCCCAGCCTAATCATATTTTCTATTCCTGATTTTCCACGTTGGAACTTTAGATCATCAGAGTTAGCAGGGTTCTTGTACCCAGTCTGATTCAGTCTGCTTATTCACTAATGTTCATTGAGCACCAAGCACTTTCCAAAACAAAATAGAGACACTAAGAAAAATAAGATAAAGTCCCGACTCACCAGTTCCCAGGCTATTACAGATGAGGAAACTGAGACATGAATGGTGAAGGTATGGTTTTGGTATGGCAAAGCTAATCAGTGACACTGATGAGTATCAAAACCGCCACTCAAACTCGGGTCTTTCCACCTGACCTCCATCCAAAACAGCAAGTCATCCAAACATAATGTTTGCTTGGGGAATACATTATTTAATGTGTTTGCAGAGGCTTACCCTTCTAATGATGCATTATTTAATTATTATATTAAATTTATATTTAATTATTAATATTAAATTTATAGCAAGTTGTTTTGTCTCCACAAGCACTGATCCCAATGTAGCATTGAGTCTTGTTGTGTGGGAGCTGGGGATAGCTACTTTTTAAATCCCAGGCCGGGCGCGGTGGCTCATGCCTGTAATCCCAGCACTTTGAGAGGCCAAGGCGGGCAGATCACAAGGTCAGGAGATCAAGACCATCTTGGCTAACACGGTGAAACCCCGTCTCTACTAAAAAAATACAAAAAAATTAGCTGGGCATGGTGGCGGGCGCCTGTAGTCGCAGCTACTCAGGAGGCTGAGGCAGGAGAATGGTGTGAACCCGGGAGGTGGAGCTTGCAGTGAGCCCAGATTGCGCCACTGCACTACAGCCTGGGAGATAGAGTGAGACTCCATCTCAAGAAAGAAAGAAAGAGAGAGAGAGAGAGAGAGAGAGAGAGGGAGGGAGGGAGGGAGGGAGGGAGGGAGGGAGAGAGAAGAAAAGAAAAGAAAAGAAAAGAAAAGAAAAGAAAAGAAAAGAAAAGAAAAGAAAAGAAAAGAAAAGAAAAGAAAAGAAAAAATCCCAGAAGACTGACCCGGAAAGAAAATGAAGATGTCCTCTAGGCCAGGCTTTACCTCTGGGTAGGTAAATAACTAAACTCTCCAAGGCAAACTCTTCTGCTTTTAAACGTCGCCAGACAGGGAGACTCTCGTGACCCCCCTCACTAATCTTTTTTGGGTTTCCCATACTCAAAGCAGGATGGGCAAAGGGTTCTTCTATACGTCTAACTGAAATCTCTCCTGCTGTGTTACAATTCCGTTTCCTGGAGGGGATCCAGCCCAGTGTAATTTCCTCCCTCATGTTTCTCAAATCACTAGCTCCCGTCATTGCGCCTGGAGCTAAGTTAGAGTCACCAGTTATAGGCCCAGCAGGGCCGTTTTGAAGACAGCGTTTCCTTTTCTCCAGGTTTTTTATGAGCTTCCTTGTGACAGGCGTATGCTTGGTGAGATCAAAACGTTCTGGGGGGATATTCTGCAGGGGAAACCACTTCCCAAAGTCTGCCCTCTGCAAAAATAAAAAAGCATGCTAAATAGCTGAGTTTTATTAACTGGGGAAGCCAGGCTGAGGAAAATGCCCGATAATTAAAAATAATGGCTTCCTTACAAACACAAAATTGTATTAACTTAAAAATTGGTTTCTCTATCACTGAATTCCTACCAAGCCGACTGGGAAGGGAATCGTGTTGATCCCGGCAGTGAAAATAATTCAAAATAACTTTTATGTTCTCCAGGAAGCCTCAAGGTTAATTTAAATATTGCTAGCTGGGTAATTTAATTCAGAATAAGAGAACATTGCAGCTAAATTAAAGCTCCCACATGCTCTAAACTGGGGGGGCAGGTATCCTCAAAGGGCCGATCGTGCCTGTTGGACCCTCCAGCATCTCGCACCCACAGCCGGGGCACCCCCCTTTATAAATGGCACCCTCATAATTAAAGAAATTTGATTAGATTACACAACTGGCCTGAACTCCTTGGCTCACCTTCCAGTGAATTTTTCAGATTTAATTATTAGAAGGATTGGGCATTTTAATAGAAATTTTCACATTTCAAAGTTAACTCAAACCTGTGCTATCAAAAAATCCCATTGTCCCAGGGATATGGTAAATTTGCAAGTAAAAACCCACCCTAAGTTATCCATGGCTAATGGCTAGCACCTATCATTACTTCTTTATAGTTGGTGCACCTGGGTCAATGGTCAGAGGCCTCTCAGCTCTAAGTAACAGCAGTAAATCCCAGGGTGGCAGTCAGAGGTTAGGGACCCCTCTTCTTTGTTTACCCAGTATTTAGTTCTTTTGTAATCCCATCCAAGCACTAACCAGGCCTGATCCTGCTTAGCTTATGAGACCAGGAATGTTCAGGGTTCTTTCTGTAATCTAAGCACCCTCACACACTAATATCATCCTTATTATGATAGTCATGATCACATATATTATTTACATGTTGGTCTTTCCCATGATTACATATTATAGTATATTATGCACACATATGTACATCTATACACACATATGATTATATTATGGTTATATATGTGATTTTCCCATTGGTCTTTCCCAGGTAACTAAAGATAAGGCCTTATATCACACTGAGTGTATTTTAACCAAGAGTACACATCAGAATCACCCAGGGAGGTTTTAAAAATCAAAAATCCACAGCTGGGCACGGTGGCTCATGTCTGTAATACCAGCACTTTGAGAGACTGAGGTAGGCAGATCACTTGAGGTCAGGAGTTTGAGACGAGCCTGACCAACATGGCGAAACCCCGTCTCTACTAAAAAAATGTAAAAATTAGCCAGGCATGGTGGTGCACCTCTGTAGTCCCAGCTACTCGGGAGGCAGAGACATGAGAATCACTTGAACCCAGGGGGCAGAGGTTGCAGTGAGCCGAGATCGTGCCACTGCACTCCAGCCTGGATGACAGAGCGAGACTCTGTCTCAAACAAATAAAAATCAACAAGACCCAAACCCCTATTCCCTGAGGAGCTGATTCAGCAGGCGTGGAGCCAGCCGAGCAGCAGAGCTTTAAGAGAGTGTCCCATGTGGTTTAGAATTGCATGCTTGATGGAAAGCCTGTAGTCCAACACCCCTCAATCCTAGAGGTGTACAACCTGGAGGTTAAGACAGCAAGCTCTGTATGGGGATCCTAGCTCTACCACTGAGTATTTATCTAAACTTGAGCAAGTCACTTAAACCCATCTATATCTTGTGTGCAAAATGGGGATGATAATAATGCCTGCCTGAGAGTGTTGTTGTGTAAATTAGACAAAACAAGGGCAATGCTGAGAATAACACTCAGCCTGTGTAAATGCTCAACATGTTGCTGTTGCTGTGGTTTTTCTTCCTTGTATACCAGAGCAGACACCAAAGCCTGGCATTAGCTGACACTCAATGTTCAATAATTAATAAATGCACTAGGGCCCTATGATATGAGCAAAAAGAAAAAAAAATATAAGAAAAGGGAAGGAGGAAAAACTAAGGATGGCCAAGGGGATGGAAATAAGTAGGCATGATGGCAAGTCCCCAGCAGTTGCCTCCAAAAACCCTGGAAATCCTTCCTCATTGTTGCATCATTCATTCTGCCTAACAAAATGTTGGAGAGGTCTTGAACCAAAATCTGAAACCCATAGGTTTAAGAATGATGGTGGCCTTCCGCAGTTGTCCCAGATGAACCAACCCGATGTGACCAAGCTTCTGTTGGCAGAGGAGAAGACCTATCTTTCTGACCACCACTGTGTGTTTTGCTCTGAAAATGATGGCTCCAATCCCGTATAATTCAGACGGCATTAACTTTTGGACCTGTTTTTAAAAAAATAAAAAATCCTACTACTCAGCCTTTGCCTTCTTGACTATTCCCAGTTGCTGGAAGTTGTTGATAGGAATCTTCCACTTGAAGTTAGGGTTCCTTATAATCCCAAGAACTCACCACCTTTATTTCCCTCCCCATGCTTTGATGCATTCTCTTTTCTTTTTCTTTTTGTTCTTTTTTTTTTTGAAACAGAGTCTCACTCTGTCCCCCAGGGTGGGGTGCAGTGGCATGATCTTGGCTCACTGCAACCTCCACCTCCTGGGTTCAAACAATTCTCCTGCTCAGCCTTTTGGGTAGCTGGGATTATAGACACATGCTACCATGCTTGGCTAATTTTTTTTTTTTTTTTTTTTAGTAGACACAGGGTTTCACCATGTTGGCCAGGCTGGTCTCAAACTCCTGACCTCAGGTGATCTGCCAATCTCAGCCCCCTAAAATGTTGAAATTACAGACATGAGCCACACGCACCTGGCCTATGCATCCTCTTTTCTAATTGTCCTATAATAAATATTCTATCCTCTCTCTGAGATGACCTTATAGAAACAGCAATGGTTTGGAGAATCTGTAGTCCTGGGTTCAGATTCCACTTCTGCCACTTGTCTAGTTATGGGACTCCTGTAGACCTCAGTTGCTCTTATGTAAGATAGTTTCTATGTCATGAAAGTGAAAATGGGATCAGGTATGTAAAGTACCTAGCATAGCACCTGCCAAAGTATCAGGGGCTTGTATCAATTTAGATTTGTTTCCACCGCTAGTAACAGAGATTAGCAATAGCAAGGGTTTAAACAGGATTTACGCTTATTATTTTCCTATGATCTGAAAGGAGCTTAGGGAAAGCAATCCTTGGCTGTATGGATGAACACTGAAGACACCTAGATCAACAGAGATCTAGACTCTTTTTCTCTGGATAGGCCATCATCCTGGAGGTCTCCAGCCCCAAAGTCACCTCATAGTCACAAGGTAAATGCTGGAGCTCCAGCCATCACATACACATTTCACCCAGGAAAAGGAGGAAAGGGAAGAATTAAAGATTGCCTAGCTCTCAGCTGAGTCAATTTCCTTTAAGAATATTTCCCAGAAGACCAGCCAACAACAACCACTTACATCTTGTTGGCCACCCGTATCTCTGAAGGAAGCTGCGAAATGTGTTTCATTACCTGGGCACAAAGCTGTTTCCCAGAATGCAAGTGTCTGTGGTATTAGAATTATTCCTTGTCCCACCCCCTCACACCCCCAAAGCTGCAATGTGGAGCGTTCAAGGGCTGTGAAAATGCTTCACAGTCTGTTCATCATTTGACACATTTCAGGGCACTCAATGGACATACAATACAGGAAGCAGTAAAGCTGGTGAAGTGTATAAGAAGTTAACTGGTTAAAGTCTGAAGGCCTAAGTTCCAGACCAATCCAACCACTTCACTGCTGTGTGACCTTGAGCAAGTTTTGTAACCACTCTGTTTGAAGCTTTTTTTATCATTTGTCAAATGGTCTTTGTGAGCAACAACTCAAACAATGGATGCAAAATGCCTAACACAATGCCTGTATATATTCGTCCTCAGCATATATTAAAGTCATCATTACTATCAGCTGGGCGTGGTGGCTCACACCTGTAATCCTAGAACTTTGGGAGGACAAGGTGGGTGGATCACCTGAGGTCAGGAGTTCGAGACCAGCCTGGCCAACATGGTGAAACCTCGTCTCTACTAAAAATACAAAAATTAGCCCAGTATGATGGCACATGCCTCTAATCCCAACTACTCAGGAGGGAGGCTGAGGCAGGAGAATCACTTGAACCCGGGAGACAGAGGTTGCAGTGAGCTGAGATTGCACCACTGCACTCCAGCCTGGGCAACAGAGTGAGACTCTATCTCAAAAAAAAAAAAAAACTTATTATTACTATCATCACCACCATCACTACCATCATTATTACCAGTAAGTGCTGTTGAATTATTAGGGTAAAGTGAGGAGGTACCAGACATCTCTCGAGTCTCTTCCTTTCGCCTATTTACATCATCCCTTGCCTTCAGCAGCCACCCCAGGGATGTCTGGATTTGCAGTCAGTGAAGTTGTGAGAGCCTGGGCTGAGTCTGGTTCATTTCATTCACTTCCAGCCACCCACTCAGGGCTAGCTGAATCTCAGGAGCCCCTCTCCTTTGCCCCTCACCAGAGTCTAGTCTCCCAGCTCTGCCTTCTGGGATAGGCTTTCTTCTCTGATCAGATCAACTTCTAAATAAATATTAAATTATGTCTGATGTGTTTCCCTATTCCTTTCAAATCTAAGTAAATCAGTTCATCCCTTTGTTGGAAATCCCCTAGCCCTGCTGAGGCCTCCCCACTGATGTCTCACATTCTTGACAGTGACAAGATTTTTCTCTAGATATTAGAAGGAAAGAAGTTCACATAGGAATGAGGCTTCATATTCCCAAATCTTTGTAAAATATGGATTTCTAAGCCCTGTTCTCCACTCTTCTAGGTAACTTTACTTAAGATTTCATAAGAAATTATGGCACCTGTTCTTAAAGATCATTAGCTTCTCAGCTAATGATGTGCCAAAAAGAGTTCCAAGTGTGCAAATATGCAAACTCTCTTGCCCCCAGGGTGGCCAGGCAGCCCAGGCAAAACTCCAGGGTTCAAGTCTGTTGTATATTGCTGTATAATTTGCACACTGCACAATTTTCACCATTCACACTTTCCACGATCCTATGGCACCCTTTGTAATTGTGCAGTGCACAGCCTACCCAACTGCCCATCACAGCCATGCCCAGGTCAATCATCTCTGTCCATAAGCTGCCTTATTTTTATATTCTATTGCATATTGCACCATACAAATACTACCATTTTCTTTTCTTTGGTTTTTTTTTTTTTTTTTTTTAAGATAGAGTCTCACTCTGTCACCCAGGCTGGAGTGCATGGCACAATTTCAGCTCACTGCCATCTCCACCTCCCAGGTTCAAGTGATTCTCCTGCCTCAGCCTCCCAGTAGCTGGAACTACAGGTGCATGCCACCATGCCAGCTAATTTTTATATTTTTAGTACAGACGGGGTTTCACCATGTTGGCCAGGCTGGTCTTGAACTCCCGACCTCAGGTGATCCACCCACTTCAGCCTCCCACAGTGCTAGGATTACAGGCGTGAGCCACCACACCCGGCCAAATTTTGCCATTTTCTATCTGTGCCATGATAAGGAGCTTAGAAAGCACTACTCTAACTTTGGGGTTATTTCTTCCTCCAGTGAACACTTAAGCCCTGGCCATGCCAGCCATGTCCTCCACAGAAGCCTGAGCCGGCATGCCTGGGTGATGTCTTTCAAACAAGGCCTGTTGTGTTTTCCTAGGTCCATGGAAGAAATCTCTTGTCCATTGACTATGATCGAAATATTCGGACTGAAAAGATCTATGATGACCACCGGAAGTTCACCCTGAGGATCATTTATGACCAGGTGGGCCGCCCCTTCCTCTGGCTGCCCAGCAGCGGGCTGGCAGCTGTCAACGTGTCATACTTCTTCAATGGGCGCCTGGCTGGGCTTCAGCGTGGGGCCATGAGCGAGAGGACAGACATCGACAAGCAAGGCCGCATCGTGTCCCGCATGTTCGCTGACGGGAAAGTGTGGAGCTACTCCTACCTTGACAAGGTAGGTGAACATGCTGCCCTGACAGCAAGGGCTTTCTGTTATTTCTGTTATTCCGGCTTCTTTTTTTTTTTGAGACAGAGACTTGCTCTGTTGCCCAGGCTGGAGTGCAGTGGCATGATCTCGGCTCACTGCAACCTCTGCCTCCCAGGTTCAAGTAATTCTCCTGCCTGTGCCTCCTGGGTAGCTGTGACTACAGGCACATGTCACCACGCCCGGCTAATTTTGTATTTTTAGTAGAGATGGGTTTCCCCACATTGGCCAGGCTGGTCTCGAATTCCTGACCTCAGGTGATCGCCCACCTCAGCCTCCCAAAGTGCTGGGATTACAGGTATGAGTCACCGCACCTGACCATTTCTGCTGCTCTTGTAAGCTAGCCTGATATGTTTTGCCATGAGACATCTTAACATCTTTACTTCGACTCTACAAGGACTTCCCTCCTGCTCCCACCCTCACAGAGGGAAGAAAATCTGAAGGCAAATGTTATTCATAGCTCAGCACTATTACCATTGGGGTGGGGGGCGGGGGTGCTAGACGCTCAGTAATGGCAAAAAGGACGAATTGTCTGATTCTATTTCAAAAAAGAAAAAAGTACTGTTGAAGCGGACAGAATCATCCCACTGGCAGCGTGGCTCATCATTACTTATGAATTGGAAATGCAGTGATTCATTTCTGTCTTGCCCTAAATTAAGCCGTCAGGATGGGGAATTTTGCCTAAAATTCAAGCACACAGAGCAACCCTCTCCTATTTGCCCTGTTGGCTGAAACAGCCCATGAATTCTCTCTACATGATTCCCTGTGTCTGAAAGTGCCAAATTCAGGTCTTCATGCTTGAAAAAGGTCAGGTTGGAGTGGCGGTAAAAAAAAAAAAAAAAAAGGTCCCTTTGGGCACGTATCAAGACTTTTGAAGGCTGCCCTGGCCATGTAGTCATTAGACAGGGCTTGCTCAACCCGGGCCTCTCACCTAGACTCCCCTTGGTGCAGGTCCATTCCTTCCTTTCTCACCAACTCATTACAGCGGTGACTTGCAGACAAAGCTGTTACCCCTCTGCAAGACAGAACTGCTGTCCCCTTGGTCCTTCCTGAATGCTGTCCTTGTTATGCCTGAAACACAGGAATGATTGACCAGGGGAGCAGGAACCTCCCAATTGCCTCTAATTGAAGTCATTTTTTTCCCCCAAAGAATCAGTGATTCTAGGTTATTTCATCTTTGCAGTAGCTTCAAAATGCAGGATGTGGCTGGGCGCAATGGCTCACACCTGTAATCCCAGCTCTTTGGGAGGCCGAGGCGGGCTGATCACTTGAGGTCAGGAGTTCGACACCAGCCTGGCCAACATGGTGAAACCCCGTCTCTACTAAAAATATGAAAATTAGCCAGGCGTGGTGGTGCATGCCTGTAATTCCAGCTACTTGGGAGGCTGAGACAGGAGAATCGCTTGAACCCAGGAGGTAGAGTAGGTTGCAGTGAGCTGAGATTGCACCACTGCACTCCAGCCTGGGTGATGGAGTGAGACTCTGTTTCAAAAAAAAAAAAAAATGCAGGATGTGTTTTCTCTTTTTTAAATTTAATCAGGGTATGTGTTTCACACAGCTCCCCTGCTGGACCCAGTGGCAGTCATTTCTAAGCAATCTTGGGGTTCCTTGTTATTGAGCATGGAGGTAAACCTCATGCCTCTTACTTCAGCTGTCCAGGCCCTCAATTCTTAAAGTATCATCCAAGCAACATTGGCATTTGCAGGGAGTTTGTTACAAAATGCAGATTCTCAGGCCCCACCCCAGATCTACCAAATTAGACTCTGCCTTTTTACAAGATCCTGAGTATTTTGCATGCACATTAAATTTGGGAAGCACTGGTCTAGGCAACCACCATGATCCATCAAAATTGGCATGTCCAGTGAAATAAATCTGTTTAATCTGGTCTAAGCTTCCCATCTTTCATGACTTTTGAGTTGACATTTGGGGAAATGGACTAAATTCTGTCTGTTTGAATGCTTGGTCCTCAAAAGCCAACTGATATGTTCTGTTCCCCTTTCCTTTCTGCAGTCCATGGTCCTCCTGCTTCAGAGCCAACGTCAGTATATATTTGAGTATGACTCCTCTGACCGCCTCCTTGCCGTCACCATGCCCAGCGTGGCCCGGCACAGCATGTCCACACACACCTCCATCGGCTACATCCGTAATATTTACAACCCGCCTGAAAGCAATGCTTCGGTCATCTTTGACTACAGTGATGACGGCCGCATCCTGAAGACCTCCTTTTTGGGCACCGGACGCCAGGTGTTCTACAAGTATGGGAAACTCTCCAAGTTATCAGAGATTGTCTACGACAGTACCGCCGTCACCTTCGGGTATGACGAGACCACTGGTGTCTTGAAGATGGTCAACCTCCAAAGTGGGGGCTTCTCCTGCACCATCAGGTACCGGAAGATTGGCCCCCTGGTGGACAAGCAGATCTACAGGTTCTCCGAGGAAGGCATGGTCAATGCCAGGTTTGACTACACCTATCATGACAACAGCTTCCGCATCGCAAGCATCAAGCCCGTCATAAGTGAGACTCCCCTCCCCGTTGACCTCTACCGCTATGATGAGATTTCTGGCAAGGTGGAACACTTTGGTAAGTTTGGAGTCATCTATTATGACATCAACCAGATCATCACCACTGCCGTGATGACCCTCAGCAAACACTTCGACACCCATGGGCGGATCAAGGAGGTCCAGTATGAGATGTTCCGGTCCCTCATGTACTGGATGACGGTGCAATATGACAGCATGGGCAGGGTGATCAAGAGGGAGCTAAAACTGGGGCCCTATGCCAATACCACGAAGTACACCTATGACTACGATGGGGACGGGCAGCTCCAGAGCGTGGCCGTCAATGACCGCCCGACCTGGCGCTACAGCTATGACCTTAATGGGAATCTCCACTTACTGAACCCAGGCAACAGTGTGCGCCTCATGCCCTTGCGCTATGACCTCCGGGATCGGATAACCAGACTCGGGGATGTGCAGTACAAAATTGACGACGATGGCTATCTGTGCCAGAGAGGGTCTGACATCTTCGAATACAATTCCAAGGGCCTCCTAACAAGAGCCTACAACAAGGCCAGCGGGTGGAGTGTCCAGTACCGCTATGATGGCGTAGGACGGCGGGCTTCCTACAAGACCAACCTGGGCCACCACCTGCAGTACTTCTACTCTGACCTCCACAACCCGACGCGCATCACCCATGTCTACAATCACTCCAACTCGGAGATTACCTCACTGTACTACGACCTCCAGGGCCACCTCTTTGCCATGGAGAGCAGCAGTGGGGAGGAGTACTATGTTGCCTCTGATAACACAGGGACTCCTCTGGCTGTGTTCAGCATCAACGGCCTCATGATCAAACAGCTGCAGTACACGGCCTATGGGGAGATTTATTATGACTCCAACCCCGACTTCCAGATGGTCATTGGCTTCCATGGGGGACTCTATGACCCCCTGACCAAGCTGGTCCACTTCACTCAGCGTGATTATGATGTGCTGGCAGGACGATGGACCTCCCCAGACTATACCATGTGGAAAAACGTGGGCAAGGAGCCGGCCCCCTTTAACCTGTATATGTTCAAGAGCAACAATCCTCTCAGCAGTGAGCTAGATTTGAAGAACTACGTGACAGGTGAGGATTCTGCCACCAAAGGTGGGCAGTGGCTCCCTCCAGGGTACTTGTTGCTGTGGGGAACTTGGGAGGAAGGTCTCCCATCTTATGGTAGGAGAAGCCCATGGGCCATAAAGCCCAGGCAGTGCAGTTGGCAGCACTACAGAGTCTAGAAAAGTAGAGAGACGGCAGTACAGAGCAGTCATGAGGACTGTTTGAAGATGTCCCAACCACTTTCATGTCCAGTCAGTTGAAATAACTTTATAAGAGCCCTTCCTACCCCAACAGAGGAAAGCAGTAAGAAGCGGGGAGAGAATAGGGCTCTGGTGTCAGAAATACCTGGTTCAAATTCTCTCTCTTCTATTTATAAGCCAAAGGACCTTGGACTAGTTGTTCAATCTCTCTGAACTATAGTTTCCTTCCCTGTGAAGGGCACTGATAAAACCATCCTACAGAGTGATCATGACAAGTAAATGAACACAGCTGGGCATGGTGGCTCATGCCACCCACGTAATCCCAGCACTTTGAGAGGCTGAGGCAGATGGATCCCTTGAGGTCAGGAGTTCAAGATCAGCCTGGCCAAGATGGTGAAACACCATCTCTACTAAAAATACAAAAATTAGCCAGGTGTGGTGGTACATGCCTGTAGGCCCAGCTACTCAGGAGGCTGAGCCAAGAAAATCACTTGAACTCAGGAAAGCAGAGGTTGCAGTGAGTTGAGATCATGCCACTGCACTCCACCTAGCCTAGGTGACAGAGCAAGACCCTGTCTCAAAAAAAAAAAAAAAAAGTAAATGAACTTGTGTAGTTATAGTCTAGTGGATGATCATGAAATGGTATCTGCTTGTGTTATTAACATTGTCATTACTAGAGAAGCAATGAGTGAGCGTAAGTATCGAGATGACTGTAACCCAGTTCCTGACCTCCAGAGGCTCATCTGGTGAGAGACATATTCAAATAACCAACGATAATGCAAAGTAGAATTAAGTCTTTGCTACCATATAGGTGTCTGTTCAGTTGTTTATCAAAACGCATTTATAAAGTGGCACTGTGCTAAGTTCTGGGGATTCAATGGTGAATAAGACAAATACCGTTCTCTCAAGGTGTGTGTGTGTGTGTGTGTGTGTGTGTGCAGATTAATTCAGATTTTCAAGATTGGCATAATACAGAAGGGCTCATGTCAAAATGGGCCTGAAGAATTCATGGGACCTTGGCCGGCAGAAGTGAGCTCAAGGCTGAAGGAAGGCTATGAACAAATGTCATAAGGACATAGGAAGTTTGGAGAATAGCATGAAAGGAGGGGCCAAGAAAGGCAGATTATCTACTTCTCTGTGATAAGTGAGAAATGGGTGAAATGAATTAGCTGCGTGTGGTGGCATATGCCTGTGGTCCAAACTACCCAGGGGCCTAAGTAGGGAGAATCTCTTGAGCTCAGGAGTTGGAGGCTAGAGTGAGCTATGATCATGACACTGCACTCCAGCCTGCGCACAGAGTGAGAACCCATCTCACAAAAAGAAATGAAAGGAAAAGAAAAGAAAAAGAAATTGGTGAAATAAGAGTCTCTCTCCATCCATCCATTCACCCATTCAACAAATATTTGTATAGTATTTAAATTGTACTAAATACTAGAGACACAATGGGAGGAAAGATAAAGTCCCTGTCCTCAGGGAAATGAGCAAGGAAATCAGGATGGCTGGATGGTTGGGTGGATGGCTGGATGGATGGCTGACTGGATGGCTGGCTGGCTGGATGAGTGGATGGATGGATGGATGGATGGATGGATGGATGGATGGATGGATGGATGGATGGATGGATGGATGGGTAAATAGATGGATAAATTGATGGATGGGTAGGTGGATGGGTGGGTGAATGGATGGATGGGTGTGTGGATGGGAGGATGAATGGATAGATGGATGGTTGGTAGGTAGGTAGGTAGAGAGAAGGGGAGAGAGAGAGTGAGATCCAAAGAGACCAGGGCCCCAAAGGGCTAACTTTCAGCAAGCAGGCTGGGGCCATCTCACCTGTTTATGCTTTGTATAGAGAAACAATAATGAGGACCCAAGACCAGAACCCCAAGTTCCAGAAAACTCACAGCTCTTGGTCATGGGCCAAGGAGGCATCGACACTCAGGTGACTGAGGCCACTTGTCCATCCCCAAGGCAGGAATGGAAGCAGCATCTACCTGGAGCACAGTGCTGCCATCTAAGCCCCATGCTGCAGAAATAAACAAACATCCTTAAAGATCAACTGTGGCCATGCATTGCTTCAGTGACAAGCCCCGGACCTTTGGAAGTCGAACCCAGAATCCCCAAGCCCCAGAAGCATCTGGGACCTTTCGGACCCGGAAGTTATGGCCAAGCGACCTAGGCTAACATCTGTAAACCCTCCTGTCCTCCTCCCCCGTGCCTCATCGAGGCCCTGCCAGGGCTTCCCCGCTTACCCCATGCTTAGCATAACTTTTATCCCCGAAATCACTGCAGCTGCAAATTAAAATAAGTCTCAAGAAAACACACATATATAGTATTAATATTAGGTAATGATACATGATATAAAGATGAAAAAATAGGAAGAGGACATGGAGAGCGATGAGAAGTGTCTCCTTTATGGAGGGGATCACGGACGGCCTTTCTGAGCAGGTAGTGTTGATCAGACATTTATGAAGTGCAGGGAGAGAGGAGGAGTGTTCCAGAGACAGGAAACTGTGAATGGGGAGGTTGACTAGGCCTACCTTAGCCATAGGAGAGAATCCTGCCCCACACAGAATGTCCCTTCCAGAAGCCTGGTTGGTATCAGACACCTTGGGAATGAATCAGCCAGAGAGGCAATAAAGAGAAACCCACAGTGTGGGCTGAACAGACATGTCCCGCTGCCAAGACGCAAACAAAATCATTTCACAGGGCACAGTCAGCCTCACTGACCCCCTCAGCTACTTACCTGGCTCTCCAGAAAAGGCCAAAAAATAATTAGCAGGGTTTTCTGAATAGCAATACTGCTTTTCTCATTCCGGTGTTTCATGGAGACTCAATAAATGGGAATCAAATCAAGTTGAACTAAGTCCAACGAAATTGAATCCAGAAACCATTAGAGAGTCTAAAATAAAGGGTGGTGTCAGAGAAGCGGCGTGCACAGGGTGGATGTCTTCAGTGGGAGCCAAGGGAGAGAAGGAGCCGGACCAGGCACAGCCCACGCTCGGGCAGAGACCTGGGAGTGGGGATCCAAGTGGAGAACACCAAATCATTCTCTGCTGTTCACATTTGGCTCATCTGTAAACCCCATCTAAATTAGTCTTAATTTGCCACTTAGGAGACTAGCAGAGTGGCTGAACTCACTGCTCACAATGTAAGCAGAAGAGGTAATTAAGATGTAGTCGGGAGGAACACAAAGAACAGAACCTTTTCTCTCCAGTACCCAGTAGCAGCAAAAGAATGGTGGCTGTTTGGAGACAGAACTCTCTGAATGCAAGTGGCAGCTCCTGAAGCCAGAGAAGGGTCTATTTGTTCTGCCCAAGAATGTGAGGACAAAGGAAAGCAACCCAGAGTACTGACTGGGTAGGAGCTCAGAGACATCTGGGCAGGAACACAAATTAGCCTCCAGGAGCAGGCGGAGGGGGCAAGAAGTGGTTCCTTCTCACTTACAGGCTGCAAAGCAGCACTCTTTTGAACAGTTACTTTTTAAGGTAATATATGGATGATTGACATACCTGTGATGAAAAGATATGAGAAGAAAGAGTGTAAAAGAAAGACTGGGCCAGGCATGGTGGCTTAGGCCTGTAATACCAGCACTTTGGGAGGCCAAGGCAAGAGTATCACTTCAGTCTAGGAGTTTGAGACCAGCCTGGGCAATGTAGAGAGATCCCATCTCTACCAAAAATTTAAAAGTTAGCCAAGTGTAGTGGTGCACACCCGTGGTCCCAGCTGCTTGGGAGGCTGAGGCAAAAGGATTGCTTGAGCCCAGGAGATTGAGGTTGCAATAAGCTGTGATTGTGCCATGGCACTCTTTTTTGAGACCCTGTCTCAAAAAAAAAAAAAAAAAGACTGGGAGACTACCTCCCAACAACCTGCAATGGCCTAGACTTTTCCAATTTTAGCATCCCAGGAAACTCTTCCGTCTTGGACACACTGGGATCTATACCCTGCCCCCAGCTCTGCCCTATTCTGAGGCCAGTTCTCTCTCATATTAGAACCTGAGTCCATCTCAAGACACCACTTCTTGGCCAGGCGCGGTGACTCACACCTGTAATCCCAGCACTTTGGGAGGCCGAGGCGGGTGGATCACCTGAAGCCAGTAGTTTGAGACCAGCCTGAGTAACATGGTGAAACCCCGTCTCTACTAAAAATACAAAAAAAATTAGCCAGGCATCGTGGCAGGCACCTGTAATCCCAGCTACTTGGGAGGCTGAGGCAAGAGAATCGCTTTAACTTGGGAGGCAGAGATTGCAGTGAGCTGAGATCGCACCATTGCACTCCAGTCTGAGAAACAAGAGCGAAACTCAGTCTCAAAAAAAAAAAACAAAAAAGAAAAGAAAAGAGGCACTACTTCTAACCTTGCCAATCACTTGCTGTGTGACTTAGACAAATATCTCAACCCTTTAGAGCCACAGTATTTTTTGTTTGTTTGTTTTGTTTTGTTTTTTTGAGACAGAGTCTTGCTCTGTCGCCCAGGCTGGAGTGCAGTGGCATGATCTTGGCTCACTGCAACCTCTGCCTCCCGGGTTCAAGCGATTCTCCTGCCTCAGCCTCCCGAGTAGCTGGGACTACAGGCATGTGCAACCACGCCCAGCTAATTTTTTTGTATTTTTAGTAGAGATGGGGTTTCACTGTGTTAGCCAGGATGTTCTCAATCTCCTGATCTTGTGATCGGCCTGCCTCGGCCTCCCAAAGTGCTGGGATTACAGGCGTGAGCCACCGCGCCTGGCAGAGCCACAATTTCTTCATCAGCAAAATAGTAATGATAATAATAGCAGTCACCTTATGGGGTCTTGAAAACTAAATGCATCATGACATGTAAAGTGCCTAGCACAGAGCAAAGGCTAATAAAAGCACAGAGCAAAAAAAGCTAATAAATGCATTCATTATTTTATTTTTTTTTTTTTTGAGACAGAGTCTCACTCTGTCGCCCAGGCTGGAGTGCAGTGGTACGATCTTGGCTCACTGCAAGCTCCGCCTCACGGGTTCACACCATTCTCCTGCCTCAGCCCGCGGAGTAGCTGGAACTACAGGCGCCCGCCACCACGCCCGGCTAATTGTTTGTATTTTTAGTAGAGACGGGGTTTCACCGTGTTAGCCAGGATGGTCTCGATCTCCTGACCTTGTGATTCGCCCGCCTCGGCCTCCCAAAGTGCTGGGATTACAGGCGTGAGCCACCGCGCCTGGCTACGCACTCATTATTTATAAGCAGCTATGGACTTGGAGGTGGGGAGTTCAAAGATGAAGAGTGAGGACACTGCCTTTGTATTATTTTCTGAGGTATGTGGAGAACGGTCTCCCGATCCACCTTGAAATAGATTCCAACCCTGCTCTGAATGGCATTGCTTTAGCAAAGCCCCAGATAAAATTTGAGTTCAGTGACCCTCCTAGACGTGGCCCATGATGATGCATATATCCCCTATCCCTTTCTCCCTGTTGGGTCTTTGGCTACGAACCCCAGGCACACTTTAGCTTAAAGTCAGATTTTGTAAAGTTTAATTTACCTAAGTGAGGAGGAAGACACAACCTCCTTCTCACATCATCCTCTTCTCATATTTACACTTAACACCTGAAGGTGCTGCACTGACAGCGTGTTCAGAGGGAGAACGCGCTTTGGCGGTGGATAATCACACGCTGTGAAGAACGTGAGAAGAGGAGAGTCATGAGCTATTAGGCGGTGCCACAGTGCCAGCTCCTGCCCAAGCAATTCCCTCTAGACAGACTGTTTAGGGAGGCTGTTACCAGATAACACCAATTACTTCTAAAGGAGGAGGGGTGTTGTGTTGTCTCAGAAATGCCTTCCGCAGCATGGAGCGGAGTCACTAGAATAAACATTTCCAAAGGGATTGAGGCTCAGAAACCAGCCATGTTAGAAAATTTAAAGAAGAGGAAAGAGGGAAAGGGGAGGGAGAGGAAGAGGAAGAAGGGGAGGAAGAGGAAGAAGGGGAGGAAGAGGAAGAGGAAGAAGGGGAGGAAGAGGAAGAAAGGGAGGAAGAGGAAGAATAGAAAGAAAAGTAAGAGGAAGGAAGAAGAAGAGAAAGAAGAACTACAAGAACTAGGACATAAGGATTGCTGTTCATGGGAATGGCCATTGAAATTCCTGGTCACAGAGGCAGGAGGGCTCTTAACATCACTTTCACCTCCTCAAGGGATCCTGAGCTAGGGAGAGAGAGATCCCTGGAGGAAAAAGATCCCAATGAGGAGAGTCTTCTAAAGACAAGGCCTTCTCAGCCAGTTGCGGTGGCTTACGCCTGTAATCCCAGCACTTTGGGAGGCTGAGGCAGGTGGATCACCTGAGGTCAGGAGTTCAAGACCAGCCTGGCCAACATAGCAAAACTCCTTCTCTACTAAAAATACAAAAATTAGCGGGGCATGGTGGTGCGTGCCTGTGATCCCAGCTACTAGAGAAGCTGAGGCAGGAGAATCTCTTGAACCTGGGAGGCAGAGGTTGCAGTGAGACGAGGTCACACCACTGCACTCCAGCCTGGGTGACAGAGCAAGACGCTGTCTCAAAAAAAAAAAAGAAAGAAAGAAAGAAAAGAAAAAAGGACAAGGACTTCTCTTGCTTTTCTTGGAATTCCCTACATACCCTATCCCTGGTGAAAGATGGGACGATTTGATGTGGTATACAGATGAAGTATTAAGTAACAAAAAAACACAGATGGGGAGAGATAGTCCCTTTTCAATGCTCTCTTAATTCTTTCAATTCAGAGGAGAAAGTCTCACTTGATGCTGGTATGTATTTACACCTCATTAACACTTCTTTTTTTTTCTTTTTTTCCTTGAGACAGAGTCTCCCTCTGTCACCCAGGCTGGAGTGCAGTGGCACGGTCTTGGCTCACTGCAACCTCCACCTCCTGGTTTCAAGCAATTCTCCTGTATCAGCCTCCTGAGGAGCTGGGACTACAGGTGCCCACCACCAAGCTGAGCTAATTTTTTTGTATATCTTTAGTAGAGACGGGCTTTCACCATATTGATCAAGCTGGTCTCGAACTCCTGACCTCAGGTGATCCACCCACCTCAGCCTCCCAAGTGCTGGGATTACAGGCATGAGCCACCACGCCTGGCCTCATTAACAGTTCTAATCTCCCTTTTCAACAGAGAGAGCAGGTCTAAGTCTCCCTCAGTGGCAGGTAACAAAATCAAGTACTCTAATTTAATTGCTTGACTTTGTTTTCTTTGTTTTAATTTTACAGTTATTTTCTGTTTACGCCAAGTAAGCCTACTTTCCCATTCATGGTAGTGACATAAAATTTATTTTTTATTTATTTATTTTATTTTATTTTTTGAGACGAAGTCTCACTCTGTCTCCCAGGCTGGAGTGCAGTGGCATACTCTCGGCTCACTGCAACCTCCACCTCCCAGGTTCAAGCAGTTTTCCTGCCTCGGCCTCCTGAGTAGCTGGGATTACAGGCAGGCGCCACCATGCCATGCTAATTTTTGTATTTTTAGTACAGACACGGTTTCACCATGTTGGTCAGGCTGGTCTCGAACTCCTGACCTCGTGATCTGCCCGCCTCGGCCTCCCAAAGTGCTAGGATTACAGGCGTGAGCCACCGCGCCTGGCTAGAATTTATTTTTTTAATGGATTTACCTAAATGGAAAGGCAAATTTATTTTTTAATCAGTAAATAAATAATAATACAAGTGATACCTAGATATGGCAAATATATATATATGTCTATATGTATATATATGTGTATATATATGTATATATATTTTTAGCAACAGGTGGCCATGAATATTCAAAGTTGAGAAACCAGTGCTCTCCACCCAGGACCTACCTGGTACATAGTAGATGCTCTGTAAATATATGGCTGTTGCCAGATTAAAGCCAGGCTTCTCTCTGCTTGATATTAACGTACTTTTTAAGGGAATTTCAAACTTGTATTCTTTTTTTTTTTTTTTTGAGACGGAGTCTTGCTCTGTTGCCCAAGCTGAAGTGCAATGGCACAATCTCAGCTCACTGCAGCCTCCACCTCCCGGGTTCAAGTGATTCTCCTGCCCCAGCCTCCTGAGTAGCTGGGATTACAGCTGCGTGCACCACGCCCGGCTATTTTTTGTGTTTTTAGTCGAGACGAGGTTTCACCATATTGGCCAGGCTGGTCTTGAACTCCTGACCGCAGGTGATCCACCCGCCTCGGCCTCCCAAAATGCTGGGATTGCAGGCATGAGCCACCTCGCCCGGCCTCAAACCTGTTTCTTAAATGGACTATTGTTATGTGTGTAGATGCCAAGTCTTTCAATGACTAGTCTGTGCCCAAGGAAGGTGGATAGATCAAAGCTCCCAGATTCCTTCTCCTTAGAGGGTTCTTATATATCCATATTTTTGGCAGCAATGTCAACGTTAAATACCTCACAGTAGTCCCAGGGCAGAAGGTAGTTATGCCTGAGCCCCTTCAGAAGTGTGTTCTTAGGCACAGACAGATCCACTGTCACACTACTACTAGTCAGGGTAGCTCTTGCCACATATGTCCTGTGCTCATTCATTCATTCATTCTATAGATACTTACGGAGCACCTATTTTGTGCCAGGCATTGTTGTAGGGCCTAGGGAGACATCAATGAAGAAAACAGGTTTTTAAACTCCCCATGCTGGTGGAGCTTGCCTTCACCAGGCAAGCTGGAGTGAAAGAGACCATAAATACAATAAATGTGGAAATGACACAGCATGTTAGAAGAATGTGACTGTTGTTTTGGGGGGACATGAGCAAGGTAAGGGGACTAGGGATTGCAAGAGGTGGGGATGGGGGGTGGCAGTTGGGGTTGGCCTTACCGGGCAGGCAGAGTCTGAGCAAGACTGAAAAGAGGAGGGAGAGCAAGAGAGGCAGAGGATACGTTTAGGGAAAAGCCCGCTGGGCAGAGGGCCTACCAACATAAAGGTGGTGAGATGAGTGCATCCCTGGCATATTCAAAGAACAGCACAGAGGCAGGAGCGAGGGAGAGCATGGGAGATGTGGTCAGACAGGTCGTGGAGAGGGCCCTTCCAGGCCATTAGAAGGACTTTGGCTTTTTCAATGAAAGAAGTGGGGAGACCCTGGGGTGCTCTGAACTTCTCAGGAATGTCATGGGCAGCTCCTGATTTTTTTTTTTTTTTTTTTGTGACGGAGTCTCACTCTGTTGCCAGGCTGGAGTGCAGTAGCACGATCTCTGCTCACTGCAACCTCTGCCTCCCGGGTTCAAGCGATTCTCCTGCCTCAGCCTCCCAGGTAGCTGGGATTACAGGCACCCGCCACCACGCCCAGCTAATTTTTGTATTTTTAGTAGAGACGGAGTTTCACCATGTTGGACAGTCTGGTCTCAACCTCCTGACCTGGTGATCCGCCTGCCTTGGCCTCCCAAAGTGTTGGAATTACAGGCGTGAGCCACCGTGCCCGGCCAGCTCCTGATTGAAAGGCTCACTCAGGTTGCTGTGCTGATAAGGAATGTGGGGTGCAGAGCGGAAGCATGGAGGCCAGTTAGACATCCCTCGGGAGGTGCTGAACTGAGTAGAGGCAGTGGAAGTGGCGAGAGGAGACACATACTCAGGACCTATTGTGAAAGTAAAAGTAAAGGATTTAGCTGCATGACCCGGCAATTCCACACCTACACATACACACAAGAAAACGGAAAACAGGCTTTCAAACAAAACTTTGTGCAGGAATGTTTATAGCAGCATTATTCATAATAGTAAAAAAGTGGAAACAGGCCGGGTGCAGTGGCTCATGCCTGTAATCCCAGCACTTTGGGAGGCCGAGGCGGGCAGATCACGAGGTCAAGATATGGAGACCATCCTGGCTAACATGGTGAAACCCTGTCTCTACTAAAAATACAAAAAATTAGCCGGGTGTGGTGGCATGCACCTGTAGTCCCAGCTACTCGGGAGGCTGAGGCAAGGGAATCACTTGAACCCAGGAGGCGGAGGTTGCAGTGAGCCGAAATCGCGCCACTGCACTCCAGCCTGGGTGACAGAGCAAGGCTCAGTCTCAAAAAAAAACCAAAAAGTGGAAACAACCCAAATATGTATCAACTGGTAAATGGATAAACAAAGCACACTGCATGCTCCACAATGGATGAAACTTAGAACCTTAAAAACATCATGCTGAGTGAAAGAAGCCAGACACAAAAGGCCATGTATCATGGGATTCCATTCATGTCAAATGTCCAAAACAGGTAAACCCATACAGACAGAAAGCAGTTTGTGGGAGGGGTAATGCAGAGTGACTACTAATGGGTATGAGGGGCTTTGGGAGGTGATGAAAATGTTCTGAAATTAGTAATGATGGTTGCATAACATTGTGAATGTACTGGAAACCACTGAATTGTGCACTTTCAAATGGTGAATTTTATATGAGTTTTACATTTTTTTTTTTAAAGGGAAATGATTAGGCCAGGCACAGTGGCTCATACCTGTAATCCTAGCACTTTGGGAGGCCAAGGTGGAAGGATCACCTGAGGTTAGGAGTTGGAGACCAGCCTGGCTAACATGGCAAAGCCCCGCCTCTACTAATAATAATACAAAAATGAGCCAGGCGTGGTGGCGGGCACCTGTAATCCCAGCTACTCAGGAGGCTGAGTGAGTGTTTCAAGGCACGGACATCCAGGAATCTCTATTGATCAGTGTGGAAGGAGTCTTTTTCTAAGGACCTAGACCATTCAGCAGAGGGCAGGACACTTGGGGCAGGTGGCATAATTCCCAATGCAAGGACTTGATGTTGGCCTGTGTGGCAGGTGGTCTTACTCTGGGCAGTCAGTACCCTTTCTTGGTTTCTCTTTAAAGAGTAGGAAGGCTGGGCCGGGCACGGTGGCTCATGCCTGTAATCCCAGCACTTTGGGAGGCTGAGGAGGGCGGATCACCTGAGGTCGGGAGTTCGAAACCAGCCTGACCAACATGGAGAAACCCTGTCTCTACTGAAAAATACAAAATTAGCCAGGTGTGGTGGCGCATGCCTGTAATCCCAGCTACTTGGGAGGCTGAGGCAGGAGAATTGCTTGAACCTGGGAGGCGGAGTTTGCAGTGAGCTGAGATTGCGCCACCGCACTCCAGCCTGGGCAACAGAGCAAGACTCCATCTCAAAAAAAAAGAGAGTAGGAAGGCTGGAGAAAGCCTCTCATGGTCCAGAGGACTCTGCTTTCCATCTGTGTCCAGCTCTTGGAAACCCCTTTCCATAGTGAGCCAGCCTCAGTGCAGTGGCCCCAGTCCAAAAGGCCTGCACAACAGTAAGAATCATCACTTATCCCTCCAGTCCATCCTGTATATCCAGCCTCTAAACACACTGCGTGGCCTGTGATAGATGCTCCCTTAAACACTTGCTAAATAAAGGAGTTGATATTTATTGAGCAGTTAATGTGCCAGGCACTGCGAAAAGCCTTTTATGTGGATTTTCTCCTTTGATCCTCATAACAACCCAATGAGACCGACACAATTATTATCCCAATTCATATCTGAGGAACCTAAGGCTCAGAGTGGGGCTGGGACTTGCCCAAGGTCACACAGCCAGGGGATTCGAAGCTAGATCTGTCTTACTTGAGCAAGGGTCTTCTTAATCACCACATGGTGGTTATCAACTGACCAAGTTTGATATCTGCTTCCTAAAACCCATGTATGGAAGCCCTGGGTCTGGACTCAGGAGACAGTCATAAGCTCTTCCTCCCTCCCCTTTGGGCCCTACACCCAACCACCCATTTTATTTTGTTCTCTCTTTAAGCTCTGCTGCTGCTCTCCATCCATCATGATTTCAGAAACCTTTATTTTTGTTTTCCACCATAGATGTGAAAAGCTGGCTTGTGATGTTTGGATTTCAGCTTAGCAACATCATTCCTGGCTTCCCGAGAGCCAAAATGTATTTCGTGCCTCCTCCCTATGAATTGTCAGAGAGTCAAGCAAGTGAGAATGGACAGGTAAGCAGAGGTTCCTGCCAAGAATCCAAATGATTGTCATCATTCCCTTTTGCAAACAGAACCTCATGGGAGCCAGGGGCATGTCAGCGCAGGAAAACATTGGAGCTGGGTATAAAAGGTGCAGGACACATTGAGACTTCCCAGGAAAGCGAATGTCAGTGCTGTCGCCTGTCTGGCACAGCACATATTTCTTCCCAACTTCGATTATTGCCTTAATTGTGGTATCATTATCTGTTCAGTAGAATACCTTTGAGTCACTCCTTGATTAACAACAGCACAGAGAAATCTAGCAGCAACCTACCATCTGCACTGCCTATAAGATCATAACCCTTTCAGCTTTTATGGGATGTCATAAAACTGTGGTTTGCAGTTTCTGTCCCATTAAAGAACATTTTTATGCCCCACATAAAACCTCGGCGCTTTATGGCCAAGCATATACAGATTGAGTTTTCAGAACATAATTTGTGCTTGGGTCTTTCTGCGATGACCGAGGGGTGGTCAGTTTCCATCTGGGTGCAGCTGAGACCTCTGCTACAATCAGATGGGAGGCGTTCAGATAACCCCTGCTACAGAACCGGCGCTCAGCACTATCAAAGTCTGAAAGGTCTCAGCTGCTCTGAATAATTGTCCAGATTGTGTAACTATAGAGAGGCAAGGAGGAGCTGCTGGGTAATTGAGAACAGCGTTCACTCAGTCCTGCCCCTTGGGGACCACTCAGTGGATGAATAGCCATCATTTCTCTCATTTATCTAAGTGCCGTTACCTCCCAAACGCAGCCTCTCCCATTATCCCAGCCTGTCCCCCAACCACCAATTGAGACAAGTTGTAATTTGCGAGTGGAGAACTCAAGGCCAAGGAGATAATGGTGATTTCATCCCCTGCAGAACCAGGGCGAGGATCCAAAACAACTGCCTCAAAGCCAGGGGATATTCCCTCTGGCCCTCAAAGCCTGACTCTCTCAGCCTGGTGCTTCTCAAATGTTCATATGCACACAGATCACCCAAGGCATCTTGTTCACACGTAGCCTCTGACTCAGTAGTTCTGGAGTGAGGCCTGAGATTCTGCTTTTTGAACAGGGCAGGTCCCAGTGATTCCTCTGCTGCTGGCTATACTTTGAGTGGCAAGGTCTTAACCCAAGGAAGTTAATGAATATCCAAGTCATTGGCCTCCAGGAAATCTAGCTTACAGTGGTGGGGTTCGAGGCTGTTCAAATCAACATCCTGCCCTTCGCATCAGGACATTCCTGGGTCTAAAGCGGGCAAGGCAGTTGCCAACCATCAGAGTACAGAACAGGGCACTTCCCGAGTGGTGGCATGACCCGGTAAGTGTGTAGGTCCAGGTGCCCATGCCAGCAAAGGGTGAACCTCCTTTACCATTTTTTTAGTTAGTGGCAATTGCAAGATGGACAGACCACACCATCAGAGCATTAGTAATCAACCAGCCATCCATAGTTCAGAGCACTGGTAATCAACCAGCCAACCATAGTTCCAAAAGGTAGGACTCCCAACAGCTCAGATCTGGATAGACCCAACACTAGTTCTTGCAGGAGAGTTCCAAGCCTTTCTCTTTGTGACTCTTTTTGAGAGAGCTGCCCAGCTCATCTTCTCAGCTTTCTCTGTTTTCTTATCCCCACAGCTCATTACAGGTGTCCAACAGACAACAGAGAGACATAACCAGGCCTTCATGGCTCTGGAAGGACAGGTCATTACTAAAAAGCTCCACGCCAGCATCCGAGAGAAAGCAGGTCACTGGTTTGCCACCACCACGCCCATCATTGGCAAAGGCATCATGTTTGCCATCAAAGAAGGGCGGGTGACCACGGGCGTGTCCAGCATCGCCAGCGAAGATAGCCGCAAGGTGGCATCTGTGCTGAACAACGCCTACTACCTGGACAAGATGCACTACAGCATCGAGGGCAAGGACACCCACTACTTTGTGAAGATTGGCTCAGCCGATGGCGACCTGGTCACACTAGGCACCACCATCGGCCGCAAGGTGCTAGAGAGCGGGGTGAACGTGACCGTGTCCCAGCCCACGCTGCTGGTCAACGGCAGGACTCGAAGGTTCACGAACATTGAGTTCCAGTACTCCACGCTGCTGCTCAGCATCCGCTATGGCCTCACCCCCGACACCCTGGACGAAGAGAAGGCCCGCGTCCTGGACCAGGCGAGACAGAGGGCCCTGGGCACGGCCTGGGCCAAGGAGCAGCAGAAAGCCAGGGACGGGAGAGAGGGGAGCCGCCTGTGGACTGAGGGCGAGAAGCAGCAGCTTCTGAGCACCGGGCGCGTGCAAGGGTACGAGGGATATTACGTGCTTCCCGTGGAGCAATACCCAGAGCTTGCAGACAGTAGCAGCAACATCCAGTTTTTAAGACAGAATGAGATGGGAAAGAGGTAACAAAATAATCTGCTGCCATTCCTTGTCTGAATGGCTCAGCAGGAGTAACTGTTATCTCCTCTCCTAAGGAGATGAAGACCTAACAGGGGCACTGCGGCTGGGCTGCTTTAGGAGACCAAGTGGCAAGAAAGCTCACATTTTTTGAGTTCAAATGCTACTGTCCAAGCGAGAAGTCCCTCATCCTGAAGTAGACTAAAGCCCGGCTGAAAATTCCGAGGAAAACAAAACAAACGAATGAATGAACAGACACACACAATGTTCCAAGTTCCCCTAAAATATGACCCACTTGTTCTGGGTCTACGCAGAAAAGAGACGCAAAGTGTCCAAAAGGAACAAAAGAACAAAAACGAATAAGCAAAGAAGAAAACAAACAAAAACAAAACAAAACAAACACACGGACCAATAAACAAAGAAGCGAAGATAAGAAAGAAGGCCTCATATCCAATTACCTCACTCATTCACATGTGAGCGACACGCAGACATCCGCGAGGGCCAGCGTCACCAGACCAGCTGCGGGACAAACCACTCAGACTGCTTGTAGGACAAATACTTCTGACATTTTCGTTTAAGCAAATACAGGTGCATTTAAAACACGACTTTGGGGGTGATTTGTGTGTAGCGCCTGGGGAGGGGGGATAAAAGAGGAGGAGTGAGCACTGGAAATACTTTTTAAAGAAAAAAAAACATGAGGGAATAAAAGAAATTCCTATCAAAAATCAAAGTGAAATAATACCATCCAGCACTTAACTCTCAGGTCCCAACTAAGTCTGGCCTGAGCTAATTTATTTGAGCGCAGAGTGTAAAATTTAATTCAAAATGGTGGCTATAATCACTACAGATAAATTTCATACTCTTTTGTCTTTGGAGATTCCATTGTGGACAGTAATACGCAGTTACAGGGTGTAGTCTGTTTAGATTCCGTAGTTCGTGGGTATCAGTTTCGGTAGAGGTGCAGCATCGTGACACTTTTGCTAACAGGTACCACTTCTGATCACCCTGTACATACATGAGCCGAAAGGCACAATCACTGTTTCAGATTTAAAATTATTAGTGTGTTTGTTTGGTCCAGAAACTGAGACAATCACATGACAGTCACCACGAGGAGAGAAAATTTAAAAAATAAAAATAAAAACAAAAAAAATTTTAAAAATTAAAAAAACAAAAATAAAGTCTAATAAGAACTTTGGTACAGGAACTTTTTTGTAATATACATGTATGAATTGTTCATCGAGTTTTTATATTAATTTTAATTTGCTGCTAAGCAAAGACTAGGGACAGGCAAAGATAATTTATGGCAAAGTGTTTAAATTGTTTATACATAAATAAAGTCTCTAAAACTCCTGTGGACACTGGTCTTGTGTGGAAATGATTTGAGATGAGAAAAAGGCAAGCGTTACTGGAGAAAAAGAGGAGCTGCCCAAACGTGTGGAGGCTGAGCTGGTATTTTGAACACCTGGGGGAGCTTTTTTCTTTTCTTTTTTTTTTTTTTGTGAGACAGAGTCTCACTCTGTTGCCCAGGCTGGAGTGCAATGGCATGATCTCGGCTCACTGCAACCTCCACCTCCTGGGTTCAAGCAATTCTCCTGCCTCAGCCTCCCGAGTAGCTGGGATTACAGGTGCACCACCACACCTGGCTAATTTTTGTATTTTTAGTAGAGCCAGGGTTTCACCATGTTGGCCAGGCTGGTCTCGAACTCCCGACCTCAGGTGATCCACCTGCCTCAATCTCCCAAAGTGCTGGGATTACAGGCGTGAGCCACGGTGCCCTGCCTGGAGGAGCTTTTGTTAGAGGTATCTTAGTGCTCCCCAATTCTAGAGCTAACTCTGCCTGCATCTGCAGCCTTTTCTCTGCATGGAGCAGAGGTGGACAGTCTGCATGTGGTGTGGGTGGGCAGTGAGGACCCTCAGAGCCTCCCCAAGCATGGACAGATCCCTCTAGCCTTCCTGGGACATTCAGGCTCCTCCCTGCAACCACATTCTAGTTCTGAGAGATGCTGGCAGAAATTAAAGGGGAGCATTCACTACACCGGGAGACGCGTGCACGCGCATGTGTGTGTGTGTGTGCTTTCATATTTCTTTCCAGACTACATCAACTTACCCCAAATCTTGCCTATTTGGGACAACCCAATAAGAAAAGCACTGCTGGTTTGGATAACTTTTGTTTTACATCACTCCTAAAGTTAGAATAATACTATCATTAATTGCTAACATTTATTGGTGCTTACTTGGTGCCCAGCATAGTGCTAAGGGCTCTGCATGCAATATTTTAGTTCGTCCTCACGTTTCATTCATTCAATGACATTTTCTTGAGAGCTTCCCTCGTGCCAGGGGGAAGTTCTGGGCTAAGTTCTGGGTAAGAGAGGTGAGTAGACACCCATGGGCCCTTGCCTCATGAAACTATGGGCAGGAGTGGACAGACAGTAGGAAAAGCATGGCATCAAGAAGTGAAAATGGGCTGGGGGTGGTGGCTCATGCCTGTAATCCCAGCACTTTGGGATGCCAAGGCGGGCGGACCACTTGAGTTCAGGAGTTCAAGACTAGCCTGGCCAACATGGCAAAACCCCATCTCTACTAAAAATACAAAAATTAGCCGGGCATGGTGGCACATGCCTATAATCCCAGCTAATCGGGAGGCTGAGGCAGGAGAATTGCTTGAACCTGGGAGGCGAAGGTTGCAGGTAGCCAAGATCGTGCCACTGTACTCCAGCCTGGGCAACAAGAGCAAAACTCCGTGTCAAAAAAAAAAAAAAAGAAGGACACAGAAGGTGGGTGGTTAGGCCCGAGCACAGGAGAGGATGGCAGGGTTCACAAGACACAGTTAGAGGTTCGATTTTTTTTTTTATGTGCAAAGCAATAAAGTTGTGAGTTTTGATTTCATAAAAAGTGCTGTGGCTGCAGTGTGGAGGACAGGGAGGGGAAGCCAATGTGGTCACCTAGGTGAGATGAAGGAGGAGGCCAAGAAAGCCATCAACCTAAGCTAAAGCTAGTTTTTAAAAAATTGACTGGATGCATGCCCCGGATGAGCTCCTAGTATCTTTCACTTTGGAGGTGAGAAATCTGAGGCCACCATCACCCAGCGGGTAAGTGGTGGGATCAGATTCCAGCCCAGCTGTGGCCAATTCCAAACCCTCTCCAGGAAGTCTAAGGCCTCCTGTGGTCCCATCACCCACAGGTGGAAGGAAAGAAAGAGAGAAGCAGGGCTGGCCTGCTTGAACCCAGGTACCGGACTTCACAAGCCCTCCTAGCGTCACTAGCAGAGCCAGTGATGACTTAGTAAAGCAAGCAGGCAATGAAAATGGCCCAGAGCACTTCCCTCTGGAAGGACATGTGAACAGCCGCATCTCCCCAGGGCCATGAGTTTGGGCTGTTTCCCTTCAGGAGGAGGATGGGAAGCAGGAGACAGACAGCTTCTCTGTCTTTGAGTTGCTTGGGCCCAGCTGCTGCCTGCCTTGTTTAATCTGGCTGGTGTCAGGAGTACTTGGAGAAATCTCACAGAACAGCTTCCAGTGGGTCATGAGGACCGCTCAAATCTTGGTTTGGTGGGAGCTTCGTGCGGACTGGCCACTGTGTTTTATCCTCCTGCAGTAGATGCAGCCAGCAGTGCCCACCAGGACAGGGAGTTCACACCAGGCCAGAAGCCGGGGGATCTCACTCGGCCTGTGGCTTCTCTGCCCCATCCAGCCTCTTGGGTAGACCCAAAGGGTGATAGACCCAAAGGGTGGGCAAATAGTGTGTCACAAAGGGAACCACATGTCACCAGAATGCCACCCAGGCCTGAAACTCTCCTCTTTTGGTTTAACCATCTTTCAATTATCCATGGGTTTTCTGCTACACCTAGGCCAGGCTCTTATAACACACTACACAAACACATATTAAGGGAGAAGGAAACAGGCTCGGGGCAGAAATCCTTTCCCGCCTTTCCATGGGCCAGTCCTTGCATGACCAGGACAGACTGATACAGAATTCTGGAAAGGCGGGCCGGGCGCAGTGGCTCATGCCTGTAATTCCAGCACTTTGGGAGGCCGAGGCGGGCAGATAACAAGGTCAGGAGATCGAGACCATCCTGGCTAACATGGTGAAACCTCATCTCTACTAAAAATACAAAAAATTAGCCGGGCGTGGTGGCGGAGGCCTGTAGTCCCAGCTACTCGGGAGGCTGAGGTGGCAGAATGGCGTGAACCCAGGAGGCAGAGCTTGCAGTCAGCCGAGTTCGCGCCACTGCACTCCAGCCTGGGCGACACAGCGAGACTCCATCTCGAAAAAAAAAAAAAAAAAAAAGAATTCTGGAAAGGCGGTACAGCCTATGGGTTAGTGAAGATCATGCACTCTGAAGTCAGACCACCTAGGAACCAGTCCTGACTCTACCACTCACTAAACGAACATGGAAACTTGGGAAGGTCACATGTGCTAATTAAGGTAAATATCATACGCTGTGTTAAGAGATAAACTCAAGTTAGCAGAAGAAAAGCTTCTCACTTATATAATAGTCCATCATTGGTCAGGGATGAGGATGGCTGCTTTGATGATTAAATGAGATATTGCCTGTATCATGGATATGTGGTACTCAATAAATGTTCTTTTTTTGTTGTTTTTTTGAAACGGAATCTCACTCTTATTCCCCAGGCTGGAGTGCAATGGCGTAGTCTCGGCTCACTGCAACCTCCACCTCATGGTTTCAAGCAATTCTCCTGCCTCAGCCTCCCAAGTAGCTGGGACCACAGGAGCCTGCCCCCATGCCCGGCTAATTTTTTGTAATTTTAGTAGAGACAAGGTTTCACCATGTTGGCCAGGCTGGTCTCGAACCCGTAACCTCAAGTGATCTGCCCACCTTGGTCTCCCAAAGTGCTGGGATTACAGGCGTGAGTCACCGTGCCCAACCTCATTTTTATTATTTTAGAAACTTTCTTCCAAACACTGATTTTTCTAAGAGTAGAAATTGAAGCATAACAATTTTCACAGGGGGAGAGATTTGTATGCGGGAGCTGGGAAGATGGAGAAAGATCTTCCCTCAAATCTCATGTCCTCAAGAGCAATCTCAGCTTCTCCCCTCTCCTGGGCCTGGGTAACTTGAACAAGTACTTTCAGTGTGTGGACCTTCTTCATGGCTTCAAGGGCTTTTCAGAAAGGGTGACATCTGGAAAGTGGAGGGTCTCAGCCATGTGAAGACTAGCCATGTGAACAAGGGACATCTGTTCAGGCATTCTACTTTCAGAGTCACCAAGCACAATTTTGTCCCTGGCACTGTCAGAAGCTGGGAAGACAAAGATAAATAAAACATGGTCTAAAGTGTGAGACAAACTCACAAGCCAATCAATCACTACAGCACAGTAGGCTCAGGGCTGGCACACAAGTGATGAGCAAACACATGATGTCCAGAGGACAGGAGTATGAGTTCTCTCCACAAGTTTTGTTGTTTTTTTTTTTTTTTTTTTTTTTGAGACAGAGTCTTGCTCTGTTGCCCAGGCTGGAGTGCGATGGTGCAATCTCGGCTCACTGCAACCTCCACCTCCCAGGTTCAAGTGATTCTCCTGCCTCAGCCTCACAAGTAGCTAAGATTACAGATGCCCACCACCACGCCCGGCTAATTTTTGTATTTTTAGTAGAGATGGGGTTTCACCATGCTGGCCAGGCTGGTCTCGAACTCTTGACCTCAGGTGATCCACCTGCCTCAGCCTCCCAAAGTGCTGGGATTACAGACATGAGCCACCGTGCCCAGCCTCCACAAGCATTTGAGCTGGGCACTGGCAAGTAAGAGAATGCAAGACAGACAAGGCAGGAGGGGGTAGCAGGAAGGAGAAGAAATATGCAAAGAGACAGGTGAGAAGTTCAGAGAGGCCGGGGCAGGTGCTAAGGATTAGAACCACCGGCGAGCGCGCTAGACACGGGTCCCAGGCCAATTAGATCAGGACCTCTGGAAGAAAGGTCTGATCGTGGGTAGGTGAGTTTCACCTGCAGCCCGAAATGAGGAGCAGGGGATTGGAGCTCAGCGGGAAGGGCACAGCCAGAGATGAGGTTTGTTGGAGGGAAGGAGGCAGGAATAACAGTCAGGCTAAGAAGCTGGGTATTCTCCTGCCAGGTCATGAGGGACATCAGTGTGACTCTTGTACATAGGGAGAAACACGATTAGGGAATCTTTGGGTTTGCAAAGTGGAGAGAGAAGAGTGGCAGAAGGCCCAGAGCCCGGGAGAATCTGCAACAGTCTGGATGAGGGCTTGAAGGAAGGCTGGGGCGGTCAGAACAGAGGGAGCGCTCCTCAAACCGGCTCAGATTTGGGAAATGAGGACGAGGTTCTGTAACTTGCCCAGAGTTGGGGACAGGGTCTATACGGGGTGGAACACCGAGAACAGATCCCGGCCAAGGATCCTCTCTCCAGTGCATGCACCATTCCTTCTCCTTCGCCTCTCCCTCCTCCACGACCAGCCAGGTGAAACAATTAGGGAGAAGGGATATTCTGATTACTTACTTACTTCAGTGATCCTCTGACCACACCAAGTGGCGACTTTCCAGGAAAGTTCTGATTCAGCACGCTCACACCCAAGCCCCGCCTTCCACCCTGAGGAGGCAGGTGGGCAGCCTGTAAGGCGCCATTCCCCAGCACCCGCAGCGGGCACTGTGGCTGCACGCCGCCCTCGGAAAGCAAGGCTGCACCAGCTGCTCCACAAAGCCCCTCCCTCACCAGCCCTCGCCTCCTCCCGGCAAATGTTGGGTTTGCCATCTGGCCACGAGGTGGCAGCCTTTCCCATGAAATCTGCTTGGAGGTGGGCCCGGCGCCTCAAAGGGATTTAGGGAAGTCGCCGAGCAGCCAGAGACTGCGAGGAGAGCCCTGGACTCCTGAAAGAGGCCCGTGGAATCGGTTCCAGGAAAAAGATTCCAAAGAAGACCAGTCCTGGGACCAGCCAGACTGGACTGCGAGCCTGCCTCCACCATTTGCCCACTGAGTACATTTCCACCTGGACTTCCTGAGCCTCACCTTTCCCATTTGTAAAATAGGGATAAAAATAACTGCTGTATGGGATTATTTGGAAAGCCTAATAAAAACAATATATGTAAAGTCCTTGGCAAGGGCCCAGCATTTAACAAATGCATATTAAATGGTAAGCTATTATTAAAGGAAAATTGTGGAATTTGGGGGTTATCGTCTTTAGATTAAAAAAAAAAGCAAAACAAACAAAAAAAATCCTTCACTTTCACTCCCAACCACACCTTTCTAGCTAAGCCTGGGCTTCTTATCTAACCTCCGAAGCCTGGGTTTCCTCCCCTGTGTAGTGGAGATGATACTGCCATCTGGCAGGGTTGCTGTTGTAAACACTCAGCCTCCCTCAAGGGGATGTCTACTGATTGGCAACTAACTTTTCTTATTCTCAGCCTTCAGTGAGAGCTGAAGTGTGATCCCAGCCTGAAGCTTGACCTGTTCAAGAGTAAGGAGCTCCACCCACCCCATCCTCCCACTTCAAGAGCTGCGTAAAGCCCTGGGGACTTGCTCTTCTAGAAGGCTCCAGGGAAGAGAGGACAGAAGAAGCAAAGCCTATACCCTCTTAGGGACAGTCTACCCAGTAGCCACTCTTCCAGAGATGATCAGTGTCCCTGAACTGAGCCCAATTCCAGGGGCAGTAAAAGGGATGTCCTTACACTCATGCATTCATAAAACGCTTCTATCCAAATTAATTGCTGTTATTTGAACTTCCCAGCCACTCTGTGAAACAGTGTGAAAATTGAGCCTTAGAGAGGACACACCACAGATCAGGAACAGGCCCCTCCCAGGTGGCTGGGAATCTTCGGTTCTCAGTCAGCTCTCTGGCTGTTTCCATTCCCAGGCCACTCCCTCAACAATCCCTTATCTTGGTCTTATCTCGGCCACATACATATAGATTTTGTTCTCAGGCTAGAGCCTTTGGCCAGAAGGAATCTGCCCCACTAGCTATTAGTCAACCAGTGAACATTTAGGAAACATCTATTACGTAGAATGCTGCAATGAAGATGGAGAAAGTGAACACAAGCTGGCTTCTGCCCCCAAGCAGCATCTCTGTATTAATCAGGAGAGGTGCAGGGGTAAGTGACAGAACCCTAACACAAAGCAAAAACCAGAATATCCAAAGGCAGGACTGGCTTCAAATTTGGTCAGATCCAAGGGCGCAAAGATGCTCACAAGGTACTGTCTTTGCTCCACCTCTCAATGCCACTGCCCTTGGGATGTGGCCTTATCTTCACAGTGATTTATTCCATATGTAGGAAAGATGGTTGCCAACAGGCCCAAACCTATATCCTTGCAGCACCCATGGGAATGTCAAAGAGACCCTCCCTCTATCAACAGAAGACCATGAATTTGCCCAAACCCCATCAGCCTTTCCGGGGCCATAAAGAGCGGGAAAGGAGTGGCTCTTACAAGGAAAATAACTGCCTAGACGAAAACGTGTTAATTGCCAACATCTACTGAAATCATGAGGGTATCTGTCCATTCTGTCCACAAATAGTGCCTGACATGCCGTAGGTGCTCAATGGACAAACCAGGTGCTGGGGACAGAGGGATGAATGAAACGCAGCCATCCAGGAGGAGTCTAATGGGAAACACCAAGAAGCGAATACGCAATATAATGTGGAAGTGGGCTGGGCGCGGTGGCTCACGCCTTAATCCCAGCACTTTGGGAGGCCGAGGTGGGCGGATCACTTTGGGTCAGGAGTTCGAGACCAGCCTGGCCAACTATGGCCAACATGGTTAAACCCCGTCTCTACTAAAAATACAAAAAAAAATTAGCCGGGTGCGGTGGTAGGGACCTGTAACCCCAACTACTCTGGGGACTGAGGCAGGAGAATCACTTAAACCTGGGAGGAGGAGGTTGCAGTGAGCTGAGATTGTGCCACTGCACTCCAGCCTGGGCAACAGAGGAAGACTCCATCTCAAAATAATATAATAACAATAATAATAATGTGGAAGTGGCTGGGCGCAGTGGCTCACTCCTGTAATCCCAGCACTTTGGGAGGCCAAGGTGGGTGGATCACCTGAGGTCGGGAGTTCGAGACCAGCCTGACCAACATGGAGAAACTCCGTCTCTACTAAAAATACAAAATTAGCCGGGCATGGTGGCACATGCCTGTAATCCTAGCTACTCGGGAGGCTGAGGCAGGAGAATCACTTGAACCCAGGAGGCAGAGGTTGTGGTGAGCCGAGATCGCACCATTGCACTCCAGCCTGGGCAACAAGAGCGAAACTCTGTCTCAAAAAATAATAATAATGTGGAAGTGCTGGGAAGAGAAGTTGCTATGGTATGGCAAGGACACTGGGGAAGGGCAGTTAGCTCCGCTTTGATGGGGATTTGGTGGAAAGCACTTGGATGGGTGCACAAATAGTGCATTGGGAGGATCTAGATTGAATCTGAACAGCCAAAAGTCACCCGGCTCCGCAGGGTTTCTCAGCTACCCGCCCTGAGGATACCATGGCCTTTCCCTTCTTCTGGGAATGTGGGAAGCCACCAAGCAACACCAGCCTGGAGAGCCTGTCCCCTGGGAAGAATGGTCTGGTCTGTGCGGGGCTAGAAGTCTGCTGCTCCTTCACTCTGGATCCCCACTCCCTCACTCCACACATGGGGAGCATGACTTCCCTTCACTTTCTGCAGAGGTGGTTCTGCCCATGGGACCATCCTATGTGCCTAGTACCAGGTTTCTCAATTGCGGCACCATTGACATTTGGGCCAGATGGCTTTGTTGTGGGAAGCCATCCAGTGCATAGAAGATGTTTAACAGAATCCCTGGCCTCTACCCACCTCACGCCCCACCCCTGCCTATTCGTGACAGCCTCTCAGACATTGCCAAATGTCCTCGTGAAAGGTAAAATGGACCCCAGTAGCGAGCCACTGCTCTAATGCATTCTCTCCCCACCCACTTCTCCCTCATTTCTCCTCACCCAAGATCCCAGCATTCCTAAGGAAGGAGCCTCTTCTCCCTAAGGAGACATTTATTGATACTTCCTATGTTCATCCAAGTGACACTCCCCAAGCCAAGGGTTCTAGAACTACAGGCTGAGGTCTCTACCCCAATCCTCTTCTTCTTCTCTGAGGTCTCTACCCCGATTCTTCTCCTCTTCAACTACCTCAGTTGACTTCATGAGCTGAGTGTGAAAAAGTGAATTGACTGCCCCAACACCCCAGTCCCTTCTGCACCCCACAGACCTCCTGAGGAGCTGCCACTGCTTGGAGGAAGGCAGAGATGCTGATAATCCTAAGACAGGAGCGATGGGCTGTGTGCAGTAGGGAATGGCCCTGTGAGTATGCTATAATGAGGAGCATAGAGTGATCCACATGAGAAAATGACAAGTGAGAGGAGCCTGGGGACTTCCAAGCACCCTCCCTTGGTGCCTGGGGGAGGGATGCCAGGCCCTGAGATGACAGGGTAACACTTTATTTCCTCCTTCCTGTCCTGTTCCTGTGCCAGCCATCACAGAGCCCCTTGAAACAGCAACTTGATGGTAATTGATAGTGCCCAAATGATATTTTCTGGACAGGTGCCAGGGATGCAGTCATGGAGCTCAATAGCATTTCTAGAGAGAATAGGAGTTGATATCTATCAGTCCCCAACTGGTGAGGCTTCAACAGGCTGCTTGGAGGAGGTGGTATTCTTCTCAGTAGCACAAATCTGCCAGGGAGAGGAAGAACATGTGTGTGTGTGTGTAACACATTGCAAATATCAAGGGTAATGTATAGCACAGGCTTCAAGGAGATGCTCATAGGTGTAAAGGCATCAGGTGTGAGGAAGCATGCAGGTGCAAAGACACCAGGTGTAACTGAAGGTGTAACACAGAGTGTGAGGACTAGAGACACATACTGGGGGCAGGTTGGTGGTGCGGGGGTGGGTGATGCATGATGTGTAATTAGTGGAAATGTTGGAACAATGGAACATGCAGAGCAAAGATGTGTGTGCAGAAGCTGCAGAAAATACCTCGGCAAGTACTGAGTGGAGGTTTCTTACTCATTCTCATATTCACACCTGTGTTTCTCTGTACCAAGTAGAGACAGGAGGATCAGGTAGAATAATACTCAGCATGTGACATTTACTGTGTCACAGTCTATCTTCTGCTATTATAGCAAAATACCACAGACTGGATAATTTATGTAGAAAGGATGTTTATTTGGGTCGTGGTTCTAGAAGCTGGGAAGTCCAAGAGCATGGCACTGGCATCTGGTGAGGGTCATCCTGTGGTGGAAGGTATCACATGGCACCTATGCCCATCATAAGAGACAGAGAAAAAGGAGGCCAAACTTATCCTTTTACCAGGAGCTCACTCCTGCAATAATGGCATCAATCCATTCATGAGTGCAGAGTCCTCCTGGCCTAATCACCTCTTAAAGGTCCCACTTCTTAATACCATTATAACGACCATTAAGTTTCTAATACCTGAACTTATGGGGGACACATTCAAGCCATAGCATTATATGTATAAGACAAAAGTACAACTGAAGGACCACTTTAATCATTCATTTTTTTTAACCTCCTAAGACAGGACACATGCCAGTCTATATTCCTGAGGGGATATATGGTGAAATGGTTTTTAGCATAAGCTTTAGAATCAATGATTTGAGTTTGAACCCTGCTCTACCATGTACTTGCTACAAGTCTTAGACAAATCTTAAACAATCCTATGACCCAGTTTTCTCATTAGCAACATGCGGAGAAGGGAAGCTACCCACTGCTTGTGGTGGTCATGGCAATTAGAGGAGAACCAGGGGTAAATCACACACATAAAGGGGCACATTCCCAAATGTCAGCTCTGTGCTAACTGGAGGAGAGCAGAAATGACATCCTATTGCATCATCTCAAAGAGTTCTGCAGGACAGACAAGCTGGGCTCTTCCAAAGGCTTGCTATATCCCAAGGGCAGAATCCTTGCTGGGAAGGCACCTTTTCCCTCTGCAACCTCACCTCTCTAAACCCTTGCATTCACCTCTAGTGAACCTGACAGAGGGGAAGAGCTGGGTCAATATAAATGAGATTCACTTCCAGAGGCACATCCCATGGACAAAAAAGCATTGGGGGGCAAGAGGATGGAAACACAGTTGAAGCCATTCAATACCCAGACAGGTGCAGGCCCTGAGAACCTAGGGAGGAAGGCAAGCCCATCCCTGCCAGGGACTCCACAAGCCCTACTGGCTGCTTCCAGTCCTCACCCCAGAATCCCTCTCCTGGGGTTCAAACCCACCTGCACTCAGGGGTGTGCTGGAACCCACCCACAAGACAGATATTTGTGCCTCTTCCCAGCCCCATGTTCGGTGACATCACACTGGTAGCATGAAATCAGCCAAGTGGAAGCATTTACACCAGGAAAATTGGGAAATTTCTATGAGACTGGCAGAGTTGGGGGCAGATACAAAAGAGAATAAAAATGTCAAAGAGCCGTTGGGAGAAGAGAAGAGAAAGGATGGCCATGGGTTAAAGTGTTCTCTGTTGACCTCAGAAATATGGGCACTTTGACACCCGAGGCTCAAGAACTCAGGCCTGGATGGGCGCGGGGGCTCACGCCTGTAATCCTAGCACTTTGGGAGGCCGAGGCAGTTGGATCACTTGAGGTCAGGAGCTCGAAACCAGCCTGGCCAGCATGGTGAAACCCCATCTCTACTAAAAAAAATTACAAAAATTAGCTGGGCATGGTGGCAGGCACCTGTAATCCCAGCTACTTGGGAGGTTGAGGCAGGAGAATCACTTGAACCTGGGAGGCAGAGGTTGCAGTGAGCCGAGATCATGCCACTGCACTCCAGCCTGGGTGACAGAGCGAGACTCCGTCTCAAAAAAAATAAAAAATAAAAAATAAAAAAGGACTCAGGCCTGGTATCATGAAAAACATAATCAGACAAAAGCCAAAAAAAACCACAAAAACTGTGGGAGAAGCAGCATGAGAACGTTTTCTGCATTCTTCCACTCTGCCGGGGTGTCAGGCCAGGTCACAGCAGCCTGTTTGGGACACACTGGGGATGCAGATTCCCTTCTTCACACCTGGGCTGCTCAGCTCCCCACTACCCAATAATACCAAATGCTGACACCACACACCACCCTCCGCAAGGGAACTGCCTGGGGCACAGTCACACCCCCTCCCCAGAAAAAGCCTATGTCCAATGCCTGGTCCACACAGCAGCAGAGTGTCGAGGCTAGGATTTGACTGTGACTAGGAGCTGACTCCAAGGGCTGAGACTGATTCTTCAGCATCACCTCTTCCACTAAAGGTCAGTCTTCCACTAAAGCAGTCAGGCAAAGGCCTGGCTGCTTGCGGCATCTCTGAAGAGTTGTCCCAGCTCCAGAGCTCACCATGGGATCGGCTGAGGCCACTATCACTACATCATCACAGCTCAATGTCTCCATCTGCCCATCCCTGCACCCCTCACTCTTTCCCTCCCAAGCATTGTTCCTGCTGTCTCTAAAAAACATCCTGCATGCAACTCTCCAGCTCGAAGTCTGTCTCCTGGGAAACCCGACAAAGACACCCTCTACCCCACTCCTGTAAGAAGGGAAAATGACGTGCTGCAGAGACCCCCTGCCCAGGAGACCTAACGCCCTCCCCAGCCCCACACCATGTCATTCTCTGCAATGGTGGAGGGGTGGGGGTGCGAGTTGTAATAGGCTGGGCACCTGCAGACAGCTAGTGCAGGATGCTTCCTCAGAACAGGTGCAACACAGTGTGTTTTGCTGGGGAAAAGGGATGTCAAGCAATCTATGACGGGGGTGCAGGGAGTCTGGGGAGAAACACAAGGAAGTGTGTGTGTGTGTGTGTGTGTGTGTGTGTGAATGTGTGTGTGTGTGAGAGAGAGAGCTGGTGTTTGTGTTCCAGGCTACAGCAAGGGGAGGGAGACAAAAGAATAAAACCCGCTTGTTGGCTGAGCGCAACATACCTGTAATCCCAGCACTTCGGGAGGCCGAGGCAGGCAGATCATCTGAGGTCAGGAGTTTGAGACCAGCCCGCCAACATGGTGAAACCCCACCTCTACTAAAAATACAAAAATTAGCTGGGTGTGGTGGCAGGTGCCTTTAATCCCAGCTACTCGGGAGGCTGAGGCAGAAGAATTGCTTGAACCTGGGAGGCGGAGGTTGCAGTGAGATTGCGCCTTTGCACTCCAGCCTGGGCGACAGAGCGAGACTCCGTCTCAAAAAACAAAAAAACCCCCTGCTTGTTGGATTTAGCAACACACGGGACCTCTGCAGCAAGAGCCACCTGCACTGTTGTCTATGCAGAGATGTGAGCATGCAGATACACACATCCTTTCTACCTCCAGGCACTAAACACACGCTGTCCCAAACATGCAGCCCACCTTCCAGGTCCTGGTTCTTGGGTGGGGAGGGGAAGAACTTAGCGTGACTGACCTTTAGTGGAAGAGGTGATGCTGAAGAATCAGTCTCAGCCCTTGGAGTCAGCTCCTTGTCACAGTCAAATTTTCTACACACTCAAATCCTCTACACAGTTAGGGCCTCCACACTCTGCTGCTCACCTTTCCATAACCCTTCAGAGTTCACAACGTGCATTCGTTCATTCCTCAAATACTGACTGGGAGTCTGAGATGTACACTCATTGTACCAGGTGCTAGACTCGCATGCAGCCCATCTCCCAACTTCAAGCTCACGCTGGCTCCACCTGACCTCCTCATGTGTTCTAAAGGGACAAGCCAGGGACCCTGGATGCAAGAACTGGGTGGCCTCAGCCTCAACAAATGAATTCATCCCATTTGCCACCTTTCTGGCTCGGAAGCTCCATTTATGATCTGAGCCCCAGCTCACTCTCCTCCAGAGGAGGCTGCACAGATGGCAAGCTTCCCCACCACCTGGAAGAAGGGAGTTCCTGGCCACGCTGCCAGTGGGAGGACTTTGCTGAACAAACTCCAGGCAGTGGACCGTGTCCACACTGTGTGCTTCCAAGTGCCGGCCGATTTGCTTCTTACCTCCTCCAGTCATTCCCCTGCCCAATCTGGACACTCACTGACAGCAAGCACACAGGCGAACCTTGCCCCACCTTGGAGGCAACCATGTTACTTGTTAACTTGCTGACTGGAAATTAGTTTCTCCTCTGAGGTGGTGGAGCGGAGCATGGGCATTGACTTTTACTGACTGAGAGTAAGTGCTCAGTCAGAATAACAGAAGTACTCCTGATTACCTTTTAAATTAATCTAGAACTTCACTAAACACTCAGAGGCAAGATCTGCATATGCCACTGGAGTCTTCCATATTCCCAGGGGTGTGGCACGGTTCTGTTACACCTGCTACTCTGCAGCCTGGATTTTTTTTTTTTTTTTTGACAGAGTCTCACTCTGTCACCCAGGCTGGAGTGCAGTGGCACAATCTCGGCTCACTGCAACCTCCGCTTCCTGGGCTCAAGCCATCCTCCCACTTGAGTTTCCCACCACTATGCCCAGCTAAATTTTTTGTTTTTTTGAGATGGAGTCTCACTCCGTCACTGAGGCTGGAGTGCAGTGGCGCAATCTTGGCTCACTGCAACCGCCACCTCCTGGGTTCAAGCGATTCTCCTGCCTCAGCCTCCTAAGTAGCTGGGATTACAGGTGCCTGCCACCATGCCCGGCTAATTTTTGTATTTTTAGTAGAGACGGAGTTTCACCATGTTGGCCAGGCTAGTCTCAAACTCCTGACCTCAAGTGATCCACCCACCTCGGGCTCCCAAAGTGCTGGGATTACAGGCATGAGCCACTGTGCCTCGCAATTTTTTGTATTTTTTGTAGAGACAGTCTCACTATGTTGCCCAGGCTGGTCTCAAACTCCTGAGCTCAAGTGACCCGCCCTCCTCAGCCTCCCAAAGTGCTGGGATTACAGGCATGAGCCACCACGCCCAGCCTGAAGCCTGGATTTTAATGCCAGGCTGGCCTGGGTCTGCATCCCCAAGATTCCTTAACTTTAAAGTCTGGAATGAGTACTGGATGTGGGAAGCGCCACCTTGGTGCATGGTATAGGGTGAGTGCTCCATCAGTGCACAGTGGAGAGTAAGTGCTCAGTCATCCGCCACTCATTACATTATTGCCTCATTGCTGCCCCAGAGAGAAGCCCGTGGTTACAGAAGTGATCAAACCCATTAAATGCTCACTCTATCAAGTCCCATCCTCTGGCCCACAGCTCATGTCAGAGGGCAGGCTAATCTCTAAAGTCCATCCCACTGCTTTAAGGTCTGCCAAATGCAAGAGTCTCTTGGATCATGATAAAATGGAAACAGAAGACACCAAGAGACTGAGGTCAGGTAAAGGGCTCTGCTTGCCCATGAACTCCTGCTATTCCATGCAGGTGCAGGTCTTTGGTCTTCCAGGAAATGTTGGTCCTTGAGCTGGATGATGGGGTGGACAGCAGCCACCTGCAGCTGAGTTCTTGCAGGGACATCATGGGAGTTGTTTAGGAGGACAAACAGGAGAGTGTGTCCATCCTTATTTTGGATCAGGACAGAAATTATGACCCATAGTGACATCAAACCCAGATTTATTTTACCTCACTTGGAATATACCATGTTTCTCTCCTACCTTTGTTTTCCTTTATAGAGACTTTTACTGTAAAAATGTTAAGCGATTTGAAATATAAGCTCTATAAATGTATTTGGAACTCAAGCCATATGGCTCAATAGGAAAGAGATAGCTGTTTGCTGGGCCCTTTGGTTATAAAGCTGCTCAAAGCCCCCATATCAGAAGTTAAAAGATAGGAAGTCAATAGAGCATCTTAAGCAATTCAATGCACATTTTTAGGCAATTTGCTAATTGTTGTTGTAGTTCAGCCAACATTCATTGAGGTATATTCCATGTGAGACACTGTGATAAGGGAGATGAAGGTTGAGTAAAATATCAAATACAGGACCTTTTTTATCATTATTTACCAGTTGTGTTAGTCCACTTGCACTGCTATAAAGAAATACCTGACCAGGCATGGTGGCTCACGCCTGTAATCCCAGCACTTTGGGAGGCCGAGGTGGGCAGATCACGAGGTCAAGAGATCTAGAGACCAACCTGGCCAACATGGTGAAACCCCATCTCTACTAAAAATACAAAAATTAGCTGGGTTTGGTGGCACGCACCCGTAGTCCCAGCTACTTGGGAGGCTGAGGCAGGAGAATCGCTTGAACCCAGGAGGTGGAGGTTGCAGTGAGCTGAGATCACACCACTGTACTCCAGCCCAGTGACAGAGCAAGATTCTGTCAAAAAACAAAACAAAAAACAAAAACCTGAGGCTGGGTAATTTATAAAGAAAAGAGGCTTACTTGGCTCACAGTTCTGCAGGCTGTACAAGCAGCATGGTGCTGGTATCTGCTTGGCTTCTGCTGAGGCCTCAGGAAGCTTTCAATCATGGCAGAAGGCAAAAGGGGAGCTGGCATATCATATGGGGAGAGTGAGCAAGAGAGAGAGTCAGGGAACAGGTGGAAGTGCCAGGCTTTTTTAAACAACCAAGGCTGGGCTCAGTGGCTCACGCCTATAATCCCAGCACTTTGGGAGGCCAAGGTTGGCAGATCACTTGAGGTCAGGAGTTTGAGACCAGCCTGGCCAACATGATGAAATATATTTTATACTAAAATATAAAAATTATCTGGGTATGGTGGTGCATGCCTGTAATCCCAGCTACTGGGGAGGCTGAGGCAGGAGAATCGCTTGGACCCGGGAGGTGAAGTTTGCAGTAAACCAAGACTCTGCTGCTGCTCTCCAGCCTGGGTGACAGAGCGAGACTCCATCTCAAACAATAAAAATAAAATAAAATAAAAACAACCAGATCTCACGTAAACTAACAGAGTGAGAACTCACTTATTACAGGAGGACAGCTCCAAGACATTCATGAAGGATCATCCCCATGAGCCAAATACCACCCGCTAGGCCCACCTCCAGCACTGGAGGTCATATTTCAATATGAGATTTGGAGAGGACAAAATATCCACCCATATTACCAGTTGTTAACATTTTTGCCACATTATACTCTCTCCCTCCCTCCTTCCCTCTGAAATACTCAAAATGGTTTCTGAACCATTTGAATGTAATTTGCAGACATCATGACACTTTATTCCTAAATGCTTCAGTGTATATCTCCTAAGAAGGTTTATTCCCCTAATAGAACTGCCATACTACTATCAATCCTGACATAGGTAACACTGACATAATAATATTACCTAAAATGCATTCCGTTGTCACATTTTCCCAGTTGTCCCAAGAATGTACTTTGTAGCTTTTTGTTTTTTAAAAGTAACCCAGTATCCACTCGTGGATCCCACATTGCATTTGGCATCTTCCTAATGTTTTTTTCTGGCTTTTTCTTTGAGACAGAGTCTTGCTCGTTCACCCAGGCTGGAGAGCAGTGGCAAGATCTCAGCTCACTGAACCTCCGCCTCCAAGGTTCAAGTGGCTATCCTGCCTCAGCCTCCCAAGTAGCTGGGATTACAGGCACCTGCCACCATGCCAGGCTAATTTTTTAGTAGAGAAGGGGTTTCACCATATTGGCCAGGCTGGTCTCTAACTCCTGACCTCAGGCAACCCACCCACCTCAGCCTCCCAAAGTGCTGCGGTTACAGTTGTGAGCCACCATGCCCAGCCTGTAATGTTTTAATAGACACAGACCTCTGGGCCGGGCGTGGTGGCTCATGCCTGTAATTGCAGCACTTTGGGAGGCAGAGGTGGGCAGATCTCTTGAGGCCAGGAGTTTGAGACCAGGCTGGACAACATGGTGAAACCCCACCTCTACTAAAAGCACAAAAATTAGCCAGGCTTGGTGGTACATGCCTGTACTCCCAGCTACTCTGGAGGCTGAGGCACAAGAATCGCTTGAACCCGGGAGACAGGTGTGGCAGTGAGCTGAGATCACACCACTGCACTCCAGCCTGGGCAACAGAGTCTCAAAAAAAAAAAAAAAAAAAAAAATAGAGCTCTGCAAAGAAAGATCTAGAGCTCTTAGTGACTTTTGAGAAAGAACCTTTGGACTCAAACCAAAAAGCAAAAATCTTTCCACAAAAGACCCTTGGATGCTGCATAGCTCTCACCCTCACTACAGATGGGCAACTTATTTCTTAGAGGGGCATATGGGTTTCCAATTATTCCAATAGATTAATGCCATCTGCTCCCTAAATGAAAGAAAACTGGTTAAAAGTTGGTGTCAATGGAGTCTTAGGCCCTGATCAGCACTTTGGGAGGCCCATGTCTTCTGAAGGCCAGTCTGTGCTGGACCTTATTTGGGCATTGGAGATGTAGAAGAAAGGAGGGAGAAAAAAAACGAAAAGCTGCCCTCACAGGGTTTACACTATAGCTGGGGAAAAATAGAGAGAGAGAAAAAAAACCAGGGAACTAAAATAAGATTAGATTGCTGAAGGTAAAGTAGCTGCAGGGGCATGCAAACCAACTTTGGGAGTGAGGGCGGAAGTCATACTTAAGCTGAAGCCTGAAGGAAAATTCACCAGCTAAACACAGAGGAGGAGTACTCTCAGCAAGAGAAACAGCCCACGTGCAGGTCCAGAAGTGAGGAGAACTGAGTGTGCAAACCACATGCACGAGCTCAGCTGTGCAGTAGGAGTGGGGGAGCCATGAAAGCTGAGACTGGAGGGCTGGGCCAGGGCCAGGGCCACCCACACTGGGCCTTACAACACGTGGGGAGGAGCTTACACTTCCTCCTAAGACCAGCGAAGAGCCACTGAGGTTTCACAACAACCATCCCAGCACCATGTGGAATGATGGAGCACGTGCACAGAGGAAGTCCAGCGGGAGGCTTCATAAGGTACAGGACTGGATCTAAGCTAGAAGCTAGAAGGGCAGATGGAGTGGCGGGAATACATGTAACATGTATTTTGGAGATAGGATCCTAGGCTGTCGTAGTTAGAATAGACATAGGGAATAAAGGGAGAAACCTAGGATTTCTTTATTTAATTAAAGACACCTAGGTCTCTTTAATTAAAATGATGCTTTAGAACAAGTGTGGTCAAACTACAACCTGAGGGCCAGTGTTCTGTTTTTATAGATAAAGTTTTATGGGCACACAACAACAATCACATCTACTTATTTATATATTGTCTATGCCTGCTTTCACCCTAGAGCAGCCGAGCTGAGAAGTTTCGACAGAGACGATATAAACCACAAAAGCTGAAAGTATTTCTTTCTTTCTTCTTTCTTTTTTTTGGGGGGGACGGATTTTTGCTCTTATTGCCCAGGCTGGAGTGCAATGGCGTGATCTTGGCTCACCGCAACCTCCACCTCCCGGGTTGAAATGATTCTCCTGCTTCAGCCTCCCAAGTAGCTGCGATTACAGACATGCGCCACCACACCTGGCTAATTTTGTATTTTTAGTAGAGATGGGGTTTCTCCATGTTGGTCAGGTGATCAGCCCGTCTCGGCCTCCCAAAGTGCTGGGATTACAAGTGTGAGCCACCATGCCTGGCCTGAAAATATTTCTTATCTGATTATTTACAGAAGTTTGTGAACACCCTTCTTAGAACATTGTATTCCAGAGATGGATGCCTCAGGGAGAAAAAGAATATTTAAGCAAATAAATTTGGGTCATTCTGTATTTTATGTTGTTTTCTTGGCTACTCACCATCGATGAAGGTACCCTGAGAGCACTGAGAATTCCCACAGGAAAGAAATCTATTTACTTTATAAAAACCAATATTTCCCCAATGTAATTGCTCTCAGACTATGTTTAACTCTGAGGAATGCACTTGTGGATGCCTGCTTTAGAAAGATGAGGAGGTAGGCCGGGCGCAGTGGCTCACACCTCTAATCCCAGCACTCTGGGAGGCCGAGACAGGTGGATCACCTGAGGTCAGGAGTTCAAGAACATCCTGGCCAACATGGTGAAACCCCGTCTCTACTAAAAATACAAAAATTAGCTGGGCATAGTGACAGGCGCCTGTAATTCTGGCTACTCGGGAGGTTGAGGCAGGAGAATTGCTTGAACTCGGGAGGTGGAGGTTGCGGTGAGCCGAGATCATACCATTGCACTCCATCCTGAGCGACAGAGTGAGACTCTGTCTCAAAAAAAAAAGAAAGGAAGAAAGAAAGAGAGAGAGAGAGAAAATAAAAGAAAGAAAGACAGGCAGACAGACAGAAAGAAAGAAAGAGAAGGTGGCCAGGCCCAGTGGCTCACGCCTGTAATCCCAGCACTTTGGGAGGCCGAGAAGGGTGGATCATGAGGTCAGGAGATGGAGACCATCCTGGCTAACATGGTGAAACCCTATCTCTACTAAAAATACAAAAAATTAGCCGGGCCTGGTGGCATGAGCCTGTAGTCCCAGCTACTCAGGAGGCTGAGGAGTAGAATTGCTTGAACCCAGGAGGCGGAGGTTGCAGTGAGACGCTGTCTCAAAAAAAAAAAAAAAAAAAAAAGAAAGAAAGAAAGAAAGATAGAAAGATGATGAGGAGGTAGAAGAGGTACACTGGAGGGGTGAAGATTTCTAAGCATACAATTATTTATGAGATGAGTGAAGATATCATTAAAATGGCCAAGTATCAGACAAAAGAATCAGATCTGAGCTAGGGCTTATGTCAAAAAGAAGGAAGAGATATAAGGGAGGCTGTGAAGGGAGGATGCTGACAATTCCTACCTAGATATCTGTAGGGAATATGAAATGGGGAGGTAGAGAGTGGAGGGGAAAGTGGGGTGAAGAAGCCAGCTTGAAGAAAAAAGCTGTTGGCTCAGAGTAAGCAATGACCTTCTGCTTCCAGGAAAATGGAGTAGGCACATTTTCCCCTATTCCTCCCACTGGTTCAACTAGAAACCTTGGATGTTATACATAAAACAAATATGAGAAGACTCAGAACAGTGCAAAGAAGAAGGCAGATGGCTAGGGACCTCGCACTCCGAGGAATGACATGGTGGTGAGTTCCCTGGGTTTTCTTTTTGCCTCACATATCCCAGGCTGGAGTGCTGGAGAAGCAGACAACCTAAAAAGGCCAATGTCCAGCTTTCAATTAAAAATCACTCATCATACCAAGAACCAGAGATATCTCAAACCAAATTAAAATAGCAATAAATGCCAACACTGAGATGACAGAGATGTTAGAATTGTCTGACAAAGATTTTAAGGCGGCCATAATCAAATGCTTTAATGAGCAATTATGAATACACTTGAAACAAATGAAAAATCAGAAAACCTCAACAAAGAAATAGAAAGTCTCAGCAAAGAAATGCATGACATAAAGGAGAACCAAATAGACATATTAGAAGTGAAAAATACAACAAATGAAATAAACAGCTCCATGGATGGGCTCAAGAGCAGAATAGAGGGGACAGAGGGAAGAGAATCCATGAACTGGAAGACAGAACAATCAAAATTACCCAGTCTAAACGATGGAGAGAAAACAGACTGAAAACAAATGAACAGAGCCCCGGGATCCCATGGGACTATAACGAAGATGAGAGCCCCAGAAGAGAGGACAAAAGGGTGCAATTGTTAAAGGATTCAAGGAAATAATGGCCAAACACATCCCAGCTTTGAAAGGAAGCATGAAACTACAGATTAAAGAAGCTGAGCCCCACCACCCACCCAACTATGAGATAAACCCAAAGAAATCCATGCCAAGACACATATTTAAATATCTGAAAACTAAAGACAAAGTAGCAAAATATCCAACCTTTACTAGGCTTTATTGGACCTTTGAGGCAACTGCAGCTGAGTAGCCAGGGCTGGGGAGCAGGGACTCTGTTCACCTGGATCAGGGTGGAGATGGTGGTACAGGAAGCCATGGGTTTGGGGGCAGAGAATCTTGTGGCATTTTAGGGCTACCACCTTCTAGCTTGGGTGCCCCCAACAAGAGCAGCCTCCTGTGGTTTTCAGCAGAATGGGAACAGCGCCCTGGGTGTGTTGAACATACTGTCTTCAGGGCTTTTGCTCCTGCTATTCTCTTTCCCTGCAATGCATGTTCTTTGGTTCTTCGCATTGTGGGCTGCTTGAGGTTTCTGCTTAAGTGTTACCTCCTGAGAATGGCCTTCTCCTCTGGTCCAGTCTAAAGTAGATTCTCAACCAATCCACACCCTACCAAATTCTTCACAGCACGCTCCTTCCTTCATATTATTAACAACAACTTGCAATTACTTTTTCATGTGTTGACTTGTTTATTACATGTTACTTTACTAAACTGTAAGCTCCACGGGACCAGAAATCACCCTTATGTCTCAATACTTGTCTGGCAGACAATAGGCAGACAAAAAAGTTCTTGTGGAATAAATGAATAACAGCTGAACAGGGAAGGAGACCTATATTTAAAAGAGCTTCTGCATTTCAGAAGCTGAGCAAAGCACTTCACTTGTATCATTTCATATAGTTGTCACAAGTCAATAGTGAGGCAGCATTGTTGCTCTCATTTTTCTTGTTGGTGATCTCATTTTACAGGTGAGGAAACTGAGGCTCAGAGAGATGCAGTCTCATGCCGACAGTCACACACTGACCAAGATGCAGAGCCAAGTTTCAGATCTGGATTGCTTTTTCTGCCCATGTATTTTCTACTACTCTGCCCAGCCACCCTGTTGAGACAGGTTGTTGTATAAACCCAACCCTATACCCTTCTTGCCAGGTGATTTGTAAAATTCACTCCATTTGCTTATCTTTGCAGTGGTGAAGTTCTGAGAATGAGGTGTGAGACCATGTACAGTGGACAGGTAAAGTGCATTTCATTCCATGCATCTCCAAGCAGTTGGGCTAGAGTTTAATTTAAGCGCCTGGGTACCATGGCGATGCAAGCTCTATAAATACCGAGAGAGGCTTCTTTCAGCCAGTCTGCTGGTGACTGCACTTGTACCCCCACCCCCGTCTCCCACCAGGGCTCCGCCTCTGCTGTTGAGTAGAGGAACAGAGGAAAGCACTGCTTTGCAAGAACTCCCGCCCTCTGCTCATGGGCTTGCTCTCTCCTCTCCACACCCCCACCCTTGAAACTGAGATTTCATCTCCACCTCCTCCTTTGGTGCATAATTCATTTCCTCTTCAGTGAAAGACACAACAGCTCCCAGTCCCCAGAGAATCCCTTGATGAGAGAGTCAGAAATAGGATGGACTCAACCTCTCCTGGCAGCCTCAGCCTCTCACATAGGAGAAATCAGCTCAGTTAAGAGTTTGAGACCAGCCTGGCCAACATGGCGAAACCTCGACTCTACTAAAAATAACAAAAATTAGCTAGGCATGGTGGCGGGCACCTGTAATCCCAGCTACTCAGGAGGCTGAGGCAGGAGAATTGCTTGAACCAAGGAGGCAGAGGTTGCAGTGAGCCGAGATTGCGCCACTGCACTCTAGCCTGGGCAACAGAGTGACACTCTGTCTCAAAAAAAAAATAATAAATAAATAAATAAATAAATAAATAAATAAATAAATAAAAAGAACCAGCAAGGAAACAAGTGGGGAGGAAAGACAGGCAACAAAGGGAGAAAAGTACCCCTCTTCCCACAGAGACCGCTGAGCCTGTGAAATCCCCTACACCAATCCCCTTGGGGGGTCTTGTGGACAGCACTGGGCAGGCAATGGGGGATCAGGGCACTATCTCCTCCTCTTAGAATTGAGAACCCCACCTCAACTCTGCCCTCTCATTGTCAGCTCAGCTGTGACCAGTTTTAGCATGCCCTCATCAACCTCCATGGCCTCCTCCATCCACTCCAAATAGACGCACAACCCAAACATAAGTAGGAGTTTAAGGAGAGTCTCCTGGCCACCCCACCTCCTTTCCCAACCAGACCATGGCCCTGAAATCTCTCCTTCACAGGCACTCTAAAGCCCACACTGGGAGTCCAGAAGCAAAAACTCACTAGAAGCAGCTAAGTTGATATCTACATGACTACAGAAAAGTCACTTTGCCTCTCTGAATCTCAGTTTGCTCATCTATGAAATGGAACCAGCAGGAACTAGGGCAGTAAATCATTATTCACACAAACTCCATTTCTCTGTTTGTAAAATGAGTAGGCTGTGCAAGACTTGTTTCAGTTGATTTCCCAGCACTGAATTAAGCACGGAGGACCGAGAGGTAAATAAAAAACCATCTCTTCTGCCTCGGCTCTCGTGTTACCAAGGTTTCTTCCACCCTCATTTTCTCTGGCTTAGGACGTGTTTTCCCATCATTGGAAAAAAAGAGTCCACAGTACATTTATGAACCTCAAATAATGCATGACTCAAGAAAGGGGACATTATTGGCTCCATCATAGAACATAACTGTGCATTCCCCAGGATGTGTGGGAGGGACGGCATGAGGTAGGGAGGTAGAGTCATGGAGCAGGAAGCAAAATCTCAGCAGAGGTTCTCAAAGCCTCAGTTTCCCCTGAAGAATGCAGATGCGAACAGGAAACTGGACTTGCTAACATATCTGTTCCTTTGTTTTATATTTAATTTCTCCTCTTTACCATCTTCATGGAATATGTGACTCTGGCTCTCTGAAACACTCTAAAACACGTGTGGATAACGGCCTTTCTTCCCTGCAGTTGCAGTGGAGAAAAGGGTTCAAGTGCGCATCGTTTTTAAAAACAAGACAGCCTGTCTCAGGCTCAGGTGATTCCTCTGGGCCACCGGGATGTGGCCTTTGTCATTAGAAAGGCTTGGCCTGTGGTCACTTCTGCACTGCCCAACACTGCCCAAGCCTGTCTCCTTCAACTCCACACGCGGGCAGCCAGACGCAGCCCCAGGAGGGTGGCCAGGAGAGGGCTGGGCTTCTTGTCTTCAGTTCGGATTCCTGCAGTTCAGTCACCTGTAGAGTAACGTCCAATTCAGCCTATCATGTGGCTGAGCCGGTTTTACCTTTAATCTCTTTCACGTTTGCCCTCAGCCTCGCAGAATGTCCGGGATGATTCACGCGCCATCACATGGGGCAGGCAGTCATCTGTTTTATTACCTCACCCTGCTTGCCGCTTCTGCGAGATAACCTGGGATTCTTTCGTTGGGGGTGGATGGGAGGTAAAAAGAGCGAACAGACCTAGGCCTTAATTCAGGAGTCAATTCCTGCTCTGGTCTCTCTTTCTTGCTTCCCAGGCCAGGTCAAAAGGTCCAAAGAAGCAAGCCATTTGGAAAATGCCAGGGTTTGGGTGGCTGGACTAAAACGAAAGTGGGACTTGGCAGTCTAAAAGGTGTTTTCTCTTCACAATCAATGCCAACCAGTAAAAAGGCTTGGTTGAAAAATAAGGCCAAAAAAAAAAAAATCAGCAATTAGGAGGACTGTTGCAAGCAAGCAGGCATAATTTTCAGAAGGGGAAAGGACGTGGATTTGTGTTTTGAACAGAAAATACTTCAAATGGTCCACATTTCATAGAGGTGTGTCTGCTGCCAGGCACGGTGCTCCGAATGCACCGCACCACAGCCCCTGAGATGAAGGCGTGCTGCTGAGTGCCAAGCCCTCACATTTCTCCTCCTGCTTTGCCCTAACCACAAGCCCAAAGGAGTCCATATTGTTATGTGATTTTTTTTCAAATCAAAGACTGAGACTTCAGTGAAGCAAGCTGCCCAAGGTCACACAGCTAGAAAACCGGGTGGGCTTGGGACCCAAACAGCCTGATTCTAGAGCTCTTGCTTCTCAACCAAAAAACTATGAAGCAAACATCAACAGAGATGAACATTTGTCAGTATCAGTCATGTTCCACATCCCAACCATGGGGAAGTTCTGAGGCTGCAGAGTGATTTAAAAAAGAAAGAAAGTCTCCAATCTGGGTGACAGAGCGAGACTCCGTCTCAAAAATAAAAAGAAAGAAAGAAAGAAAGTCAGCCAGGCAAGGTGGCTCATGTCTGTAAGCCCAGCACTTTGGGAGGCTGAGGTGGGCGGATCACCTGAGGTCAGGAGTTCGAGACCAGCCTGGCCAATATGGTGAAACTCCAGCTCTACTGAAAAATACAAAAATTAGCTGGGCGTGGTGGCGCAGGCCTGTAATCCCAGCTACTCTGGAAGCTGAGGCAGGAGAATTGCTTGAATCTGGGAGGCAGAGGTTGTAGTGAGCCGAGATCATGCCACTGCACTCCAGCCTGGGGGATGGGGGGAGACTCCATCTCAAAAAAAGAAAAAAAGAAAGTATAGGTTAATAACTGAGAACACTGCACTAGAGTCAGACCTAGTCTGTCTTATGAGCTCTGTATCCCAGGCCAACAACAAAGCATCTTGGAGCCTCATCTGTAAAATGGGTATAATAAATAGACTTTCCTATGCCAGAGGGTTGTTATGAAGATTGAGATCATGTATTCAAAGAACCTAGCACCAGGTTGGCTTTGCTTTGGGGCTACTGCTCTAATCAATAGTGGGTTTTTATGTAGTAAAGGCTTGACCCAAACAGAGGAAGTGTAGAGGGCTGTGGGAATTCCCCCATAAAGGAATGGGGAATTCCAACTTTTGGGTGTTGAGGGCCAGTCTGAGGCTGGTGTCCCTGGACTCTGGTGCCTGGTATTTATGGAATGAAGGAGGGCCAAGCACTGAGCCCCGAGGCCTGGCCTCAGGGAAGGAATTAACTATGAAGAAGGCATTTGGAGGCGAGGCTCACTCTGGTGGGTCTTTTCTGTCAAGAGGAGATGAGACCACAAACATGATTCCCTCTCTGGCTCAGCAACACCCTGGTCCATACAGCACAGGGTGCTGGTTCTTCTGGAAGACCGTGGGGCTCAGGCAAGAGAAGACACCCAACTGGGCTTCATTCGACCAGTCCAGCTTCCTGCCATATGCCGAGGGCAAAAAAGGGTTAAATTCCCACTCAGTACACAGATGTAAGAGGAGATGGGGAAGTGAACAGCCAGTTGATCATTCACTCAATCATGCTAGCTTGCTTTTTGTATTTAATGCTACATTTTAAATTTATTTATTTATTTATTTGAGACAGAGTCTCGCTTTGTTGCCCAGGCTGGAGTGCAGTGGTGCGATCTTGGCTCACTGCAACCTCCACCTCCCAGGTTGAAGTGATTCTCATGCCTCAGCCTCCCGAGTAGCTGGGACTACGGGCGTGCACCACCACGCCCAGCTAATTTATTATTATTATTTTTTAGTAGAGATGGGGTTCACTATGTTGGCCAGGCTGGTCTGAAATCCTGACCTCAGGTAATCTGTCTGCCTCACCCTCCCAAAGTGCTGGGATTACAGGCGTGAGCCACCGCACCCACTAATTCTACATTTTTAATTTCTCAAGAAACATTGTGTCTCTGATTGTTTTATTCTCTTGAACATTTTTCAAGATGGAATTTTGCTTTGCTTACTTTCTTCTTTTTCATAGCCCCACTTCTCCCAAATCCATAACACACCTACCTCAAAGTATCACAGGAAAGAAAGCCTGTGAAGCTGCTAGCCACAGCCTGTCACAAGTAAGTCCTCAATTTAGCTAACAATAACAATGGCATTACTATTACTTTTACAAAGTGTTTTCCCTGACACCCTCTGGAAGTCCTCCCAGGAAAGCGGATCCACAGCGCTCCTAATTTTAGGGACCCTGAGGGGAGCCAGCTACATTTCCAAATGGTGGGGAAGGGTGGAGGGTGGGCGAAACGTCGTAGGGAGAGTTGAATAGAAGGAGACAGATGGTGCCTGTGTTGGGGGAAGGGACCAGAGATCCTGGAAAACTTATGTTTCCCAATTCGCAAGAATGTTTCCATTTAACCACTTCTTGCCTGACTCCTGATTCTACACCACAGAAAAGCAGGGAGTTTTTAAGATTTGGGGCCACCTGTGCCGAGAGCCTGGCTACTCCGGGTGGAGAGAGACAGGAGCGTTTTAAGTACAGGCAGAGCGGTTTTTGGCCCAGCCCCCTAGGTCTGGGACGCAGGTGAGGGGCGGTCTCTCCTTCCCCTGGCAGGGGCAGCGTAAGGGTGGCCGGCGGCTGGGACTGTCCCACGAGGGGGCGCGTCTCGGGCCCTAGGACCCGCCCTCGAGGCGCTGCGCGCGGGGAGGGGACCCGGGAACCCAGGCGCCCGGCGCTCCGCCTCCCGTTTCCGGGGCAGCGCGGTTACCTGCACCGCCCGAGCCGCACCTGGCGGAGGCAGAAGTCACAAACCCGGCGAGCTCAGAGCGGTGGAGCGGAGAGGAGGGACGGCACCCGGCTGCAGGGAGGAGGGAGGCGGCAGCGGCAGCGGCGGCGTGGAGGGCGCAGCGCGCCGCGCGGCGGAGGAGGGCAGACGGCGGCGGCGGCGGCGCTCGGCTCGCTCTGCCCGGCCGGCTGGGCGCGCACCCGGGCTCGCACCGCGCCGCTGCGGACGCACATGGCAGCGTGAGAGGCCGGCGGCGGGAGGAGCGGGCGGCGCCGGGTCGGGGCTGCAGGGCCGCATGGACAGCGGCGCCACCCCGGCCGGCCCCTACTAGGGCCCCCCATCTGCGGGCGCCACCCCCCGGATCATGGTGCCTCGGCGGCCGCCCGGGCTAAGAGCGGCCGGCTGGAGCCGCTGAGCCCCCGCTGCGGCCGGGAGCTGCATGGGGGAGCGCCGGCAGCGCTTGGGAAGATGCCCCGGCCGGAGCTGCCCCTGCCGGAGGGCTGGGAGGAGGCGCGCGACTTCGACGGCAAGGTCTACTACATAGACCACACGAACCGCACCACCAGCTGGATCGACCCGCGGGACAGGTAGGACCCTGGAACCCTCCTCCGTGCCCCCACACCCCCGCCTGGGCCCCCACCTGCCCCTGGAGCCGCCGGCCGGGACTGGGAGGGGGCAGGGGAGCTCTGCGTGCCTCTTGAGCTCTCTTCAGTTCGCCACCCCCTGCTCCCCCCAACCTTCTGGAGCGCTGCTCCCGCCTCAGTGGGCCACCGAGAGGAGGCGCCTGCCGGGGAGCTGGCCCAGGCTGCCCCACCGCCATCCCCAGTTGGAGGACTTAGGCCCCAGCCGGCACCTGCCCGGAGTTTTGACCTTAAGCTCTAGCCCCGCCCGCCCCCTTTAGGAAGAGAGGTCGGGCGGGGGCGGGGGTTGGGGGAGCGACCTAGCCGGGTGAAGCCGGGTCTTCCCGGGGAGGCTTCCACCCAGCGTGGGGGGTGGGCGGATGGGGATGGGGAAGTGTCCGGTTAGAGGGGGTGGTCAAGACCCCAGGATTCCGTGGGAGACCACTGGAGAGAGGGCACTCGGCGCAGAGGAAGGCAACCTGAGGTGTGCTTTTTGACAGGTGCCTTGGAAGCTGCTGAGAACAGCACAGGGGCAGCCAGGGGGCCCTGGAACCCGAGGGTGGGGAGGAAGTGAAGAAGCGGGGGAGGGCAGATGAGGGAGACTGGTTATCCAGGAATCTGGCAGCAACTTGGAAGCTGTTAGGATGGAGATGGAGGTGAGAGGCCTCCCGGAAAGCCTTGCCCCTCGCCTCTTTCTCCTCTCTTTCTTCCCTGATCGGGGAAGGGGGCGGCGAGGCTCCTCAGCCCTGCACCAGCGGGACCTGACCTTGGTGGGTACCAGGCCGCTGTAGGTTGAGATAATGTGCAGAGGCAGATGGAGCCTGAGATAGCTCGGTGTGGCTCTTACCTCTCCAGACTTTCTCCTGGTTGTTTGGCATTTCTTTGCTCACATGCTGCACACACACACATACATTCACCCTCTCCATGTATGTCCTAGAGTCCCCGGACCACGATGTTGTTGACACGGTCTGTGGGCAGAGTGTCTTGGGGAATGCGGACTTTAAACCTTGTCTGTGACCTTGGGGGTCAGGTCCCTGTAAAGCAACCAAGGTGAATTTCTTGGACTCTTCATCTTGTGTGGTGGGGGTGGAGGTGTCCCAGAAGTGTATGTAGCAAGATGTGGGTCAAAAAAAGAATATAAGCGGAAAGAAAATGAGAGTTGAGATTCTCGGTAGTTTCTGGGAGCACTTACTTTCATTCATTCATTCATTCGTTCATTCAGCGCTTCCTGGATGCCTCCTCTACACTCAGCACCATGCTGAATGTCTCATGAATGTAATCTGGAAGGTAAATATTTAGTGCTAGAGAGCATCTCTTAGGCAAGCTGCTTCAACCTCTGAGCCTCAGTTTCCCTGTTTGTCAGATGGGGGAGCCCACCATTTCCCTGAATTTAAAAAGTTTGCTTGGAAGGGAATATTGGGATGCTTAAAACTTGGAAGGGACGTACATCAGCGCCCAACTCCCATTTGAAACATAAGAGAAAATTTGAAGCCCAGAGGTGTGATTTGCTCAAGTATTTTGATTTTTCTGCCATTCTGCGTACCAGTTCTTCACCAGCTCTGAAGTTCTAACCTGCAAACTTGTCACCCTGACACACTGCTTCCCCACCCTTACTCGGGTCAGTTGCCAGCTCTGCTACTGTGTTGGTGAACTTGGCAGCACCTTTTCTCTTGTCCTTTTCTCAGAACAGACACAAGTTCAAACATATGTGACCTGCCCCAATTTAGGTCCCTGTAGTTTACGGAGGCCTGTGTGCTGTTAGCAGGTGGACGTCCTGTTGGAGGGAAAGGACCGCCCCTGCCAACACTGATAATCATGCATCTGGGGACTTCTAATACAGCAATAGGAGGCCCCTCTCAACAGTAATTCTTTACCCTTGGAAAAGGGTAAGTAAGTAGCTTCTATGAAGAACTGATTGGCTGGAGCACAATCTCCCAAATTTTAGTGTTACATGGACCACCTCCATGATTTTTTTTTGCTATATCCACCTGTGCTATTGCTTACTTACTCCTTGACTTTAGATCAACTCACTTTAAAAATATGTGTACCATTTTCACAAATGGGAAACTAGTTATATCTATTGTCATACAGGGGAAACAAAAAAGATAGGCAAACAAAAAAAACAAAAAACCAGGGTTAGTATATTTTAGCTAGGTACTGTGGCCAGCCTAAGGCCACAGCACCTCACCTGCCCAGCCTTTGTTTTTAAGCAGATTGGCAAGCCATGGAGAGGCGGCAGAAACATAGTGGCACTTAGGTGAGCAGCTCACCTTCTTCATCTTGTGTCATTGGTTTTTTTGTTTGCTTTTGGTTTTTTTGTTTATTTGTTTTTGTTTTTTGGAGACAGAGTCTCGCTCTGTCGCCCAGGCTGGAGTCCAGTGGTGCGATCTTGGCTCACTGCAAGTCTGCCTCCTGGGTTCAAGCGATTCTCCTGCCTCAACCTCCCGAGTAGCTGGGACTACAGGTGCACGCCACCACATCCAGCCAATTTTTTGTATTTTAGTAGAGATGGGGTTTCACTGTGTTGCCCAGGCTAGTCTTGAACTCCTGAGCTCAGGCAATCCGCCCACCTCAGCCTCCCAAAGTGCTAGGATTACAGGCGTGAGCCACCACGCTTGGCCTTGGGTCACTGGTTTATAAACTTCATCTCTGTACCTCCTTGTCATCCCACCTGGACTGGGGTGGTATTGGGCCCCTGAACTTGGGGTCCTGAGGGGGTCTCATGTCAACTCTGGGGGTCACTATTGTGGTCCAGCTTTGTATGTTTTGGAAAAGTGCTAATTGGAGGATAGCCACTTGTGGTTTTCTGGAATTTCCCTCCGGCATACCCCATTTTTGCCTTTTAGTTCTGTCTGTGTGGCCTTGGGCAAATCACTTGACCTCTCTGAGGTTTGAGTGCTTGAGAAGTGGGTTGGTTAGATGGTCTTCAAGGGCCTGCCAGCTCTTAAATATTATTTCAAACCCTTCTGCCGCTCTTACCTCTCCAGACTCCATGAGAGGAGAAGGGGGAACAGGGATGGGCTATGAGAAAAAGGAAGAAGAAATTTAACAAAGCTGAAAAGAGCCAAACTTATTCCGGGGGGTGGTGGGTTGGGGAGAAAAAATTCTGCCAAGGTAGTTATATCCCTGCAATTAATTAATGCTGTGAGACAAAAAATTGCACTAAAAATTTCTACTCCGTGTGTGTGTGTGTGTGTGTGTGTGTGTGTGTGTGTTTATTTGCCTTGGATTTTTCCTTACCTGAATCATGGAGATGCCCACCCATTCCCCTGAATTTAAAAGAAGTAAGTCAAATGGTCCTTCAGTCAGAAAAGTGATTTCTTAGCCACCAAGGACAAAATAGCGTCTCTGGTTACCAACCCTAAAGAATGTCTTGGCACATTCCTCCCTCTGGGGCTGAGCTGTTTTGTGTGCTGGCCGGCCAGGAGCTGCTGGGGGTAGGGAATCCAGTTTTCAGCTTCCCCTTTCACCAGGGGGTTGGAAGAGCAGCCAAGCAGCCAGCCTTGCCAACTCTCTCCCCTTCTCACCCAGGGGAAGACTGGGAGGCCGAAATTCCTGAGGATGGTTGTCCCAACAACCGGAGAGGGTCCAGTGGGCAGCTTGGGTCCTGCCCACTGGGCCAAAGGCTCCAGCAGCACCACAGGCTTTTCCTGAGTCAAGGCCAGCCTGGGAAGGTGACAGGCCCTTCGGGAATCAGGTGCTGTGGATCAGGTCTGAACAGCACCTTGGAGCCGTGCTCCTTTTGCGGAGTAACTCTGGGTGCTTTTGTGAGCTCTAGCGAAGGGGCCAGCGTCCTGTGTATTTCACTTCGTGGTATGCAAAACAAATGCACCGATTGTTCTCGGAGGAAGAATAGATCTTTGGGGCTGGCCCTCCCAGAGAAGGTTCCTGCAGCCTGATTCCTTCTTGTTGTGCGATTTGTATTCAGACCTTCTCATAGGAACCACCTGGGAATTCTGGGCAGTTTCTGGGTCTGTATGGTAAGTACCGGAGGCACACATGGCTGGAGAGGCCATGCTGAGAGGATCCAGCAACTTCTCCCATGACTTGAGGATCTTTTGCTAACCCTGTTATTTCAGAAATAATTGATATGGTAGGAAGTCAGGTCTACAGCAGTCAAAAAGTCTAAACCTCTGTCAGGTCACAGACCCTTATGAGACTGATAAAGGTTCAGAACTCTTCCTAGAGAAAAGGTTTTTGCACATAATTTCAGGGACCTCCTGGACCCCAGGTTCATAACCCCTGCCATAGATAAGCTTGGAAATTGCTTGTCACCATGGAAAGGCCTCCTGTTTAGCTAGGTAGCAAATAATGATTGGGTATTTACTATATTCAGGCAGTCTGCTGAGAGCTTTACATAGGTTATCTCTTTAAATCCTCCTAACAACCCTGGGACTAGGTACAATTATTACCCACCTGAACTACCCAATGCTCAGGGAGGCTTGGTAAAGCCCCTCAACCTTTGTGGAGCTGTGATGTGAATACTAGGCGGGCTCACACCAGAACACACATTTCTAACCACTGCCTCATTTTACTTCCTGCTGAGTTAGCTGCAGAATCAAGACCACTGCTCCAGTGCCTAAGGAATTTGGCCTTGGGAAATGGAGCCAAAACAGGCATGATTTCACTTACCTGTGACCATTCTGGTGTGGTCAGGTCATGGGCACCTAGAGGGCAAATGTAGATAAGTGAGTCTTTGGCTCCTGGAATCTTGGATCTGCCACTTGCTACCTGAGTTACCTTGGTAATTGACATATTGTCCCTGAACCTTGCGTTTGCCTTCTAATGAATGGAAAGATGTCCATCAACCATCAAGGGTAGTTATGGGTGATAAGTAAGTGAAGGTAGGTAGGGCAGCAAGCCTGAAGTCTGACATGCAGGGGACACTGAGGAATGCCAGTTCCTTTAACTTTTCCTAGAACGTACCTGTGAAACAGCAGCATCAAATGGATGCTGCATATCTACCCAATTTTGCAGCTGGAGTGGACCTTTCTGTTCGTGAAATCCAGGCCTCTCATTTCACTGATGAAATTGAGAACCAGCCTGGTGCGGTGGCTCATGCCTATAATCCCAGCACTTTGGGAGGCTGAGGCGGGCAGATCACCTGAGGTCAGGAGTTCGAGACCAGCCTGACCAATATGGAGAAACCCCATCTCTACTAAAAGTACAAAATTAGCCAGGCATGGCGGTGCATGCCTGTAATCCCGGCTACTCGGGAGGCTGAGGCAGGAGAATCGCTTGAATCCGGGAGGTGGAGGTTGTGGTGAGCCAAGATCGCGCCATTGCACTCCATCCTGGGCAACAAGAGCGAAACTCCATCTCAAAAAAAAAAAAAAAAAAAAAGAAATTGAGAACCAGAGACAAGTGACTTGCCCAAGGTCACACAGAAAATAAATGCCAACCTCGAGTCTAGTAAAAGTTTCTTTTTTCTCTTTCTCTTATATAAATTTTTTACTAAAAGTCAGATCTATGTCCTTCTCATCAATGATAATAATTCACACATATTTTATGTGCATGGCTGCATTATTCTCCATAATCGTTTTTGATTGTATAGACCAGGAAGTTGCATTCATCGTGCGTCACAATCATTTGTGAGTTGTGTCATAGGAATTTGCTGTATGTCAAATGATTACATTTCCAGTGATTGCAAGTGAATTCCTATTTTTATAATCAATTAAAATGGATTTAGAGTTATTGTCAGTCTAATGTCATATTCCAACAAGCTTTGTTTTATTTTATTTTATTTTATTTTGAGACTGAGTCTTGCTCAGTCACCCAGGTTGGAGTGCGGTGGTGCAATCTCAGCTCATTGCAACCTCTACTTCCCGGGTTCAAGCAATTCTCGTGCCTCAGCCTCCCGAGTAGCTGGGATTACAGGTGCATGCCACCTCACCCAGCTAATTTTTGTATTTTTAGTAGAGACAGGGATTCACCATGTTGGCCAGGCTGGTCTCGAACTCCTGACCTCAAGTTATCCGCCTGCCTCAGCCTCCCAAAGTGTTAGGATTACAGGTGTGAGCCACTGTGCCCCACCCAACAAGGTTTCTTAAGTGAGAGTTATAACCAGTCTGCCAGGGAAGTTACCCAGAACCTCTTTATTCTCCATGCTGCTGCTCTTAATGATCCACTAATACCTGTAGATGTATAATAATAATACTTACATACAAGTGATTAGAGGGCTTTTTATCTTTTTCTGAGGCTTGAGTTTAAGATCTACGTATTCCATGGGAGTCTACCATGCCTGGGAACATCCTATGTCAATTATTAAGAAAGAAATGAGGTTTAAAAACACTAGGATAGATAATAGGGAGAAGCAAGAGATTTGGTAACCCAGAGAAGAATAAAATAATAGTCAATACCAGCATCTATTGAGTGTTTACTCTCTGCTGCCCACTGAGCTAAGCATTCTATTTTGTGACCTCATTTTATCTTTTCAACAGCCATATGGGGTAAGTACTTCAGATGAGGGAACTGAAATTTAGAAAGGTTAAGTAACCGGCCGGGCGCAGTGGCTCACTCCTGTAATTTCAGCACTTTGGGAGGTCGAGGTGGGTGGATCACCTGAGGTCAGGAGTTCAAGACCAGCCTGGCCAACATGGTGAAACCACGTCTCTACTAAAAATGCAAAATATTAGCCAGGTGTGGTGGCACGCACCTGTAATCCCAGCTACTCAGGAGGCTGAGACAGGAGAATCGCTTGAACCCAGGAGGCGGAGGTTGCAGTGAGCTGAGATCGCGCCTCTGCACTCTAGCCTGGGCAACAAGGGCGAAACGCCATCTCAAAAAAAAAGGTTTAGTAACTTGCTCAAGATCACCAACAGGTGTTGCATCCAGGACTGGAGCCCACCTAGCTGGATTCTTGCATCTACACTCATACTAGCTGTAGCCTGGTCTGGCTCTGTCCTGGCTTATTAATCCATCTCAGGGCCCCAGAGTGCCCTGTTGACAGCTGGGCTTGAGAGTTACCATTTATTCTTAAAATGGGTGAACCTGATGTGGATCTCAGGGAGAGACTTTGCTAAGGAGCCTTAACCAGAGAAGCCAGTGAGATCCTCATGGCAGCTTAGGAGACTGTTTGGCATAAACTCCACCTTCTGGGAGCAGCTGGCTAACCAGAGCTTTGGGGATGGGAGAAGAGAGAGAGATGGAGGCAGAGGGACTCTTTGAAGGATGCAGTGTGTACAAGGAGTTCACAGTCCTTTCCAAGTCGCTTGGGTAAATGCTCCCAACAGCCAGGGAATGAGTAGCCAAGGCCGTTCCTCTCTGTCGCCATCCCTCCCCCTCCCGGGGAGAGGGCTTATCCAAACTGACCCAATTTTCCAATTCCCTGGGGTCCCAGATTGCTGTGAGAAGAACACTGCCCTTTTGAAGGGAAGAGAATCAGGTTGCCTTAGTTACCTGGAAGGTTGGCACGCCAAGTTCAGGTGCACGTAAGGAGAAACAGGGCTAGAATAAGTGTGAGTCGAAGGTGGCCACCGTCTTGCTGCACGGTTCCCTCAGTGGCAGAAGCCTTGATCAGGCTTCAGTGGCACTTGCAGGGAATGCCGACCTAATGTCAGGTGGCTGTCCATGACGTGTATCAGGAGCTCTCTCCAGCCACATGTGGTGCTAGGTGATGAGGCTCTGCAGCCTCCAGTTCAGCAAGGGGCCCTGGATAAGAGGAATCCACTTCACTTGGAGAAGTGGCCTGGTGACATCCCTATCACCAGCTCCTCGCTATTTGCTAAGGGAAGCACCTCCACTTGGACAGGGCTGAGGGCTAGATCTGGGCAAAAAACTCCCGTCTTGCCTCTCCCAGCATGGAGATGGCCAGCTGGCTGCACACCTTTAGGTAGAACAGCAAAGGTTCAGTTGCTGCTGCCTCGAATCCGTTTCAGAGTGAGATAAAGAAAGAGAAAACTAAGAAACTGGATACAGTGACATTTTGTTATTAGACCTTCCCCAGCAGGCCATTTAGCCTTTAGTTCCTGAGCAGAAAAATAATAATGGGGTGGCGGGAGGAGGGGGCAGGCGTTCACTGTTGTGTGCGGAGAATATTCTCTAAAGATGCAGGATGGGGAAGAGGGGGTGGAGCAGAGAGTGGGGAGGAGGGAAAGAAAAAGGACAAGTGTGGTGGGTCACATGCCCATTCTCCCCACCCCCCACCCCTTGCCAGTTGCCTGCTCAATGCTTCTACCCATGACATCTCACTGTTGGGAAGAAATGAGATCTTTCAGTTTCAAATGTCTGCCAAAGAAAAGGGACGGAGGCTTAAGTTCTCACTCAATGGTCAGCCAGAAAAAAAAAAAAAAATGAAGCTGCATCAAGATTAGGGACACCTTTGTTGGCTTTTTTTTTCTTCTCTTGCTCCATTCATCACTCTCTGGCAGCGAGGACACCAGGCCAACTGCAGCTGCTGACTTTCCCCAGTCGGCTGCCTGCTGTTGCCCAGGCCTGTTTTGGTAGCAACCCCCACACTGGCTTCCTCCCCGCCCAGTGGTGGTTACTTGTTGGATTCGTCCCTGGGGTAGCCCCTGGGATCCACTGACGGGTAACAGACTTGGAAGGATAAAATGTCAAGATGCAGGCATCAGGTGGCTGCTAGGATGAGATGACCCTGGGACAGCCTTCCAGTCCTACATCTGTCGTGGCTTTTCTTGGAGAGTCGGGCTGTGAGCATTTCACTGTATTCCAGGAATTTCTTCTAAGTGCATTGTTTGTCTTTGTATCACTAACAGTGAGAACAATAACTGGCACCTGGTGATAATGGTGATAAATAATCATGATTGTCTTTAAAGATCCTTATCCATTGTCTGTCACGTGCCAAACACTATTGCTCATCATATTTTTATGGCATTTTGCAAATGAGGAAACTGAGGCCGAGAGACAAGTCAAGTGACAAGCTCATTTTTCCACTATGGAAAAAAATGTGTATGTGTTTGTTGTTCCACCCAAACATGGGATTGCATACCACACGATTCACGATTCCCTGTAGTAGATAAGCTCTCCATAAAGATCATTAGAGGACACTGAGTCAAGTCTGGCTTTGTCACTTTAAAATAGTAAGTGGGACTGGGTGCAGTGGCTGACACCTGTAATTCCAGCACTTTGGGAGGCCAAGGTGGGTGGATCACCTGAGGTCAGAAGTTCAAGACCACCCTGGTCAACATGGTGAAACACCATCTCTACTAAATATACAAAAAAATTAGCCAGGCGTGGTAGCAGGCGCCTGTAATCCCAGCTACTCGGGAGGCTGAGGCAGGAGAGTCGCTTGAACCTGGGAGACGGAGGTTGCAGTGAGTCGAGATTGTGCTATTGCACTCCAGCCTGGGCAACAAGAGCAAAACTTCGTCTCAAAAAAAAAAAAAAAAAGTAAGTGACCTTGAACCAGTTCCTTCTCAGCTATAAAACAAGGATAAGAATAGAACCTACCTACCCCTGAGAGTCATGGTGAGGATATGACATCCAACATAGAAAGTCTTAGCGCCTATCATGCCTTCATATGGGAGCCCTTTCCAGTTAGGCCAACCTACCCTCCTGTGCATTGGTAACGGTAGAGGAACTAAAACCCCTGTTTCTTCCTTGCCAACTCAGGTCTCTTCCTGGCGGGCCATGGCTCACCTGAGCCACACTGACATTAGAGCTCGCAAACCACCTTGGCAGCACTCATTATATGAATCAGTAAACTCCCCTCCTCCCCCAGTCTTATCAGGGGCAAGCCCTTCTTTGGAATTTCTGGAGTGAAGCGACTCTTGCCAGTGAGCTGGCACCAGGGCTGTGTGTGAATCAGGGTAATGAATTGCAGTTGTCATGGCAGAGCTAAAAAGGCTGATGCAGGAACTGGAGGTCTCTGGAACTCATTTGTAACTGCTTTGATATCATGTCCCCTCACTCAGTCTTCCCTTTTGCGCTGTTTGAGAGCTGTTTGAGGACCTGCTGATTTGAGCATGGTGGTGTTGCAGGAAGGGCATTGGCATTTATCACGTCCCACCCAGCGGGGGGTTGGCCATTCACTCAGCAGGTATTTATGGAGTGCCTACTGTGCTCAGACTCTGTTGCCAGAGCGGAGGATCAGAGCAAAGTCCCTGCTGCAATGGGGTGTGCACGCGGGGGATGGAGACTGGGAAATAGTTAAATAGATAAATCGCATTATGACTGGGGGTTTGATGTTCTCTAGAGCTCTTTTAGGAAGGTGGAGGGACAGACCTGGTGACACCTGTCGACAGTGGTGGTGCGGACCTAGATTTGAAGCCGGGAGACCTTGAGGCCTTTAGTAGGATGTTATCAAGAGCCTATTGTGGTGAGGTGGGCTAATTGCTGGGAGTGCAATGGTGATACACAATAGAGTCTCCAACTCGTAGAATTTACTACAAATTAGTGAGAGGCACAGCTAGTCAAGGAGCTGTGCAAATATAGTAGAAATACCAGGCTCTCTGAGTCTGTTTTTCTTCCTCTCCTGTTTCATCTGGACACGTTCAGTCATTTAACAAATATTTGTTGGATAGTGTACCTGTAATATGCCAGGCATTGTTTTGGCACTGGGGGTTCAGCAGGGATTAAACCAACAAAAATCCTTGTCCTCATGGAGCTTACTTTCAAATGCAGTGTTTGTCAAACTTGAGGAAACATCAGAACCACCTGGAGGTCTTGTTAAATACTCAGTTTGAGTCAGTGGATCTGGATGGGGCCCAAGAATGTGCATTTCCTGCAGGTCCCCAGATGATGATGCTGGCTTGACCCAACTCATACCAACCAACTAATACACTGACTCATTGACTCCTTATAATAACCTAGGAGAGGGTACTCAATTATCCCCGTTTTGCAGACAAGGAAACTGAAGACAAACGAAGTAACTTCGTCCTCCCTATGCTAAGAGGGCTAAAGAAAATGGTCTCATGAGCCAACACTGTCTACCTGCATCACTGTGATTATGAGGACCATATATCATGTTCTTTTGTTTTGCTGACCAAAGCCTGACCAGTAGCAAAATCCTGTGGGTTTTTCTTGTTCATTAAGAAATAAGGCACAGGAGGCCAGGTGTGGCAGCTCACACCTATAATCCTAGCACTTTGGGAGTCTGATACAGGAGGATAGTTTGAGCCCAGGAGTTTGAGACCAGCCTGGACAAGAAAGTGGGATCTCACTTTCTTGCCCATCTCTACAAACATTCAAAAAATGAGCTGGGCATGGTGGTCCACACCTATAGTCCCAACTACACCAGAGGCTAAGGTGGGAGGATCGCTTGATCTCAAGAGGTCAAGGCTGCAGTGAGCCATGTTTACATCATTGCAGTCCAGCCTGGGTGACAGAGTGAGATCATCTCAAGAAGAAAGCAGGCAAGCAAGGGGAAGCAGCCAATCTAAGGGGATTCCAGAAGACCGAAGGGACTTCTCTTTCATTAGAATGTATAGAATTTGTATTTTCATGGCCACAGCAGGATCAGAGGAAATTGCCCTCCCTGTTTCTCAGTGGAACTGAGCCAGGACTCCCCTGCGCTGAGCTGCTCGGGAGAGGAAGGGTCCCTGGGCTCCTTCACCCCAGGGGACTTTCCCTACTTCAACTCCAGGAAGTGCAGGGAGGTGGTTTTGAGGAAAAGCAAATCCCTCCTCTCATGGAATCCTCACTTCAGCCCTCTAGGGAGGCCTTATCCACCGCTATTCCCCTAGACCACTGCTTCAGCTTTACATACCTTTGTCACTTGCTGGTTCTGTGACCTTGGTCAAAGTTACTTATATCTTTTTGAGCCTTCATTTCTTCACCGGCAAAATGAGAATAAATTAGAATCCATCTCATAGAGTTAGTAATAATCACATTAGACATCTCTCATTATATTCAAGTTCCACTGACCAGGCAGTTCTAATGGCAGCCATTACAGTCCCCATAATATATTTGATAACTTTCTCTATAGTTACAGAGTTACTGCTCAATTCGTTTATTTTGAGGACCAGATTTTTTGGATGTAAACCACTTCTTGTTTCTCTCTGAGCAAAATGTCCCCTGGAAAAACTGGTCATGCCTAAGAAGATAGACTTCTTCCTAGTAGACAATGACTTTTGCTGGACAGGAATATTAAGAAGTGTCTTAATAGCTCAAGGAGTTTCAAAACAAATGTAAGTGGTTTATTTCTATTGCTGATATAAAACAAACATTTACCAGCAGCCAGTGGAGGACCTTGGGTTTTTCTTCAGCCTCTTCACTGGTCACGAGGCCCTCTAAGGTTTTTGCCCTCGTACAATGGTTCTTCAGTGTGGCTCCAGACCAGTATATCAGCTTCACCTGAGAACCTGTTAGAAACACATTCTCATGTCCCATGTCAGACCAACTGAATCAGAAACTCTGGGGGTACAGCTCAGCAATCTGGGTTTTCATGAGCTCTCTGGGTAACTCTGCTGCCCACTCAAGTCTGTAAACCACTGGCTAAGTGCACCCAGAAAGACCTGAGATATTTTGTTAGTGGTTGAATGGCAGACGCTGGCCAGGATTGCAGAATCGCCTGAGCACAGGTGCACACAGCCAGTTGAAATGGTCTTAATTAGCTTATGAACTTTTTTTTTTTTTTTTTGAGGTGGAGTCTCACTCTCACCCAGGTTGGAGTGCAATGGTGCGACTTCAGTTCACCGCAACATTTGCCTCCTGGGTTCAAATGATTCTCCTGCCTCGGCTTCCCGAGTAGCTGGGATTACAGGCATGTGCCACCATGCCCAGCTAATTTTGTATTTTTAGTAGAGACAGGGTTTCTCCATGTTGGTCAGGCTGGTCTCGAACTCCCAACCTCAGGTGATCCACCCGCCTCAGCCTCCCAAATGCTGGAATTACAGGCATGAGCCACTGTGCCTGGCCCAGTATTTTTTTTTTTTTTTTTTTAGTAGAGATGGAGTTTTGCCATGTTGGCCAGTCTGGTCTCAAACTCCTGACCTCAGGTGATCTGCCTGCCTTGGCCTCCCAAAGTGTTGGGATTACAGGCATGAGCCACTGCGCCTGGCCAACTTAGGAACATTTTTAATATCATTCCCAAATCCTTGCTGGCCACTCTGAACCTCCACACTCCCTTCTCCAGGCCCTCACCATCGCCTCACGTCTTCTTGGCATTAAGATTCAGCTTACAAATGAAGTTTAGAAACACCTTCCCCACCTCCCCAGCCCAGGCTCCATAGCATCCTGTGCCGTAATAGAATGGCATAATTTCCTGCGTCTTTTCTATTCTTGGTTAATGGATAGCTCAGTGGCTGGCATGCAGTAGAAGCACATTAAGCCAGGGTTGAATGCTCCCCGGGTCCGGAGTTTTGGATTCTGTTTCTGGCCCTTCCTCTTAGCAGCAAACCACTTAACCTTCCTGAGCCCTGGTTTCCTTAGCTCTGCAATGGACGAATAAGGAGTCTTGATCTCCTTTCTACAAGGAGATGAGGAGGTGTCTTTGGAGCTGGGGGAACAAAAGGAACAGTTAGTGGTTCCCAGCTTCTGCTACATATTAGACTCGTCAGATCACTGGAGGGGACAACTAAAAATACCCATGCCTGGCCCACCCCCAAAGATTCTGGTTTACTTGGTCTGTGGTATGGCCTGAGCATGGAATTTCTAGAAAGTCCCTAGTTAATTCTAGGTTGCAGCCAGATTGGAGAAGCATAGCTGTAGGTAAATATCTGCCTTCCTTACAAACATTTGTAGAGTTTGAATGAGATTAAATGAAAGTACCTTGTAAAGGGGACAAGTGCCATAGGAATATGAGATATTTTAAAACCTAATATGTATAGTTTTACTTGGAAAAATTGAGATGATTCAGGAAGTATTTAAAAAATAGTTGCAGGAGGTGGAGAAGTAAATATCTGGGAGATGGCCGGGTGCAGTGGCTCACGCCTGTAATCCCAACACTTTGGGAGGCTGAGGTGGGCAGATATGTGAGGTCAGGAGTTCGAGACCAGCCTGGCCAACATGGTGAGACCCTGTCTCTACTAAAAATACAAAATTGACCAGGTGTAGTGGCACACTCCTGTAATACCAGCTACTCGGGAGGCTGAGGCAGGGGAATCGCTTGAACCCAGGAGGCAGAGGTTGCAGTGAGCTGAGATTGTGCCATTGCACCCCAGCTTGGGCTACAGAGCGAGACTCCATCTTAAAAAATAAAAATAAATATTTGGGGGAATGTCAGTTACCTTGCTGTTTGGTAATTTCCCCTCTTCTATGCCTATCTTCTTATTTTTTTCCTGATGGGTGAAGAATCAAAGATATTTGGGCTCCTTTTGCCATAATGTGAAAATCTTCAACTCCCACTGCAGCAGTAATGCTTTTGAATAAATTGATCTAAGCTGCTTTATTTTCTATTTATTTGTTTTTGAGACAGAGTCTTGCTCTGTGGCCCAGGCTGGAGTGCAGTGGCACAATCTCAGCTGACTGCAACCTCTGCCTCCTGGGTTCAAGTACTTTTCTTGCCTCAACCTCCTGAGTAGCTGGGATTATAGGCATGCACCACCACACCCAGCTAATTTTTGTATTTTTAGTAGAGATGGGGTTTCGCCATGTTGGCCAGGCTGGTCTGGAACTCCTGACCTCAGGTGATCCACCCATCTTGGCCTCCCAAAGTGCTGGGATTATAGGCGTAAGCCACCACGCCCAGCCAGTCTAAGCTACTTTAGAGTTGTAAGCCTGGGGGCTAGGCCTTCCTTTCATTTGCTGAACCTGGTTTGGATTTTATGCACATAATCTACATCTTCGAGACTCCAAGAAAATGGGTTGCAGACACTACCACCATATAGATCGCAGCCTGTGGACAGGAACTAATAATTGCTAATATTTATTACAACTCTAGGTTGTGCCAAGCTCTGGGCTGTGTGCTTTGAATGCATCGCCCAGTTTAATTCTCATAGCAACCCTATGAGGTAAGAACCATCTCCATTCTGCAGATGAGGAAATTGAAGCTTAGAAAGTTGAAAACTTGCCCAAGGTTGCGTAGCTAATAAGTGGCAGAACTGACATGCAAAACCAGTCTGTCTGCCCCCACAGATGCATGTTCTTTACCATCACGTAGGTCAGGCCAGGATGTCAAGGAGAGCAACCCCGAACTAGTCCTGGTGATTTAGACTAGAGCGTCTTTCACTGCTGTGATTCCTTCATTGGCACTTTCTTCCAGTTGTACAGTGTCTGTCTTTGCTTGGTCTTTGCTTGTTCTACCCTTAGTTTAGCAGATATCCCTCTCTCCATGAACAAGGTGAGTGAGCTCTTTTTCTGAGTACATTTGGTTTTTCAAAATCCCTCCAAGGAATCATTTCCTTGACCAAATGCCCTCATCTGTGGTGGCGATCAACATCTTTGATTTTACCCTTTTTTTTTTTTTTTTTTTAAATTGAGACAGAGTCTCGCTCTGTTGTTCAGGCTGGAGTGCAGTGGTGCGATCTTGGCTCACTGCAACCTCCGCCTCCAGGGTTCAAGCGATTCTCCTGCCTCAGCCTCCCTAGTAGCTGGGACTACAGGTGCCTGCCACCACACCCAGCTAATTTTTTGTATTTTTAGTAGAGTCAGAAGTGGGTTTTCACCATGTTAGCCAGGCTGGTCTCGATCTCCTGACCTCGTGATCTGCCCACCTTGGCCTCCCAAAGTGCTGGGATTACAGGTGTGGGCCACCATGCCCGGCCAATTTCACCCTTCTTTTTATGGACTGTTCTGCTCAAGGGGTCTCCATCTGCTTATTTGGTATGAAAGGCTTCGTGAGAACCAAGTTTGCCTTTGACTGTTTGGTGCCTGAACGGCCTGTGGGCTTGGTCTGCAGCATTCCTGCTTGCCCAATAGAACATCCTTCAGAAAGAATGTGTGTTTAGGGTTCACTCACTAGAAGTCAAGTGGGTCTTCAGTCTGAGCCTTGCAAGCAGGAGGTGGCTTTAGCCGTGCATGGGTTACCTTCCACTTCTGCAGCACATTGGTTAAAACTGAAACCAAAGAAAGCCATCCCTTCTTTGAGAACTGTGCTAGGAAAAGGCAGAGCAGTGAATTGCTGTCACCCTACATGGATCTTACAGACAAATAATAAAAACAAGCAAAATAATTACAGATTAGGAAAATCAGAGCATGCTGGATTGGAAAATAACAGGCCTTGTCACTGGCTCCAAAGGTCAGAGGATAAAGTTAGAAAGTTCTGTAGTCAGAAAAACTGAGTTTGCTTTTAGCTTTAAATAAAATACATCTATAGTGATGCCTCTTCAACTGGAGTTTTCATCATTTTGCGCAGGAGTTCATGGCACTTTATTGGCAACAAGCAATGTTTTTTTCTTGACCTTGGCAGAGGAGCTCTCAAGGCAGTGTCATCTGTTGGCCACGTGCATCTGAACTTCTAAAGAGAGTGGCTCAAATGCAGGTTCCAAGGCCCTACCCCAGTCAGAATCTCTGGAGGTGGAACCCAGACTCCACATTTGTAAAGAGAACCTCCAAGTGATTTTGATGGAATCTTCAGTTTGAGAACCACTGATCAAGGGAATAGATTTGTGCCAAATTGCAAATCAATGTAGAGACCCAGCTAGAATCCCTTCAGCCTCCTCCACAACCTGGCCCACTTCTTGGTCCTCACATCAAAACAATCTCTTCCTTTCTTCAGTCTTTCATGGACTTTCAGTTCTCCAGTATGCTCAGGGGCTCCCTCTCCAAGAAGAAGTCTTCAATCTGCAAACCCCACCTGGTGCCCCTTTACCTGAAGAACATAGAAGAGTCCCACATCCACTGCCTCCACTGCCCCCATTCATGCCTCAGCACCTCCATCCCTCCTTCTCCCACCCCAGCCTCAGAGCGAGGTTCCAGAAGTGTCACCAGGGGCCACACAGTGGTATCCTCCTTGACCTCCTGTAGCACCTAGCAGTGCTCCCAACTCCCTTCCTTTACAGGGTCATCCTCATCCAGAGGAGGTGGGGCATTTTGCACTCTTCTCCCTCTTTGCTCTTCCCTAGGGGTGTCCTGTGTCCCCAAGCCTTCAACCACATCCTTTGCCATGAAGCCTCCGGTGCCCATTTCTGGGTACCTACTGGACATTTCTGTGTCTAGACAAGCACCGCAAACAACAAATCGAAAATTGAATCCAGTCCTGGTCTCAAACAACTTTGCCTCTGGCCTTTTTTGCCATTACCGTGAGACGGTATCTCTGTAATGATTACAACATAGGCATGGTTCCCATGCTTAAGGTCCAAAGGGTGCATAGTGGAATGTAGATCTTCCTCACACCTGGTCCCTACCTACCCAGCCCCCTCTCCACAGGCAGCCCCTATTTCCAGAAACATCCATCTCCATTCCTTCTTCCTTCATCTAGCTGCCAAGTTCTGCCACCCTTTCTTTTGCAGGCTCTGACACCTCATTCCTTTTCTGTTTATTCCTATAGAAGCTTAGTGGAAAATAGACCCCTCTCCCTCTGTCTTAGAAAATAGAGACCTCTCCCTCTGTCTTAGTAGAAAATAGACACCTCTCCCTCTAAGTAGAACATAGAGACCTCTCCCTCTGTCTTAGTAGAACATGGAGACCTCTCCCTCTTTGCTCTTCCCTAGGGGTGTCCTGTGTCCCCAAGCCCTCAACCACCTCCTCTGCCATGAAGCCACAGGTGTCTGTTTCTAGGTACCCACTGGACATCATTTCTGTGTCTAGACAAGCACGACAAACTACAACAAATCGAAAACTGAATCCCATTCTGGTCTCAAACAACTTCGCCTCTTGCCTTTTCTGCCATTACCATGAGAGGGTACCAGCTCAGTCTAACACAACCCAGCGCTGACCAGCCCTCCCCCTTCCCTGTCCCCTTGGGGTGCTGGGGGACACACTGCTGACCTTCTCGAAGCTGGTCTCACCCTTATCTTCTAAGCATCTCATATTTTGCCTCACTTTCCTCATCTGTAAGAATGAGAATGATAGTGTTTACTTCATCCTATTTTTAAGTGTCTTAAGAAGACCTTTCCCCTGTAATATTTTTGTATCTCTTTAATTTTAATATTTCAAACATATAGGAAAATTTCAAAAATAGTACAAGAAATTTCCATATACCCTTTACCCAGATTTACCAGTTTTTTTGCGTTGACCATTTACCTTATATTCTCTTATTCTTTCTCTCTGAATATATTATATATAATTATTTATCTAAACCATTTAAATTGTGTGTGTGTATATATATATATACACCCCATTTCTGTATCTCTGAGTATATATAATGTATCCAAAGATATAGAAATTGTACATATAATGTATATCATTTATAGATATATATAAAATATTTATGTACAAACAAACACCATTTAAGAGTAAGTTGGAGGCCAGGCACAGAGTGGCTCATGCCTGTAAATTCAGCACTTTGGGAGGCCAAGGTGGGAGGATAGCTTGAGCCCAGGGGTTCAAGACCAGCCTGGGCAACATAGGGAGACCTCTGTCTGCACAAAAAATAAAAGAATTAGCCAGGCATAGTAGTGCATGCCTGTGGTTCCATCATCTTGTGGAATGCTGAGGTGGAAGGATCACTTGGACCCAGGGGGTCGAGGTTGCCGTGAGCCATGATTGTGCCACTGCACTCCAGCCTGGGTGACAGAGGGAGACCCTGTCTAAAAAAAAAGCATAACTTGGAGATACGTTTCTTTTTACTGCTAAATACATTGGTGTGAATTTCCTAAGAAATAAGGTTGTTCTCTTACATAACCACACTAGTTCATGCAGTTTTTATGAGGATTAAACTGAATAAATAAAGTAAAGCACTTTGCAGAGTGCCCATCACCCTTGCAGGTGCCAATAATTGGTAGCCATGGTTGCTGAGTTCTCTTCATTGGTCCTTGGCTTCTAGCCTACCTGGGTTGGTGTCAGTTCCCAAGCATGCCCTACACTTTGCCATTCTTCCTGCTGGACTGCAGCTCACCAGCCCCACCTGTATGCATTGACTCCTCCCCTCCCCTCCCAGGCAGCACCTAGTGCCTCCTGCTCCATGGGACATCTGTCATCTGCCTCCCTCCCTACTTCCAGCAGGAAGGGGTCTGCTTCAAGTCAGGCCCTTTCTGGTCGAAGGCTACAGAGGCCCATACAAGATGGCTCTGGAAAAAAGCACAGGAATCTCAGGCAAGGAATAGCGGCCCCTGCTGCTGGGCAGGTGCGGGCTGCAACAGGGAGGTGTGAGGAACCGAGGCAGCAGCATCTCCCCACACCTCCCTCTATACCTACCCACCTATGTCATGGTTTCCTCTGCCTCCTAAAACCCTCATTTATGAGTCAGTTCTGCCTCTTACTAGCGTGTGACCCTCGGCAAGCTGCTTAATCACTTTGAGCCTGTTCCCTTGCTTTGTAAAAATAAGGCTAAGGGTAATAATAGACCAGGCACAGTGGCTCACGTCTGTAATCCCAGCACTTTGGGAGGCCAAGACAGGTGGATCACCTGAGGTCAGGAGTTCAAGACCAGCCTGGCCAACATGGCAAAACCCCATCTCTACTAAAAATGATATACAAAAAATTAGCTGGGTGTGGTGGCAGGTGTTTGTAGTTCTAGCTACTCAGGAGACTGAGGCAGGAGAATTGCTTGAACCTGGGAGGCAGAGGTTGCAGTAAGCCGAGATTGTGCCACTGCACTCCAGTCTAGGCAACAGAGCAAGACTCAGTCTAAAAAAAAAAAAAAATTACAAAAATTAGCCGGGCATGGTGGCGCACACCTGTAATCCCAGCTACTCAGAAGGCTGAAGCAGGAGAATCTCTTGAACCTGGGAGGCAGAGGTTGCAGTGAGCTGAGATCGTGCCACTGCACTCCAGCCTGGGTGACGGAGCAAGACTCAGTCTAAAAAAAAAAAAATACAAAAATTAGCCAGGCATTGTGGTGCATGCCTGTAATCCCAGCTACTCAGAAGGCTGAGGCAGGAGAATCACTTGAACCTGGGAGACAGAGGTTACAGTGACCGAGATTGCACCATTACACTCTAGCCTGGGTGACAGAACGAGACGCCGTCTCAAAAAAAAAAAAAGGAACAATAACCAAGATTTTATTGAGTGCAAAGCACAGTTCTAACTGTTTTATATTTATTAGCTCAACTAACCATCATACCAACCTTCTGAGAAAGGTACTAATATTGTCGTTATTTAGAGATGAAGACGTGGCGGCACAGGGGGATTGAGTAATTTGCCCAAGGTCGCACAGCTAGAAAGTGGCAAAGCCAGGATTCAAGCTCAAGTTGTCTGGCTCCAGAGCTTGTGGTCTTAAACTGCCATCTACTTTGAAGGGTTGTTGTGAGAATTAAGCATGGATTATCTTATTTAAGGCATTTAGCAGAGAAGCAAGGCTCATCATAAATGCTTTAAAATGTTAATGGTTATTACAGTATCACAGCATTAGTTTGCAGGTGACCGCAATGGACTTCATGGCCCCAGCCTATGCCTCCTAACCCTTCAGCTCAGCTGCTGCAAATCATGAGAGATGCTGAGTTGAAAATATCACAGAGCCAGCCTTGAGCTGGACTATCACTTGGTACAGGAGACGTCAGGGGTCATGTGGTGCCAACCGCAGCAGCTGCCCACTCAGGGTAGGTCATGGGTGACTGGTATCCTAAGTACTTTTTTTTTTTTTTTTTTTTTTTAGAGTCTAGCTCTGTTGCCCAGGCTGGATTGCAATGGCATGATCTCTGCAACCTCCATCTCCCAGACTCAAGTAATTCTCCTGTCTCAGCCTCTCGAGTAGCTGGGACTACAGGCGTGTGCCACCACACCTGGCTAATTTTGTATTTTTAGTGGAGACAGGGTTTCGTCATGTTTGCCAGGCTGGTCTCGAAGTCCTGACCTCAAGTGATTCACCCGCCTCGGCCTCACAAAGTGCAAGGATTACAGGCATGAGCCACTGTGCCCAGCCTAAGGACATTCTTTCTCAGAACTTTGAAAGTAAATTGCTCTGAATGCTCATGGCAGTTCACAGGGCCTGGTGGTTTCTGCCTCAAACCCCTGTGGCAAACTCCTGTTTGTCTGTGTGATTCCTACCCTCTTGCTACTTGAAGTGTGGGCCGTGGACCAGCACGTCAGCATTGCCTGGGAGTTTATTAGAAATGCAGAATCCCAGCCGGGCACAGTGCTCATGCCTGTAGTCCCAGAACTTTGGGAGGCCGAGATGGGTGGGTCACCTGAGTTCAGGAGTTTGAGACCAGCCTGGCCAACATGGCGAAACCCCGTCTCTACTAAAAATACAAAAATTAGCCAGACGTGGTGGCGGGCATCTGTTATCCCAGCTATTCAGGAGGCTGAGGCAGGAGAATTGCTTGAACCCAGGAGGTGGAGGTTGCAGTGAGCCGAGATTGCACCACTGCACTCCAGCCTGGGTGACAGAGCGAGACTGTCTCAAAAACGAAAAAAAAAAAAAGCAGAATCCCGGGCTGCACCCCAGATCCCCTGAATCAGAATGTGAATTTTAACCAGATCCCCAGAGGTACTTACGCATGTTAACATTGAGTAGCACTGACTATTCAATACTACTTCTGTTGTTTTTCTTTTTTTCTTTTGTGGCTGCCTGTGCCTCTTTCTAGTTCAGATTTAGGGCACACTACATACTTGTGGTATCAATAAACAGTGGACTTTTACAACCAGCTATAAATACTATCTAGAGAAAGGAGCTTCGCAGCTTATTCCCAGAGCCCCATGTGAAATAAGAGATTGAAGCCGGGTGGGGCGATGGAGCTCAATTGATAGGGGTTCACACCTGCAGAGAAAATGCAAGGTCCTGAGGTCTCAGTGCATCTACCAAGAAGGTCAGGTGCCAAAGGTCAGAGCAGTCTCAGGCTATGCAGGAGGTCACCAGGGCTACAGAACACGGGACAGCGGATGAGGGCCAGCCAGAGGTGGGAGCACTCATGGCAGGGTGGTGCCTGTTGGCTCTAATAAGCAATGAGGTGGCAGGCACAGAGGCAGGATTTCAGTCCTCAGAGAACAGAGGGAAGAAAAGGACAAGGAGGAACTGGAGTCTACAATAAGTTTCCCAGGCAGGGAGTTGAGCTGGCAAAGTAAGTCACAGGCTGCCTGGGAGAAGTATTGATGTGAGGGGGCCAGGCATGGTGGCTCATGCCTGTAATCCCAGCACTTTGGGAGGCTGAGGCGGGTGGATCACCTGAGGTTGGGAGTTCGAGACCAGCCTGACCAACATGGAGAAACCCCATCTCTACTAAAAACACAAAATTAGCCAGGTGTGGTGGTGCACACCTGTAATCCCAGCTACTCAGGAGGCTGAGGCAGGAGAATCACTTGAACCCAGGAGGCGGAGGTTGCAGTGAGCCGAGATTGCGCCATTGGACTCAAGCCTGGGCAACAAGAGTGAAACTCCATCTCAAAAAAAGAAAAAAAAAGGAAAGAAATATTGCTGTGAGGGGACTAGCACAATGATGCCTTGGGCCAAGGCTTTGGTTGGGTGAGCTGGGACCCCTAAACATAAACCCTGGCCCCAGCCAGGGGGAACCTGAGCCTGGAGCAGTCCTGGGAAGCCAGAGGTGGGCTCCAGGTGTGGGACTGGGTACAGGTGGGGACAAGGAGCCATTCACGGGCTGCAGAGAGAGTCTGAGAGGCTCGTGAAGCAACTAACCTTTCCTGGCATGAGGGTGGCAGGAGGTGTGGCCAGATTCCAGAGGGCTTTCCCATCAGGGATTAGGACACTGCCCTCGCCAGGCCCTGGCTCACCTGTGCACAGCATTTTATCGGAAGCACGGACCTTGCCCCAACACATTCCTGAGATAACACTCCCCCGCCCGTCTCAGAAGACACTCAGTCCGTTGGTGTGAGGGAGGCTGCTGACACCCCCCAGATTCATTTCCAGTTTGTTTGACGTTGGCATGTATGTCTGTGTAACATGACTGAAGAACGAGTCATTAGTGAGCTGTCCAAAGTCCCTTTGGGAACATTCCAGGAAAATAAACCAATATTCCATCAAAGCCACAAATAACTTTTTTTTTTTTTTTCCATTCCTTCAAAGCAGGCTTTCTCAGAGTGTGGTCCACAGACTTCCTGCTTTAGACTCCCCAGAGGAGCTTGTAAAATGCAGATTCCTGGGCCGCCACCCTAAGCCTACTGAATCAGAATCCCAGTGGGGCTTCTGGGAACTGCATTTTTATATGCTACCCAGATGATTCTAATACACCTTAATCTCGAAAACCTCTCACTCTCTTTGCCCCTTTGCTTGATCGTTCCTTTGTGTCAACACCGTGTGCCCGCTGCGCTCTGATACTACCTCCCTGTGCTGCCCCACCTGGTGAACTTCAGCTGAAGGGCCACCTCTCCCTGGGAGCCTTCCTTGCCATCTTTGTCCCATCTTGTGTAGGGGCCCACTGTGTTTTCTCCTAATATGAATCTACCACAAAGTAGTAGTTTCTTTCTGCCTGACTGCTCCCCTGAATGGGGAAGCATCCTGCCCAGTCTCTCCAGGCCCAGCAGAAAGTTTTGCCTATAATTGGTACTAAGAAAGGAATCAGTGCAAGTGAAGGGTGCTGAGCGGCAACGGAAGGGCTACAGAGTAGGGGTGACGAATGGTCGCTTCCCGTTAAGAAGCTGTCACCTTCTGACTCCTCTCCTGGTGAGTCTGAACTCCTAGGTCAAGTCTGGGGCCAGAGGGCGAGCATCAGACCCAAGAAGAGGCCAAGGCTCTGGCTGGCAGGAGGCACAGCCCACCTGTTTGGGACTGCGGTGTCCCTGGTGTAAGCTCAGATCCCTGTCTGTATTTCAGGGAGACTCCATAGCTTGACATTCTTCCTGCTACAGAAAAACAGATGAAAGAACAGTTTTCCAGTCCCAGGGCTGACCCCAAACCCAGGACAGCTAGAATGCTCAGGCCTCCCCCCTCTTTTCAGGCAGGAGAAGCTGAAGAATAGAACTATTGGACCATGAAACTCCCAAGAGTCCTTCCCCCTCAGCGTTTCTCAGAATTTGCGACCACGATTTTCTCTGTGAGGCTCGCAATTGCTATTTGCCAAACTGGTAACTGTTGACCCAACAGAAATCAAACAAAGATACCAGCAGCCCCAGACAGGCTGTCTTCATCGCATCAGTGAAGGGAGAGCAGGTGCCTGGGATCGAAAGGACATTGTCCATCACCTGGCTCTGAAAAACAAAATGCATTTCCTTATTCTTAACAAGCTGAGCACCAGAAACCTGCTTTACCAGTCCAGGGTGCCTCCTGGAAGCTGGCTCGCTTATCTGCATGTATGTGAGGGCTGGGGGTGTTTTTGTGGGGCTGGCTCCGGGCAGGGTGGCTTTGGAAAGGAGAGGCCTGACCTAGCGAGACTCTAGGGTCAGCCCAGACTGCTGTGACCTCAGGGGACTCAGCCCAGGAGGTCCAGGTGAGGGCAGCCTGCCCTCTACGTCTGCAGTAGGTGAAGAACCCCTTGGTTACTTGAAGAGAAAGAAAGGACTGGCTGGGTTGTAGGCAGCAGGGCCGAGCAGCTGAGGGCTAAGTGCACAGCAGGCCCTAGCAAATGCTTCTGGAATTGAATTGGTCCAAGGGGAGACTCCAGCTTTAGTTCAACATGGGCTGTATCCGAATCCTTCTGAAATTTGCTGGGATTCCATGAGGGAGTCAGGTATTACAAGGTTTTGGCAATTACTGAGTTTCTTTTGTGCTTTTTTCTTTATGAGAATGTTGTTTCTGAACCCATTCCCTTTCTCTTCCCTTCTCACCAAATTACACTTGATTTGCCTCCAGGAAGAAAATAGTACATTGTTATCATTTGGTCAAGATTTCATATTCAAAAAAGAGTAAAGTGACAATATAGTTCAAAAATCTTGTTAGATGCTGTGGAAACCTCACCCGGCAGTAGTGATAGCTGCCACGTACTGAGGGATTTTATAGACATTTACATTTTCACTTGTCCTCACCTTCCAGATGAGGCAGCTGTGGCCCAGAGAGGTTAGGGAACTTACCGAGGTCACACAGCAAGTTGGCAAGAGGGTTGGGGTTTCAGTCTGGGCTCTCTGACTTCGCAGCCAAGTGCCTGCCAGTGCTGCATTGTCTCAAGGTATTTGGCGTGTTGATGTGACATCACTCACCCTCCTTGAGTTCTCTGACATTTCTCAGAGCGTTTGTCTGTGTGTCCTGATTTGAGAATTAGTTAAGCTCTCGCACTCTCCGGGGTGCAGTGCCTGGAATTCAGGCACTGGAGGAAGTCCTGCCTCCTTCCTGGAGCTCGCAGCCAGATCCCACAGATCCTGCTCTGTTGGACAGTGAGGATGGGAGGTGTGGCCCAGGGGTTGGCAGGATGGTAGTGGGGTGCAGAGTAGACAGGGCTGCGATGACTCTCCAGACCCATGCTTCTTGTCAGTTCCCAGGCACTGAACCCAGGACTTCCCCCACCAAGGCATCCTGTCCTATTTCCCCCATTGCCTCCTGCCCTCTTAGGATATACAGCTATTGAGAAATGTGAACACAGAGGCCTTTTCAGAGAGAAAGAAGTCCTGCTCCTCAGTATTCCCAGGATCCTAGCTTACTGGAGAGATTAAAAGGCTGGATTATGTGGGAAGGAGAGGCAAGTGGACTGGGACAGTTTAGATCTAATTGCCTAATGACTCCTAGAATATGTCCTTCCAGATGTCCTCATTTTCATTCAGAGTCACTGCCTGCCTTTGTGAGAGGTCATACAGTGTTGAATGATGCGTTATCAGTGTAATGCAATAGCCCAGTGACGTCATGAAAATCCTGGCTTTCTGAGAACACGTTCACAGATAGGAATGCAGTGCTGGAGAGACCCGAGGGTCTTGGTATACTGCACAATTCAGCTTCTATTGTGTAACTCCTGGGTTTATTGGCCCTTTGTTGCTGCTCTCTTTGATAAAGTATGATTTTTTTTTTTTAACTTTCTGATTAGAAATCAGTAGTTTAAGCCTGCTAATCACCTCTTTGGCTTGGCCTGCAGATCATGGAAAGTCCACAACACTTAATCTGTTTGCAAATGTTCTCTTGGTTCCAGAAGTTCAGAAATGTTACCAGCTCCCAATTTTTTATAAGATTGTATAATTTTTACCTTAATTACAATAATAAAGGTTCTGAGATCTATTACACAGATACCTTTTCTTAGTTTACTTTTTAAAAATTTATTTTTAATTGTGGCAAAATATATGTAATATAAAATTTACCATTTTAACCATTTCCGATGTACAGCTCTGTGGTGTTAACTACATTCATATTGTGCAACCATCACCACCATCCATCTTTAGAACGCTCTTCATCTTGCAAAACTGAAACTCTGAAAACTTCTACTTTCTGTCTCTATGAATTTGACTTCTCTGACTGCCTCATATAAGTGAAATCTTAGAGTATTTGTCATTTTTTGTGACTGGCTATTTTTTTTTTTTTTTTGAGATGGAGTTTCGCTCTTGTTGCCCAGGCTGGAGTTCAATGGCGTGGTCTCAGCTCACTGCAGCCTCCACCTCCTGGGTTCAAGCTATTCTCCTGCCTCAGCCTCCCAAATAGCTGGGATTACAGGCACCTGCTACCACACCTGGCTAATTTTTGTATCTTTAGTAGAGATAGGATTTCACCATGTTGGCCAGGCTGGTCTCAAACTTCTAACCTCAGGTGATCTGCCCGCCTTGGCCTCCCAAAGTGCTGGGATTACAGGCATGAGCCACCATGCCTGGCCTGTGACTGGCTATTTTACTTAGCATAATGTTCTCAAGGTTTATCTATGTTGTCGGCTGTGTCAGAATTTCTTTCCTTTTTAAAGCTGAATAATGTTTCATTGTACGTACATATGTGAGATGTATATACATACAATGTGTTGCAATATATACACATACATACACACATATACACGACGTCTTGTTAATCAGTTCATCTGTTGGTGGACACTTGGGTTGCTTCTGCATTTTGGCTCTTGTGAACAATGCTGCTGTGAACATACGTGTATAAATATGTGTTAGCCGGGCGTGGTGGCTCACGCCTCTAATCCCAGCACTTTGGGAGGCCAAGGTGAGTGGATCACCTGACGTCAGGAGTTTGAGACCAGCCTGGCCAACATGGTGAAACCCCATCTCTACTAAAGATACAAAAATTAGCTGGACGTGGTGGCGGGTGCCTGTAATCCCAGCTCCTCGGGAGGCCGAGGCAGGAGAATCACTTGAACCCAGGAGGCAGAGGTTGCAGTAAGCCGAGATTGCAACACTGCACTCCAGCCTGGGCAACATAGACTTCATCTCAAAAATAAATAAATAAATAAATATGTGTTTGTTGCCCCTGCTTTCCATTCTGTTAGGTACATACCCAGAAGGAGAATTGCTAGATCACATGGTAATTTATCTATTTTTTTGAGACAAGGTCTCTTTCTCAGGCTGGAGTGCAGTGGTACGATCTTAGCTTACTGCAGCCGCTACTTCCTGGCTCAAGTGATCCTCCAGCCTCAGCCTCCTGAGTAGTTGGGACCACAGGCGTGAGCCACTGCACCCAGCTCATTTTTGTACTTTTAGTAGAGACAAGGTTTTGCCACATTGCTCAGGCTGGTCTTGAACTCCTGAGTTCAAAGCAGTCCGCCCACCTTGGCCTCCCATAGTGTTGGGATTACTGGCATGAGCCACTGTGCCTGGCCTGGTAATTCTATTTCTAATTTTTCGAGAAACTGCCATCTGTTTTCCACTATTTTACATTCCCACTAGCAGTGCAGAAGGGTTCCAATTTCTCCACGTCATCATCAACACTTATTATTGTTTTATTTTTATTTTTTTAATAGTAGCCAACCTAATGGGTATGAAGTGGTATTTCATTGTGGTTTTGGTTTGCATTTCCCTAGTGATGAGTGATGTTGAGCATTTATATATACACTTTTTTTTTTTTTTTGAGATGGAGTTTTCTTGCTCTGTTGCCCAGGCTGGAGTGCACTAGCACGATCTCAGCTCACTGCAACTGCCACCTCCCAGATTCAAGTGATTTTCCTGCCTCAGCCTCCCAAGTAGCTGGGATTACAGGCGCCCGCCACCATGCCTGGCTAATTTTTGTATTTTTAGTAGAGACGGAGTTTCACCATGTTGGCCAGGTTGGTTTCAAACTCCTGACCTCAGGTGATCTGCCTGGCTTGGCCTCCAAAAGTGCTGGGATTATAGGCGTTAACCACTGAACCTGGCCCATATGCTTTTTAAAAAGCCAACTCCTCATGCCACTTCAAAGCTAGAAAGGCAGTAGAGTGTAACATTCAAGGAACTGATCTTAGAAGCCAAACTCCCAGGTTTTAATCCTGTCTGCTCTCCTTACTAACTTGGTGACTTTGAGTCAGTTACAAGACCTCTCTGTGCTTCAGTTTCCCGTCTGTGAAATGGGATAAGTGACCTAATCTCATCAGGTTACCAGGATAACTCAGTGAATTAATAGAGATAAGTCCCATAACATGTGTAAGACTCTGTGTGTTTGGTAGGTGCTGGGCATCAGTGCTGTCAGTGAACAGAGCAGAATCTGCTGCCTTCATCCTCCCGGGATGGCTTTCTTCTCTGCTGAGGCTTTTTCAAGTAGAGCAAAGGCCTTGGGAGGCTGAAATGAGATGGTGGCTGGAACTGGTGGGTTTTCACACCCCAAAGGTGGGTGTGTCAAGGGGCAGAAGAACAGGGGCAGTTTCTGTCCGATGTCCCTCCTGGAACTTGGCATGTCTGGTTTCAAGAATGAGTGAGTGCAGAACTGGCAACCAGAAGACAGGAACAAGGCCTGGGAATGGAGCGGAAAGGTAGCTGCTATATATAGTTCCTTCAGCCAGTAACGATTAGAGCCAATAGCCATCTGGATGATGAATGGCTCCTAATTGCCTTAAATTACGGCAGTTAGCTAAGGGTTTCTGTTGCTACATGGGTTACCGTAGGCCGCTGCACCCTGCATAACTGTCCTCAGGCCTGCGTCCCCTGAGTCTCAGCACTTGGGCCTCCATACAGTGCCGTATTTGGTAGGACATCCCCCTCATCCCAGAGATACCTGGGCTTTTGTGCCACCGGGATTAATTCCATGAGCATCAGAAGGACCCTAAGTTATAGCTTCCCCTTTTCTTCCCAGAGCGGATTTCCAACTTGGTCTGGGAAGAACCAGGTTCTTTTTCTAGAGGAGATGCCATGGGAGAAAGTAATCTCCATCTCTGATCCTTCTTTAAAGCCTAACCCAATTTCCTTAGCGAGGCAGGAAGATCAGGTGTACTGAGGGAGAGAAGAACTTCTGCCTTTTTCTGCCTTCATCTGGTTAACCTCCTTCTCAGGGCCCAGCTTAAAAGTTAGTTCCTCAAGAAATCATTCTCCAACTCCCTGAAGGGGGACAGGTTCAGTATTTGCCTTCTCTCATAGGGCAATATCCTTTTTTTTTTTTTTTTTGAGACGAAGTTTCACTCTTGTTGCCCAGGCTGGAGTGCAATGATGACACGATCTCGGCCCACTGCAACCTCTGCCTCCTGGGTTCAAGCGATTCTCCTGCCTCAGCCTCCCGAGTAGCTGGGATTACAGGCATGTGCCACCACGCCCGGCTAATTTTGTATTTTTAGTAGAGACAGGGTTTCTCCATGTTGGTCAAGCTGGTCTCAAACTCCCGACCTCAGGTGATCCGCCTGCCTCTGCCTCCCAAAGTGCTGGGATTACAGGCGTGAGCCACGGTGCCCAGCCGGTGATATCCTTTTCTTTTGAATCAATTGTTCTGTTGTAATTAGTTAATACCTCGTGTTATTTCTGCATAATGTCAGCTCAGGAGGTTTTTCTTTTCTCTTTTAAGCCTCTTCTGTTCTAGGAAGCCTAGAACTTTTCTAGAGCAGCAGTTCTTGAAGTGTGATCCCTGGAAATATTTGAGATCCTCTCAGGAGATCTGCGAGGTCAAAGCTTCATAATAATACTAAGAAATTACTTGCCTTTTTAACTTTCAACCTCTTACAAGAATACAGTGGAGTTTTCTGTAGGCAACATGACATGTGATTTTGTAACAGATTGATGCAAATGCAGCTCTTAGGAGTCACTGTCTGCTATTAAACCATACATTACATTGAGGAGACTTGCAAAAATGTAAAATATACCACTCTTCTCACCAATTTTGAAGGGAGATTGGAAAATACAAAAAAAAAAAAAAGTTTAAGAACTGCTATCCTAGAGAAGGGTTGGAAACCCTTCTGGGACTAGGCAGGCTTTGTGGACCATACCATCTCTGTCTTAACTACTCTGTGGAAGGAAAGCAGCCATAGATAATATATCGACAAACAGGTGTGGCTGTGTCTCAGTAGAAACCTTATTTGCAGAAACAGGCAATGGATAGATTTGACCTGTGGGTCATGGTTCTCTATCCTTGCTCTAGACTAAAAGCTTTAAGAGGGCAGGAGCCACATTTATCTTGTAAACTGCTTTATCCTCAGCACCTAGCACAAGGCCTGCTACTTAGTAAATACTTGTTAATTTTAATAGAAATAGTGTTTAGCTGCTGGTAGTAGAGATCAATAATAACAGTGGCTTCAAGATAGATGTTATCTCTTTGTTACATAAGAGAAAAAGAATCAAGAGACAGGTCGGTCTGGACCAGGGTGGTTTGGTGCCACATTGTCATCAGGGACCCAGATTCTGTATGCTTTTCTACCCCACCATTTTTTGCATGTGGTTTCCATCCTTAAAATCACTTCATAGCCTAACAATGCTTCAAAACAATTCTCAAGAAGATTAAGCTGATCGGCCAATAAATTAGGCATCAAAACAAAACTCAACATTCTTGAAAGAAAGAAAACAAAGTTCAGATGGTCAGCAACTTCATATTGACAGTGTCCAGCCAACAGTAGAAAAGGTACTCAGTTTATGAAGAAAGTCAGTCAATAGAAACAGACCTAGAGATGACTTTAAAAAATTTCTTCGTTTCTTTAAAAGATAATTGACTGTTTAGATATGTTTAAAGATTTAAAATAAGTCAGTAGAGAAATGGAACTAAAGGAAAATTCTAGATGAAAATTACAACATCTGATGAAAAATTTGCTAGATGAGTTTAATAGTAGATCAGATGCTGTAAAAAAAAATAAAGACTAGTGAACATGCAGTCAGGGCAATAGAAAGTATTCAAGTGAGGCTGGGTACAGTGGCTCACACCTGTAACCCCAACACTTTGGAAGACTGAGGTTGGAGGATCCCTTGAACTCAGGAGTTCAAGACCAGCCTGGGCAACATGGTGAGACCTCATCTCCACTAAAATAAAAAAGAAATTAGCCAGGCGTGGGGTATGTGCCCATAGTCCCAGTTATTTGGGAAGCTGAGGCAGGAGGATCACTTGAGCCCAGGAGGTAGAGGCTGTCGTGAGCTATGATTATGCCACTGTATTCCAGCCTGGGCAACAGAACGAGTGAGACCCTGTCTAAAATAAAATAAAAAGTACCCAAGCTGAAGCACAGAAGGAAAAAAAGCTTGGAAAAAAAAAGTCAGGACTTTAGCAATTTGTGGGACATTATTAATCAGTCTAAGAAATGTGTATTTGCATTCCCATAAAAAAGGAGGTAGAGAGATTGGAAAAGAAAATGTATTTGAAGACATAATGGCTGAAAAATTCCAAAGTTGATGAAAATGATATCACCCACAGATCCAAGAAGCCCAATAAATCCAGGAAAATCATGTGGAAAACTACACCTAGACACATCATAGTCAAACTGCTGAAAACAAAAGATGAGAAAAATCTTAAAATCATCAGGGAATAACACACAGGAGAACAATAGGAATTACATACAGGAGAACAGTAAGAATACTGCGGACTTCTCATCAGAGACGATACAAACCAAAACATAACTGAATGACATCTCTAAGGTGCTGAAAGGGAAAAATACTGTCAACTTAACAATTCTGTATCCAACCACAAGTATCCTTAAAATGAAGATAAAATCCAAACATTTTCAGATAAAATAAATTGCTTAGAGAAAGTATCACTAGCACAGTTATACAATAAGAAATGTTAAAGGAAATTTTTCAGGGCCAGGTGCAGTGGCCCATGCCTGTAATCCCAGCACTTTGGGAGGCTGAGGCGAGCGGATCATGACGTCAGGAGTTTGAGACCAGCCTGACCAACATGGGGAAACCCTGTCTCTACTAAAAGTACAAAAATTAGCCAGGCTGGTGGTGCTCACCTGCAGTCCCACCTACTCAGGAGGCCGAGGCAGGAGAATCGCTTGAACCTAGGAGGCAGAGGTTGCAGTGAGTTGAGACTGTGCCGCTATACTCCAGCTTGGGTAACAGAGCGTGACTCTGTCTCAAAAAAAAAATAAATAAATTTTTCAGGCCAAAGGAAGATGATATCAGGTGGAAACTTAGATCTACGTGAGAAATTAAAAGAGCACCAGAAATAGAAAAAACTAAAAATTTCTTCATTTCTTTAAAAGATAGTTGACTCTTTAGAGCAAACATAATAATGGTGTATTGTGGATGATTTTTTTTTTAAAAGCAGAACAGAAAACAAGAAACAGGTAAGACAAATAGACAACAAATGGCAAATTGGTAGACTTAAATCCAGCTATATCAATAATTCAGTAAAAGTAAATGGACTAAACACTTTAATTAAAAAGTAGAAAAAAAGAACAAGACTCAAGTATATAGCCTGCCTGTAACAGGTTCACTTTAAATATAAATACATAGGTTACAAGTAAAAGGATAGGAAGGATATACCATACCAATACTAATCAAAAGAATATTGGAATGGCTGTCAGCATGGCATGCAGAGAGCTTTTACAATAATAGGGTGATTCATCAAAAAGACATGACCATCCTAAATGTGTAGACACCTAGTAGCTGAGTTCAAATACCTGAATAAATGACTGGATCCAGTAGAGCAAGCTTTCCAGCTCTTTGCAGGGGAGAGGACAGATGGAGCCATTTCCTCATTCCAGTCCTGATCTCCTTTGACTCGCTGGCAAGGGCAGAAGTGGGCAGAAGCAAGCTAACCTCCATGGCCTCATTCTGTGCATAGCATTGAGACCACGTGTGTCCTCCTTGTCCTCTGAGATGGCAGGCCCTGGGGCCTTCTGATAGGAGCCCCTACCAACAGCTCCCACAGGGTACCCCACCCTAGCTTTTCTTGCCATGAAGAGAGCTTTCTGGAACCTGCCAAGCTCACGTGTGATGCCAGTCAGGACTTGGGGCCATGCTCGCTGAGATTGGCAGGGGCTGGGGTCCTGGAGTGGTGGATGGCATCATTGTCAGTCTCTGGGAACTCTGGGTGTCCTAGGACACAGGAGAAGGTGGCAGTGTCCGCCCTCAGGCTGGTTCCTGGCATTCAGATACTGACAGGAGCTGAGTCAGCACCAGGTGGGGCAGTGGGGAGGGGAATTTTTAAGCAATAATGAAAAGTTGCCTGGAAGAGGAGGAGAAGCTTCCTGGATAGGCTGTATCTGGTGGCAAAGAATTCCATCATTTACAGGCAGTCCCATTTGCACTGACATTCCATGTGAGAAATGATTTCTTTTCCTTTTTAAAAAATTGTGGTAAAATATACATAACATAAAATTAATCATCTTAACCATTTTCAACGGTAGAGTTTAGTGCATTAATTATATTGTTATTATGCCACCATCACCACCATCCATCTCCAGAACTCTTTTCATCTTCCTACACCCACTAAACAATTCCCCATTCCACCCTGCCCCCAGCCCCTGGAAACTACTATTCTGTCTCTGGCTCTATGAGTTTGACTACTCTAGATACCTCATATAAATGAAATCCCATAGTATTTGTCCTTTGTGACAGGTGGTTTCACTTAGCATTATGTGAAATAATACATAAGACTCATCCATGTTGTAGACTGTGTCAAAATTTCCTTCCTTTTTAAGGGTAAATCATATTCCCTTGTATGTTGATATCACATTTTGCTTTTCTGTTCCTCTGTCGGTGGACATTTGGGTTGCTTTCACCTTTTGGCTATTTGTGAATAATGCTGCTAGGAATGTGAGTGGACAGTAATGATTTTTTGTTTTGTTTTGTTTTAAGGTAATAAGGCGTAAATGGGGATAGGAATTAGTGGCTCAGGACACCGACCTGATAGTCTTTTTTTTTTTTTTTTTTGGGACGGAGTTTTGCTCTTGTTGCCCAGACTGGAGTGCAATAGCGTGATCTCGGCTCACCGCAACCTCCGCCTCCCAGGTTCAAGCGACTCTCCTGCCCCAGCCTCCCTACTAGCTGGGATTACAGGCATGTGCCACCACGCCCAGCTAATTTTGTATTTTTAGTAGAGACAGGGTTTCTCCATGTTGGTCAGGCTGGTCTCGAACTCCCCACCTCAGGTGATCCGCCCGCCTCAGCCTCCCAAAGTGCTGGGATTACAGGCATGAGCCACCGTGCCCGGCCCCGACTTGATAGTGTTATTTGTTGTTGTTGTTGTTGTTTTTAGATGGAGTCTAGCTCTGTAGCCCAGGCTGGAGTACAGTGATGCGATCTCAGCTCACTGCAACCTCCGCCTCCTGTGTCCTGGTTCAAGCAATTCTTCTGCCTCAGCCTTCCAAGTAGCTGGGATTACAGGCACGCGCCACCATGCTAATTTTTGTATTTTTAGTAGAGATGGGGTTTCACCATGTTGGACAGGCTGGTCTTGAACTCCTGACCTCATGATCTGCCTGCCTCAGCCTCCCAAAGTGCTGGGATTACAGGTGTGAGCCACCGTGCCCGGCCGGACCGGATAGTCTTATTTCGCATTTGTAGAAACCTAGAACAAAAATAAGCATGTGGGAAAGTTTATTCTGCAAATCTGCATTTTTGAAGGGACAGAGCTGCTGAGAGCCTTTGGTGGTTGAGGTCTCTTGACTCATTCCCACCCTTCTATGCACTGGCCATATGCAGGCCAGTGTCTGAGTTAAGGTGTCATTTCTTGCTTTGGTTATTGCAACAGTCAGCTAACGGTAACCAGGCTCCAAGATCATTTTCCAGCAATCTCTTGTTGCAACTACTTTTGGAATTTTCTTCCACAGGGCTTTCCAGAGCAAATTACTCTCCTTCTCAGAAATTGCTCATGGTTCTCCAGTGCTCATAGAAAACCCCAAAATATCTTAGCATGACTCAGGGCCCCCATTGGTCTTCCCAGTCTTCTCCCCCTCTCCTTTCCCTCATTCTTTCATTTACCTCTTGGTTCATTTGTTCATCCTGTGATATGTATTTTGTATTGGTTTCTGACATGTATGTCTCATGCTGACTCGCTCGGATAGTGTGCTCTAGGGCCCAGGACCTAAGAGCAGGAATGTTTATGATGGAAAGGATCTTACTTTTTGGGGCCTCCTTAGCTCTTCGTTGAAACCTTGTAAGGTACATTGTTTCATGCCCAATTGGCAAGTTGGAAGATTGAGCTTCTACAGTTTAGAGAAATGGGTTTGCAATTATGGTCCTTGGATCAAATTTAGAACCAGCACCGGGGTGTTCCTCTGAGTGAGATTGTGGCTTTTTGAGACACTAGGAAGCTGGAGGTAGCAAGAGTAAATGCCCAGGGGCTCTGGATCTGCTTTGTCTCTGCAGTAAGGTGAGACCTTGCTAGGGCTGTTTGATTGAAGAATGATGAAAGGCCAGTGCTTGTAGATATTCCCTTAACAAAAGCCTGAGTGTGGTATAGCATTAAGTTGGCTGCTGTCTCCACTCTGGAAGGATATCAAATGAGAATATAAGCTCGTGTTGGCAGGAATATGCTCCCCACTTTATAGGGAACCCAGGAGTGAGGGGAAAGCCTTACCAAAATTTGTTGCATTCATGCTGATAAATTCTGAACACTCAGCTGGGTGGGTCAAGAAGTTAGAGCATGTGGGTGGATGTGGACTTCTCTCATAAATGTGCAACCCATTGAAACGCTGCTGCTCAAAACAGAGTGGGACCAGAAATACCTGCAGAGTTGAGTAACTTGCTTAAGGTCTCCCAGCTAACAGAAAGCAGAGCTGAGCCTTTCACAATTTAGGAGTCCAAGTTCAGCGCTGCTTCTAACACATCTGCCTCTTGGATGGCTTTGGCATAAGTTGCAGCCTTGGGAGCATTAACTAGTCTCAGTGATCTCACCCACAAAGTGTGCATAATAACATCTGCCTCACTGGGCCGTCATAGAGACCAGCGAGCTAATCAGGTAAAGAAGTCAGCAGGGGCTAGAACAGAATGGGTTATGAATGATGCTGTTTCCTGGTGCACCCTTTCTTCACTTGCTGGTGAACAACAAGTTCTTGGGACTTGCTCTCCATGGTCAAGATTCTTGGTTGATCTTGACCAATAGGGGTATATAGTGGTGGAGGCACGATCTCTAGAGGGTGAAGAGTCTGATTGGATAGGAATGCCATGCAACTGTAGTCATTCCCCTTTTCCTTATTAGAGCATTGCCACTGACCTGCAATCTTAGGGTGGGTGTGGGGAGTTTTTTCTTTTCTTTTATTGAGACGGAGTCTTGCTCTGTCGTCCCAACTGGAGTCCAGTGGCATGATCTCAGCTCACTGCAACCTCCGCCTCCCGGGTTCAAGCAATTCTTCTGCCTCAGCCTCCCGAACAGCTGGGACTACAAGCATGCCCGGCTAATTTTTGTATTTTTAGTAGAGACGGGGTTTCACCATATTGGCCAGGCTGGTCTCAAACTCCTGACCTCGTGATCTGCCCGCCTCGGCCTCCCAAAGTGCTGAGATTACAGGCATGAGCCACCGCGCCTGGCCTGTGGGGAGTTTTTTCACTTCCCTTTCCCCAAAAGTACTTGCATGACCTCGGTGTCTGGTGCCCCTGCTTGCAAAAGCATCTGTTATTCCCTCAGTCAGCACAGCTGGCATCCACCTGTCTGGGCTCCACCCCTCATCCACCTGCAGTAAAGCAGAAAAGCCTCATTGAAAGAATCAGCTTTTTCTGGCACGAACAGGTGGATGTCGTTGCTCTTTCTGTCCTGATAAGTTGGTCTTGCCCCATGGCTCCCCCTCTGTAGGGTACTTGGTTTCTTCCTTCCCTCTTGGTGATATCTCAGTCAGGAAGAAAGTCCTATCGGAGAGCTTCCAGGAGACCACTTGATTGCACTGCTGACTGATAACACAATTTACCCTGAGCAGGGACCTGTAGTTTTGTATGATTCTTAGGATTTAACATACACTGCCCTCAAGGCCCAAGGGACAAACAGAAAGCCTGGTTATGCTGAGCCCAAGTGGGATATCATCTAGAAGGCTTTGAGGTTTTCTTTTCCAACGTGAGCTTATTTTCTTATTTTATATATTTAAAAGGGTTCTCTTTTTCTCGTGAGGCAGAACTTCAAAGGAAGCATTCCAGACCACACTTCCTTTTGGTAAATCTTAACCAGTGTAAATGTTTACTTTTGTGTTGTAAATCCTAGGAGGTGAGGGGAGAAGGAATGTCCGAAGCAAGTGTCCTGCCAGCAAAAGTTGAAACTTAATCTGCTGTTTTAGGCGTTTGGGAGGAAGGGGAGTGTTTATAATTAACAAGCCATGCTAATGAACCTGGAGTTAGAACCTTTTTGCCAGGTTCTGCAAATTTCTGGACCCACTGGAATGAGAGAGAGTTAGGAAAGCCTGCTTTGCTTCTTCTGCTGCCAGGGAGGTCAGTGCATGAAAATGGAAGGAATGAGCAAAACAATAATTCAAAGGGTAGAAAGATAAAGGGGAAAGTGAAATGATAGAAAGCAATATTACTTAAAAGCTGTGGCTTTTGGCTGGGCGTGGTGGCTTACACCTGTAATCCTAGCACTTTGGGAGGCTGAGGCAGGCGGATCACCTGAGGTCAGGAGTTTAAGACCAGCCTGGCCAACATGGTGAAACCCTGTCTCTACTGAAAATACAAAAATTAGCCGGGCGTGGTGGCAGGCGTATGTAGCCACAGCTACTTGGGAGGCGGAGGCATGAGAATCCCTTGAACCCGGGAGGTGGAGGCTGCAGTGAGCCGAGATCGCACCACTGCACCCCAGCCTGGGTGACAGTGCGAGACCCTGTCTCAAAACAAAACAAAACAAAAACAGCTGTGGCTTTGGTTAAAAATGTAAATTCCAAAAAAATTCCTAAAAGAAATGTTCCCGTGCCCCTGCCACCCTCACTCACTAGGAATGCAACAATGCATTGGACAGGAGGGTCTCGGCAATCGGCTTGGGACCCACACTGTCTAGGAAAGAAACTTCTGGTTTCCATGTGCTGACTGAGCAACAACCCCTTGGAAGAAATCCTTGAAAAACTGGGATGTTCTATGGAGGGAAGCTACTCATGAGTTGTGTAACTTAGGCAAAGGCATTCACCTTTTCTGAGACTCAGTTTTCTTCTTATCAATAAAATGGAGCTAACAATAGGCACCTTCAGAATTATGATGATTAATTGGCTCGTGTTTTCTCAACACTGTCAATTGTTCTTGAGGTCACTATTGTTACCCCTACTTCTATGCACCCACCATGTATGCATGGAATGTGCTAGAAGGGGAAGAGGTAGTGGGAGGTGATCCTGGGGCAAATACAGCTAAGACCTCCCCCCATCCTACATGCACTCATTCTTCTCTTTCCTCTGTTAGTCTGGAAGGGGTTGGGGCTGTTGGAAGAAAAGGAACATAAAGCAGAGAGAAGGATGCAGTGAGGGTGTCTGGGACTGTTGGCAGGCAGCAGTCGGGTTTGGGGGCTACAGGGCTCTGCAATTGAGGAAGCCAGAGGTGGATGAAGAGTTGGCCACACCTCTCCCCTAAAGCTGCAGAATCTTCTGACTATAAAAAGAGCTGGTGCATTCAGAATCCTCTACAACCAGTCCTTCCCCTGACCTTCCCAGAAGCTTCGAACCCTCAGTGCTGAGCTGCCAAGACGAGCTGGGTGACTAACATAGCCATTCTCCAGTTTGGGGATGTCAGAATGTCCACCCCTTCCCCACTTCTCGAGGGGGTCATGCTTCAGAACTGCAGCCCTGCCACTTCCTCACTTCAGCCTTGTATGTAAGAGTAGCAAGCCCAGCAAACAGCCCAAATCTCTCTCCCTGGGGGCTGTGTGGATACATTTTGGGGCACCCATGCAATGGAGTACCTTGTGGACACTGACAAGTCTAAGGTAGAGCTACAGGTGCTCATAGGGAAAGGAGTCCAAGATACATGATGGAGCATTCAGCAAGATTCAAAACAGTAGTTTATATGTTTAAAGAATGGAGTTAAAAGTATACACTCCCATCAACTAGAGTTTTACAGATGGGCTTCAAGGAATTATCTGTTCCATAGAAATGTTTGGCCCACATGGTTTTGAAATAGCTGCTTCTCCAGGACCACCCTTTGAAAGCTTGTGTTCACTGCAGTCCACCCTTCCCACTTCACTGGGTTACCTGCCTGGGTCATGCTGGAATTTGAGTTTGCAACCCCAAGACAACTGAGAGTGAGTTAAGGGAAATTGTGTATGTCCTACAGTGTGATTGATCAGTTTTAAGATGAACTTGTTTGTTTTGCACGTTAATATCTTCGAATGTGAGGTACTCTTATCAATGCTGTTGGCCATTGCTATCGTTGCTTGCACCATGCACAAATAATGTCGTTTCTGTTAAGGTAACGTGATAGCTGTGGCCCCTCTGTGTTTTCATTGAAAACCGTGGAAAAACCATTTGCAAACAGGTCTTTGTTCTTATTGAAAAACTTTCTTTGACATCTTCTGGTGAAGTCAAGAAAGTGCTAGAATCAAAATTCAAAGTAATTGTCAGCGGCTTGGAAGAGAATCACGGAATTCTCTTTCAAGAAATGCTGCTGGGCACGGTGGCTCATGCCTGTAATCCCAGCACTTTGGGAGGCCAAGGCGGGTGGATCACTTGAGGCCAGAAGTTTGAGACCAGCCTGGCCAACATGAGGGAACCCCATCTCTACTAAACATACAAAAATTAGCCGGGCGTGGTGGTACGTGCCTATAATCCCAGTTACTTAGGAGGCTAAGGCAGGAGAATCACTTGAACCCAGGAGGTGGAGGTTGCAGAGAGCTGAGATCATGCCACTGTACTCCAGCCCAGGTGACAGAGTGAGATTCTGTCTCAAAAAAAAAAAAAAGATAAAAAATAAATGCCTTAACATTCAGTAGCACAAAAGAATGACACTGTGAATGAGAAACACACAGGTGCTGATGACTCAGAGCTGAGAAGGGGCTCAATCTTATACCATAGTTCATTCATTTCATTTAACTTCCTTGTCATACATGGAAAAGAGAGTCATATAATAAAGGCCATATCTAAAAAAAGTCTGAGCTTTTTCAGTACATATAAATATTCTAAGGTAAGGAAAGCTTTGGGTCATAACTTATTGGTAGTGTTTTCCTTTTCTGGTTGCATCTAATAATTCTGTTTATAAGTGATACTTTCTTAGTAATGAAGTAGAATATGTGTATGTATTTGATCAGCATGTATATGTGTTTTTGTGTGCACATGCATGTGTGCTGGGTTAGTGTACCTGCTGATATGTCTGTGAAAACATTTCTGGAAGGGCACACTGGAAATATTAACTTCCCTGTAACTTAAGGGTTTGCATAGTAGGTGAGGAGGGAAAAGTTTCTTGTTACTTGTATTTGTGGGTTACTTCTGTATGTTTTTGGTTTTTTCTTTTTCTTTTTCTTTTTTTTTTGTGACAGGGTCTCACTCTGCCGCCCAGGCTGGAGTGCAGTGGCACAATCTCAGCTCACTGTAACCTCTGCTTCCCAGACTCAAGCCATCCTCCTGTCTCAGTCCCCCAAGTGGCTGGGACTGAAGGCATGAGCCACCACACCAGGATAATTTTTGTATTTTTTGTAGAGACAGGGTTTCACCCTGTTGGCCATGGTGGTCTCAAACTCCTGGGCTCAAGCAATCTACCCTCCTCAGCCTCCCAAAGTACTGGGATTACAGGCATGAGCCACTGTGCCTGGCCATTTTTCACTTTTATTAAAAATGGTGGGGGAACCCTTCAAGTCTCAAGCCCCACCTCAGACCTCCTGACTTCAGCATCTCTGGGGATGGCACCCCCGGTGCCAGGCAGCCAGATTTGGTTCTCTGTCTAACCAGGCTGAAAGCCAACTGGCATCTGTAGGGGACCAAGGACTCCATGAAGCTCACAGGGGTTTCAAAGAAACTACGAATTCACTAACCAATTGACTATCTCCTTGCCCGCCTCTTTCCCTTTCTCCTCTCCTTCCTCAAGTATTTTTTGAGTACCTCCCCTATGTATAATGTCAAGCATGCATCTGCAGACCTTCTTTTCCCTTCGGGAGCTGGGAGTGGATGATGCCTATTTTGCACCCTTGAGATTCATGGAAAATGTGCATCTTTATAATCCTTGACCGTCTCTTCATACCTTTATGCCTGAGAATGCACCCTTGGTGCTGTGAGCCCTTTGTGGAGAATGTGACTTCTTCTCCCAGACAAGATCTCATTGTGAGGCCAGGTCTAGGTTTAGAGGTTCATAATGATGGGCAGCACCTCTGTGACTTTTGCAACCTGTAGAGGCTGCTCTGAAGTGCTATCTGTCCAGAAACACTGAGCTCTGCACTGGTGTGGCTGCGGAACTGTCCTGAAGGAGAGAGTGCAGGAGAGGGACATTTGGAAGGAGCACATCCCCCCGCCCAGGCTTTACCTGCACAGCTTCCCTATTTATCAGCCCAGGTTCATTATGCTAAGGACTTAGGAATTGCTATCCCTTCTATGCTGAGGACTCAGAAATTGCTATCCCTTACCAGCCCCCTCCCACTCCTTCAAGATGAACTCATTACAAGATTCTTACAGAACTATAGCCTGATCATCCCCTTGCATAAAACACTTTATGTTCTGTCATGGCTCTTAAAGTCTACTCTCCCTGGCCTGGCAAGGGGGCTCATGCCTATAATCACAACACTTTGTGAAGCCAAGACGGGGAAGGATCCCTTGAGCCCAGGAGGTGGAGACCAGCCTGGGCAGCTTAGCAAGACCTCATCCCTACTGAAAAAAAAAAAAAAAAAAAAAAAGCCATGTATAGTGGTATACAACTGTGGCCCCAGCTACTGGTGAGGCTGAGGAGGGAGGACCATTTAAGCCCAGGAGTTCAGGCTTGCAGTGAGCTATGATGATACCCCTGCACTCCAGCCTAGGTGACAGAGCAAGATCCTGTCTCAAAACAACAACAACAACAACAACAAAAAACTCTTCTCTCCCTAACGTGGCTCACAGGACACTCAACAACACAGGACTGACCCTGATTTTGCCTCTCCGGCCCCATCCTGTTTCTCTGCCCCACCCCCACTGCACTCTGGCAACAGGTCTCGAGAGACATTGCAACCTTGTGCATTATAGAGACTTGCAAATGCTGGCCTCTCTAACCGGAGTTATCTTTCCTGCTCTCTTCACCTACTTACACCTACTCATCCTTCAGCCCTGAGTTTAATCACACTCACTTGGGAAGCCTTCTATAACTGTGAGGAGTAAGATCAGACCCTCCCCCCTCCACCCCCATTTACAGTCTCATGCTCCTGTGTGCTGCTGCTTTGTAGAATTGCCCAAATTATTTCTGTGTCTGCCTTCTCTACTGCACTGCAAGCTCCTTAAGGACAGGGGACTCTGGCTGTTTACCACAAAACTGTATCCTCAGTGCCTGGCTCTAGTGAGTTCTGAACATATATTTTGGGCAACTGAATGAATCAATGACTCTCCTGCTAAGCAGCAATGCTTCTCCCAAGAACAAGGGTTAGGCCCAGCTTCCAGCAGGGAGGCAGCTGAGGATGTGACTGAGCGCCTGAGCGCCTGGAGCCCAGCTGAAGAAGCTGATTGGTGGGATGGAATGCTACCGGTCCCTCTGGTATCCTGGATACGGAGAGGGTGGGAATGTAAACTGGGCCCAGAGGCTGAATTCTTGAAATTTCACTGCAGCCTAGGAGGAGCCTGCAGGGAAGTGAACCTGACCTTGAAGTTCTAGCCTTGATTTTTTTCCCCTCTAAAAAAAAAATAAGATAAAAGGTGCAATCATGCAACACATTCTTTCTGAGGGAGCTGTGAGGTGAGGGCTTTCTAAGTCCCTCAAAAGTCACTTCTAAGTCACTTCTAAGTCCACTCATCACCCAGGCCTACTTTTTGCTGGTGCAGGTGCATCTTCCAAGGTTTCTCGGCATTGCACACCCTAGAGGAGTTGAAGTTCCTGGTGGGTACTTCTTGGGTGCTAGCAGAGACATCCCAGCAGCAGTTCTCCTAATGAGGTGTCACAGAAGATAATATCAAGTGTTTATTGAACATCTAGGCCAGCCATGGCGGCTCACACCTGTAATCCTAGCTCTTAGGGAGGCAGAGACTGGAGGATAGCTTGAGCCCAGGAGTTTGAGACCTGCTTGGGCAATATAGCGAGACTCCGTTCTCTTAAAAAGAAAGAAAGAACATCTAGAATTTCCTGGGCAATGTACTAAGCACTTTGTGTATCTCATTTGAGCTGGACCTCCCAGTACACCTGTACTTGAAGAATTATTATGCTAATTAAACAGAAGAGGAATTAGGACTAAAGGAACTGAACTGATCTGCCTATAGTCACACAGCTAGAGGTGGAAGTGCTGGGATAGAATGGAGATCCATCTATCTAGTGGCTCCCAAGCCTCTGTTCTGAGCACTGTGTCACCTCCAAGTAGGCCTAGCAGCCAGCACTTGACTATTTCCAGTCTTCTTAGCATGTTCCATTCATTTGCTAATTTAATTGTTTATAAAACTTGATGAGGAAGATATGATTACTTTCATTTCTGAAATTACTAAACTGAGGCTTAGAGAAATTAATTAGCAGAACCAGGATACAGACACAGCTCCCTCTACCCAGAAAGCCCTTGCTTTCCTCCCCCTAAGGGGAGAGGGGAGTCTGTGTCACTTAGAGCAAATCGCTTGTCCTCTCTGGTCCTCGTTTCCTCATCTATAAAAGCAGGACATTGGACGTTGTCAGAGGTTTTCAAATGTTGTTTTAGCAATGGAACCATTTCTTGAAATGGAATCTTCTCATTGAACCCTGGTATGCAAACCCCTCCCTTAACCGCCCACTTACTGCTGCCCTCAGCCCACCTGGATATGTGGGCCCCACAAAACCCAATTTGAGAAACTCAGCTGTAGGTGATTTCCAAAGGCCTTTCCAGTTTGATCAGCCATCTTTGCTTCTGTAATTTTGGGTCCAGCAGAAGAGCCAAGGCACGTTCTCCTTTTTAAAAACAATACCCGGCCAGCCACGGTGGCTCACGCCTGTAATCCCAGCACCTTGGGAGGCCGAGGCGGGTGGATCACATGAGGTAAGGAGTTCAAGACCACCCTGGTCAATGTGGTGAAACCCCGTCTCTACTAAAAATACAAAAAATTAGCTGGGCATGGTGGCAGGCATCTGTAATCCCAGCTACTAGGGAGGCTGAGGCAGGAGAATCGCTTAAACCCAGGAGGCGGAGGTTGCAGTGAGCTGAGATCATGCCATTGCACTCCAGCCTGGGCAACAGAGCCAGACTCTGTCTCAAAAAAAAAAAAAAAAAAAAAAAACAATACCTTGTGATCTCCATCCTCCTCAGGACCCCGGCCAGGAGGATCTGAGCCTGTGCCCCAGAACTCCTTGTTGTATGTTTAACACTGACTCCACCGTAGGGAAGAAAGACGAAATTCGTCATTTTACTTGTGTGCTTGGTATTGTCACTCACTGGGAAATTCAGATACATTAGTAGTTAATACAGGACAGTTAGAGTTAAACGGAATTGGTTGGAATCACTGCACCTGTGGTCTATAGTGTGTGACTGTAGCAAGATGCCTACCCTGTCTGTGCTTTAGTTCCTATTGCATGTGGAGAAAGTGGTGACGCCGACTTCAGATCCTGCTTTTAAGCTAGATGGTGTATGTGCTCAACATATGTGAGCTGATATTACGAATCTTGATTGCAAAGCATCAGCTGTTTTTAATGTACCATGACCGCAGTGAGAAACTGGCACTGAGCTAAACAACCTTCACCTAGGTATAAAGATCCAAGTGACATCCTAAGAAAAAGGAACCTCACCCTGTGCTCCTCATACCAGCGGCCCAGCCATCTACACCAACTGATGCTGGCAGAATCGTTGGGGTCCTGCAATCATTGGGGACCTGGTTTTGTAACTCTCTCCCCACTCCCACTGGTACACGTAGTGGGGAGCAGCCTGTCTTGGCATCCATATACCCCACTCTCCAACTGTGTGGTACTTTTGCATGAATTCTTTTTTTTCCTTACTTCAGGCGTATTCATCTTTCAAAAGCTCCATCGGTGTAACTAGGAAGGTTTTGACATCTCCTCTCTTTCCTACACCCCTCCCCCCAGAAACAGCTGGCAATGTCAAGACATTTCTGGTGGTCACAACTGGGAGGGTGCCTCTAAATGGCTAGGGGCCAGGGATAGTGCTGGACATCCTGCAGTGCACAGGACAGCCCCCGCCACAAAGAATCATCCTGCCCAAAATGTCAACAGGTCTCACAGTGAAGATCAAGGCCAGGAGGCCCTGAAAGATATGTTAAGCATCCATCAGGCAGGCCTGGTGATGAACAAGAGAAACACTGTTTCTGTTTTCATGGATCTTATAGTCTAGTGTTTGTGCTACAGACGGTAAGGGAGACAGAAATTCAATGACCAAAGAAAGAAAGAAATGCATCATTGCCAATTGTTGTAAGTTCCATGAAGGAAATAAAATGGTGCCATGGTGGAGAATAAATGAGGGGACCTCACTAGGATGACTCAGTCACACAAGAGGGTGACAGTTAAACTGGGGTCTGCAAACCCAGGAGCTAGCCATGCAGGAAGAGGATGGCATTCCTGGCATGGGTCACAGTGTGCTAGGGATGAGGAGAGAAAGAAGGGCGGGTGCTGGAGCAGAGTGAGCCTTGGAGAAGACGCCAGGACCTGGAGGAGGCTGGAGGGCTGGGCAAGAGTGTGCAGTTTGTTCTAAATGCAGTGGGAAGGCCAGGCGCAGGGGCTCATGCCTGTAATCCCAGCACTTTGGGAGGCCAAGGTGGGCAGATCACCTGAGGTCAGGAGTTCGAGACCGGTCTGGCCAACGTGGCAAAACCCCATCTCTACTAAAAATACAAAAATTAGCCGGGCGTGGTGGCACGCACCTGTAATCCCAGCTACTCAGGAACCTGAGGCAGGAGAATCACTGGAAGCAGGGAGGCGGAGGTTGTGGTGAGCCGAGATCGCGCCACTGCACTCCAGCTTGGGCAACAGAGTGAGACTTTGCCTCAAAAAAAAAAAACTAAATAAATAAATAAGTAAATATAAATGCAATGGGAGGCCAGTGGAAAGCCTTTAACTTAGAAGTGACAGGATAGAGTTTCCTTTTTTTTCTTTTTTTTTGGGGGGGGATTGAGTCTCACTCTTGTCGCCCAGGCTGGAGTGCAGAGGCGCCATCTCAGCTCACTGCAACCTCCGCCTCCCGGGTTCAAGCGGTTCTCCTGCCTCAGCCTTCCGAGTAGCTGAGATTACAGGCATGCACCACCACGCCCGGCTAATTTTGTATTTTTTAGTAGAGACGGGGGTTTCTCCATGTTGGTCAGGCTGGTCTCGAACTCCCGGCCTCAGGTGTTCCACCTTAGCCCCCCAAAGTGCTGGGATGCTGAGTTTACTTTTTAAAACATTTTGAGAGTATGAATCAGAAGGGATTTTTCCTGCAAGTTGAACACTGCATGTTCTCACTCATGTGGAAGGTACAAAAAGTTGATCTCATAGAAGTAAAAAGTAGAACAGGGGATTCTAAAAGCTGCAAAGGGAGAGTTAGGGAGAGATTTGTTAAAGGATACAAAATTACAGCTAGACAGGAGGAATACATTCTAGTGTTCTATAGCACTAAAAAACTATAGTTAACCATATTAATATAGTTTCAAATAGCTAGGAGGAGGATATTGAATGTTCCCAACACAAATAAATGAGAAATGTTTGAGATAATGGGTATGCTAATTACCCTGATCTGATCACTATACATTGTATGTATCAAAACATCACTGTGTATTCTAAAAATATGTACAATTATGTGCTAATTTTTAAAAATTGAAAAAGAAAATGATGAGGTGCTGAGAAACGGTCTGGCTATTGTTTAGGGACTGAAGGCCCCAGGGAAGCTGTTGTCCCCTCAGCAGGGGTAAGGACAAATGGGATGACATGACAAGGAGCTTTTCCAGCTGGGCTCCTGGTAGAAATAAGACTCTAAGAGCAGAGGGATGAGGGTGGGGTTCTGGGACCTGGGGAGGGAGGGAGCTCTTCCTTCCCCCTAGCTAGTTGCCTTGGGGGAAAGAATGCCAGTGGAGGCGCTGTTGGGGCTGTGAAGGGTGCAGTCATTTGATGTTAAGGAGAATGTCGTGTTTGTTTTTGCCAGGTGGTTCTGACTTCAAATCAAGGGATCTCTGGGTTTAGGGAACATTGTTGTATATGTGGTGGCTCGGGCAAGGGTGGCTTTCCCTGGTTCTGCCGTTTACTAGCCCTGTCACCTTGGGTGAGTTACTTACCCTCTGTAAGCCTCAGTTTCTTCATCTGTAAAGTGGGAAAAATACAGTACTTCCTTCCCTGGGCTGTGAGGTTGAAATAAGGTACTGTTTGTAACTTAGCAGACTATCCAGCACATAGTCAAGGTGTAATGAGTATTCAGTTACTTACATAGTCTAGGTAACAAACACTTGACAGATAATAGTACATTTAAGTTAACCCTCACAACGAGACTATGAGACAAGTACCATTCTTTTTGTTTTTCTTTCTTTCTTTCTTTCTTTCTTTTTCTTTTCTTTCTTTCTTTCTCTCTTTCTCTCTCTCTCTCTCCCTCTCTCCCTCTCTCTCTGTCTCTCTCTCTTTCTCTCTCTCTCTCTCTTTCTCTCTTTCTCTCTCTCTCTCCCCCTCTCCCTCTCTCTCTCTGTCTCTCTTTCTCTCTTTCTCTCTCTCTCTTTCTCTCTTTCTTTCTTTTCTTTCTTTCCTTTCTTTCCTTTCTTTTCTTTCTTTCTTTCTTTTCTTTTCTTCTCTTTCTCTCTCTCTTTCTTTCTTTTAGATGGTCTCGCTCTGTCGCCTAGGCTGGAGTGCAATGGTGGAATCTCAGCTCACTGCAACCTCCACCTCCCGGGTTCAAGTGAGTCTCCTGCCTCAGCCTCCCAAGTAGCTGGGATTACAGGCATGCATCATCATGCCCGGCTAAGTTTTGTATTTTTAGTAGAGACGGAGTTTCCTCACGTTGGCCAGGCTGGTCTTGAACTCCTGACCTCAGGTTATCCACCTATCTCAGCCTCCCAAAGTGCTGCGATTACAATTCAACCATTTAAAGCTTACAATTAAGTGGCTCTTAGTATACTCAGAGTTGTGCAACCATCACCACAATCACTTTTATAATATTTTCATCACCTCCCCACAAAAAACTCTGCACCACTTAGCAGTCATCCCCCAATCTTCACTTCCCCCCAGCCCTAGACAACCACTAATATACTTTCTGCCTCTATAATTTTGCCTATCCTGGACATTTCATATAAACAGAGTCATACAATATGTGACCTTTTGTGTCTGGCTTCTTTCAGTGAGCATGATGTTTTCAGCTTTCATCCATGTTGAGGCATGTAGCAGTACTTCATTGCTTTTCATTGCCAAATAATATTCCATTGTATGGATATGCCACATTTTGTTTATCCATTCATCAGTTTGTGGATATTTGGGTTATTCTCACTTTTTGGCTATTATGAATGAATGCTGCTATGAACATTCACGTACAAACTTTTGCATGTACATACATTTTTCTTTCTTTTGGATATCTGGTAGGGACTATTTTTCTCCTTGTTTTACAAATAAGGACATTGAGGCACAGAAAGTTTAAGTTATTTGCCTGGGTCACACAGCAAATAAGTAACAGAGTCATAATTAGAACTCAGGTAGTCTGCCTCCAAAGTCTGTGCTGTTCATCAGTACCTCTCCTGAACGCTTCCTTATAGCAGCTACTGTGCCAGGAGCCAGAGAGACTGGGGAGAGCAAAGCAGACATGTCCCTGTCCTTGTGAAACTTACAGGGAGACCATGGCGCAATAATCGAAGACACGGGAAATAACTACCATGACAGCTGCGTTAAGGATTACAGTCGAGAGTTGCAAGGTTCTGGCAGGTAGACCAATGGGCTATGGGACTTGTCATCATCAGAGTGGCCAGGGAAGGAAAGCTTCCCTGGAGAGGAGGTGCTTGCTCTAAGATCTGTAGGACATGTAAGTGCTAACCAGGCAGAGATGGAGGAAAGCAGCAGCTTTAAAGGATGCAAGACTCGAGGGTGCGGCCAGTATAGTATGCAGGCTTCTGAAGTCAAGCATTTACTCATCTATTACTCAGCACCCCATAGGCACAAGGCTCCATGGATAATGGGTCCTAGGGACACTGCTAACTGAGAAAAATCTCTCCAGCCCCAGGCAGGAACACATCTTGCTGTCAGAGATCACTGATGTCCCAGTCTGAGAGACCCAAATTCCCATCCCTGCCTCTCATTTTCAACATCAAAAGGCTGCTATGCTTTAGATCTAAAACCCAGGATGGCATTTTTCATCTCCTCTCCTCTAGGTAGCTGGCCTTTCAAATGGGGGAGAATATCATTCCTCTTCAAAGCGGTGCAGGTGTCATTTGCTGATTTAAAAAAAAAAAAAAGATTTTGGAAAAAGTAAGGCCTGGGTCACCAGATACACACCTGCCAGGTGTTCAGATGCTGGTCCTTCCCTGGCCCCTTAAGTGAGCCATGAAAAGGACCTGGTGATTCACCCACAGATAACGGAAGAAAGTTCTGTTACCTCTTGATAGCAGCTTTTGTGTCCACCCCATTTCCCCAGGTGGGCCGAGAGCATTGGTAGCTAATTGTAATCACTCCACACAATTAGAGCTGTGCTGCCCCTTCCCCTAGCCAGTGGACTTCGGTACCCAGAGTGAAGCCTGCAGCCTGTGTCAGACACCAGCATGTGTAATGGGAGGAAACAGCTTCCATGTCCAGAGCGCTGGTTCCAAGGGCATCTTCAGGCACTGAAATTGGCACTGAATAGGCATGGGGAAGTTTCAGTGGAAGTGAATGGGGAGCACTGGGGGGACTTACTGAAAGACTTTCAGATACAGGGAGTATTTGACACAGCTCACCTCCAACTGGCCTGGTTTTATTCTGAATTGTTTGGAGCAGAGGAAGGGAGAGGGAAAACATAAAGATCAGGGTAATAGGTTCTAGGAGCTGACGGAGCTGATGGAGCTGAACAGGGTAGGGACCATGGAAGGTAGAGCTATTGCGCAAAAATTAGGCAGCCTCTAGGCAGGCAGGCACTTGGCTGGATCCAAGTGGCAGTGTTAGGTGCTGTGGGTGAATGCACACCCACAAGTATATGCACATTCCCTGCCTCCTGGAAGCTCACAGTTCAGCCAGTGATACATGTATAGAAGTTTGAAGCAGTAACATTAGATATGAGGTTGAATTCATGCTGACCGGATTTCTGTGGACTTCGTGGAGGCCCTGAAGGCTTTGTAGGATCTAGAAAGGCAGAAACAGATGTGGTGGGGGATAGGTTGAAGAGTCGTGGATGACTCACTAAGACATTGAGGTGGGAAGGTATGCAGGGACTATACCACACTGTGTGGAGGAGGGGGTTCATGGAAAGGGTAAGAACTCCCAAAGGGTAGATGAAGAGCCATGAAGACCCAGCTAAGGAAACCCATGAATGACTGGGATCCACTGGAAAGTCTTGAGCAAAGAACCGGAGGATGCAAGTGCTGCAGAGAACAGACCCCATACTGTGGACGGATTGAGAGCACAGTGGGGGCCCCTCAAGCTGTTCCACACTCTGGGCAGTAGGGTTTATCCAAGTGCCCACCACCAAGTATCTGGGCACTAGGCAGGGAGCAAGGGGTGTTTCCAGTTCCAGTGTTAAAAAATTCCATCCAATTTGTAGGTTCCAAGGAAGGATTGGGCTCCCAGAAGCTTGGAGTTCTTGTTTTATGACCACCATCCAGCCCTAAGAGCCTGGGGGGTTTGTATGCATTTTCATTGCGCAGATGGACCTCCCAATTTTCTCAACTTTACTTCCCTTTCACATTTGCACAGACCATATAATCATGGTTTTAAAGGTCATAAAGTTCACTGTGCTAGGAGATACAGAAATACTTTCTTGATGACGGGGCCAAACGTTCATTAAGTGCTTTCATGTGCCCTGCATTTGAATTTATTCATGATAGCTTCAACATTCTGAGTGTTTACTGTGGGGCAGGCACTGTGCTAACTGTGTATTATCTTGTATACTTTTCAGGACAAGTGAAAGTGATGACCCCATTTAATAGATGAAGAAAACTGACACTCAAAGAAGGGAAATAACTTGCCCAAGATCACAGAGCTCAGGTTGGCTGGACTCTAGGACATCCCATGCCTCCACACCATGCTGCTTGTCAGCAGCAGCACGCAGAGCTGGTTGCAAAGGAGGGGCTGACATATATTAAGAGTTGAGGCCGGGCGTGGTGGCTCACGCCTGTAATCCCAACACTTTGGGAGGCCGAGGTGGGCGGATCACAAAGTCAAGAGGTCAAGACCATCCTGACCAACATGGTGAAACCCCGTCTCTACTAAAAATACAAAAATTAGCTGGGCGTGGTGGCGTGTGCCTGTAATCGCAGCTACTTGGGAGGCTGAGGCATGAGAATCACTTCAACCCAGGAGGCGGAGGTTGCAGTGAGCTGAGATCATGCCACTGCAGCCTGGGCGACACAGTGAGACTATGTCTCAAAAAAAAAAAAAAAAAAGTTGAACTTTTGCTTCTGGGATGTTTATGTTTTTTCCTAGTCTTCAGGGGTTCAGGGCTCTCAGATGTCTCCCCCACCATACCTCCACTCAGTCTTCCACTGATGACATTTCTTAATAATTCACGTGCTTCCCCCTCGGCTCAGTTACACATTGGAGAACACTGCTGCATCTGAACCACTGTAGCTGACAAGCTATCATGCAGCTCACCCAAACAGCAGCTTGCAAGGCCTATCCATTCTGAACATTTGGAATGGAACTCTTCTGATCCTTATTTTCCACCTAGAACAGTCATAATGGGGCAATGGGAATGTATTGATTGTCACTGTTTTGCTTGTATACCTTGGACTGTTTCTGCAAAAGGAGATATGTTTGAGTGTTTTAAGGCAGCCTTGCAGATAGCTTCTAAAAAGAATTCACTGGCCTGAAAAAATGATTCCTAGCCTGCAGAACTTTCATTTGTCTTCCCTGTGCTTGAGAGAGTTGGGTAGCCCACAGGAAAGAACAAGTGGTGAAAACCTGGCTTCTAATCCTAAAGCTTCCAACAGCGAGTTATGGGGTCTTGGGCACATTCTTTACATTTCAGGCTCGGTTTTCTCATCTGTAGAATGTGAGTGTTACTTTTCTCCTCCAGAATTGTCCTGTGGGTCAAGATGAGATAGCAGATGTCATAAGAGCTTTGTAAGCTACAAAGTAGATGTATATGTGTGGGATAATAGTACACAGTTTCCTGAACTAACTCATGGAGTTCTTGAAGACATCAGATGAAACAGTAGATGGGAAAATTCTGTGAAGGGAAGAAACTCTGAGCATCTCTGAAGCAGGTGCTCTTGCTCAAGCCTTAGCATTGCGTCTGTCACAGCAGGAAGCAGGGGCTGCTTGACAAAGCAGTGCAGGGGGTTCATATTCCAAGGGGAGGTTTTATTTAGAAGAGAAATTACTTAAAATAGAAGTCAAACATTTATAGTAAATATTGGGGGGAAAAGATTTGATCAGGCCTTCATTTTGAGAAATGAAACTAAAAATTTTAAAGTATATTTATACTGTATTTAACAACATACTGCAACCATGCCCCAGTTCTTAGTTTGAACAAAGTGTTGATTTATTTTTTGTGTAATTATTTGGAGACAATGAGAATAGCAGAAAAGGACATTTTTCTCTTCTCGTTTGACTTTCCCACCAGGCTCATAAGGAAGGTCATTTTTACAAAATATTGAAGGTTTTATCTGTTTTCCTGTGGCCTTGTTTAACCCCTTGGTATCACTGAAATCCTTCTCTTTTATTATTTTATTTTTAGAGGTTCACTCTGTTGCCCAGGCTGGAGGGCAGTGGTGCAATCTTGGCTCACTGCAGTCTCCACCTCCTGGGTTCAAGCTGTTCTCCTGCCTCAACCTCCCAAGTAGCTGGGATTACAGGCATGCACCACCATGCCTGGCTAATTTTTGTATTTTTAATAGAGACAGGGTTTTGCCATATTGGCCAGGCTGGTTTCGAACTCTCGACCTCAAGTGATCCTCACCTCCCAAAGTGCTGGGATTACAGGGGTGAGCTACCATGCCAGGCCTGAAATCCTTCCCTTTTAAAGGGCCTGTTGTCTCTTCTTCTTTATCTTAATGGATTTTCTCCTTTTCAGTTGTTACCTGAGTAACTCAGCCATTCCTTGGGTGTGATTGAGTAGTTATTCAACATGACATTCACAAACTTCATGAAATCCTGCCTCTTTTAGAATATTAGTGATTTCCCTTGCAGTTGACTTGGATTGTACTTGCATTGCTTTGTCAGATGCTAAGACATCCAGCAGACCCATAAAGATGTTGACAGTAAATACTGATGGCATGGACTAGACACTAATGTTAAGTGGGGAGCAATATTTGTATAGGCATTGATTTTATTATAAGTACTCAATTCATGGGTTAATTTTTTAACTCAGCTCATAGTTTTTATATTTTGATGACTCTTATTTCTCTAAGTGATCATCTAAGTGCAGGAATCAAGATACATATCCAGTCATTGACTTTCCCCTGATTAAGAGAGCAAGCTGTGGAGTCAGAGTGGCTGGGTTAGAATCCCAGCTTCTACTTGTACAATCTGTGTGACCCTTGATAAGATAATTAAATTATTGGAGTCTCAGTCTTCCCCAGTGCGAGCCTGCGGGGACCCTGTGTGGTGAGAGAGGCTCTGTCCAACACCACCAGGGCAGGGAGAAACAACTGGCCCCATTTCATAACAGAATCAGATGGCCCAGGAGGGACCCCCAAGAGTGTTTGATTGGGATGCCCAGCCCTGGCTCTCCCTCCACCTGAAGCCCACCGAGATTAATCGGGTACCTATGTCTGATGTCGAAAGGAAGGAGAAGGGTTTGCTGAGGACTGATCTCAGCAGGTCTGAAGTTAGGCTGAAAATCTGTGTTTTGCAAGTATAAACACTGTAAGGAGATACAAGATACTTAGGAAAGCAGGGAGCAGCCCAGAGTGCGAGCCCAGTGTCACAGACTCAGAATGATCCAGGAACCATACAGGGAAACAATGCCCGCAGAAAACAGCAGCTGCAGATGTATTTCCTCCCCTGCTCAGCTCCTCCTGCCCTGCATGAGCAAGACCCTAAGACCCTCAAGAGACCCTCAGAAAATCTGTCCAGTGCCCCAACATCAGAATGAAGGCATCTGGGGAACAGGTAGAAACACAGTGCCTGACACACCGATGCCCTTAGTAGGCGTGCCTGAAATGCTTGTTGAGAAAATAAATGCATGCAGAATACAAGACTCATTTGAATACCTCCTGTTTGACTAGGAGCAGAGGAATTCAGGTGAGCCATTGTTGAGAAACCTGTATGACTAGTTAGAATTAGTTAAAAAGTAAAAGCCGGGACCTCCCAGGGCCCATGCTTGGTATGCTGTGAGTGAGATTGTTCTGTAAGTTGGTGGTGGCTTAGAAATGATTGACAGACATGTCTTATTTTTTAATGTGACAATGGATGTTTGGTTCCATGTAAAACAATTAGAGGAGGAGCCGTTTGGTTGGTGTCAGGCACTGTGTTTCGACCTGTTTCCCAGATGCCTTCATTCTGATGTTGGGGCACTGGACAGATTTTCTGAGGGTCTCTTGAGGGTCTTAGGGTCTTGCTCATGCAGGGCAGGAAGAGCTGAGCAGGGGAGGAAATACACCTGCAGCTGCTGTTTTCTGCAGGCATTGTTTCCCTGGATGGTTCCTGGATCATTCTGAGTCTGTGACACTGGGCTCACACTCTGGGCTGCTCTCCACTTTCCTAATAGGGTCCTTGGATGTCACCCCCAGACGTTGGCAATGTCCCCAGCCGACTGAGTGACAAGGGTCCTCCTCAGAGGCTAAAGCCAGCATCTCTCCAGTTCAGTTGCCCTGACTGTAGATGGGTGCTGTGTCCTGGGGCCTGGGATGCCCTGAGTTCTCGAGTTAACCGCTGTCAGTCATGTGCCCTCCAGGGCAGACCTCAAGAAGGAGGCAGTTCCAGGGATACTGCTTATTCAGCTCACCAGGCTCGCAAGGGTCTCTTCCCTACTTCCGATCCACCTTCAGTTGATCACCCTGGCCTTGCCTGGAGAGGGAATTTGAAATTCTGTGCCCTAATCCTGACTGCTTCTCTAGGATTTCTTTGGACCTTTCGTTGAGATGCTGATATTGAAGAAAAGGTCGTGTGAAGTCCATGCTCACCCTGTTAAGAAGTGTTTGTGGGTCCCCTGCTAAAGCAGAACTGAAACCCTGTTTCTGTCATTCTGTCAGCTCGTGGCCTCAACTGGGCACAGCGCTTGGGTTCCCTCTTGTACCCTCCCTCTTGGTGTAAGGGATGGCCCTGAAGAAGGTGAAGAGCAATCTATGTGATGATCTATTTCATTTATTAGCCCGAGTGAAATTGGAGGCCTCTTTTCTTTTACAGAGTCATTGTCGAGCAAGGTCAGTCCAAAAAAAAAATCCCTATATATTTATGATTATGTATCAAGAATGATTCTGTCCCCTGGGTATACTGCAGTGCTCTAAACAGTCCTGATCGCTGCCCTTGCAGAGGTCACTATCTCCAGAGAAAGAATGTAAGTCATTGTGAAGAGCTGGGAAGGAGAAGCAGATGGGCTGTGGGCTTATCAAGCTGGGATCTGCCCTGTTGGAAGGGTCAGAGGAGTCATGCTCAGGAGATGGCAGTGTGACTATTAGAGATTTCTGCTATGATAACAGAGTATTGAGCACCTGTTGTATGCAAGCACTGTGCAAACACCTGGCATACCTGAGCTCCTTTATTCCCGAGATGGGTGTTACTGGCAGCCCCATTTGACAGGTTGGGGGATGTGATGTGCACCGTTTCCTGAAGGTGGCCAAGAGAAGTGATGTGCACCGGCCACACAGCTGGCAAGTGGCAGAGCTGGTTCCTGAGCTCAGGGGACGTGACTGTGATGTGTGTGCACGGGTGTGTGCACAGGCTCAGGTAGGGTGAAGCTCAGGGAGACCCAAGCCCTCACCCTCACCCTCTCTACTGTTTTCCTGCCAAGGAGGGGCACATCCTCAGGATGTTTGCAGGCTTTATTCTGCCTGGGCAGTGACCCAGGCTCCTTTAATCCACAGCCGGATGGGAAGAGCTGCTGGCAGAGGGAAGGGCCACACATCATTGTCCCTCTCCCTGAAGCATACCTCTCAAGAAGTTCCGGGGTGGGGTGGAAGCTTGGCTGTGAGCACAGGCCTCCCTTTATCCCACCTTGACCTCAGGTGGGCCAGAGGAGAGCCACACACATTTGCCAGCTGGGGGTGCGGCCATCACAAACAAGGACTTCTCCAAGGAGGAAATACAAAGGTGCCATCCGGAAAAGATCAAGGAGTAGTTGTCCAGGCAGGGTCTGCTGGAGAAATACAAAGAAAGAAATTATCAGCCTAGGAAAGGGCCCTAGCAGAGCCATCCTGAAGGTAGCCCAGAAGGAATTTGATTGGGGTGGGGCCAGGGGTATCCAGCCCCCACACTGCAGCCTGGGATCTTTGCTTGAGGGTGTGAGAAGAAAGGGGTTTCCCTTCTGATGGAAAAGTTCCTGAGTGGTCTGAAAATTCCAAAGCTAACACATGTCAGCTGCTTTCAATATGCTAGACATAATGCCTACTGCTGTACACACGTCATCCTATAAACCTCCCCACAGCTCTGTGAGGTGGGGATGATTGTTATCCCCATTTTACATAGGAGGAAACTGAGGCACAGCAAGGTTAATACGCCCGAGATTCAAGAGCTGGCAGGTGACAGAGCGAGTTGTTGAATGGTCATGGCCGAGTCCCTTCTGTTCCCTGTGCGTCAATTTCCCCATCTCCACAATGAGATGACCAGACACAGTGATTTCTAAAAGTCCTTTCATTACCGAATTCCCATGATTGTGTCCCAGAGACCTGTAAGGTCATTCAGCCATGCAGGTGTAGGCCTCTTGGGCACGTGGGTTTCTGACACCCCCACCCAGTTCTCTTCCCACCCCTCTGACACGCCTGTTTCTCAGCAAGCCTTCTGAAATCTTTTGTATATGACACCCCCCACCTTATAACTATAGAAAGGTTTTGTTTGTTTTTTAATGCTTTCCAGCTTTGGGCTCAGGAAATCCCTTCTTTTCTTCCCTGTAAAAGATTTCTTCCTTCCATCCCACTCTCCAGGGCCTCATCCTGGCCAAGCAGCCTCACCCTCTCCTTCAGCACAGCCCTGCAGGCTGGCTCTGTCACCTTCTCATATTTACTGAGCATCTGTAACAAGGACTTGCTCAAGGGCACACAGTCGGTAAGTGGCCACGTCAAGCTGGTACCTACATTGTGGTCTGCTGTTCAGCACACAGTAGGTCCTCAGGAGTGCTTCCTTCTTTCTCCGTCATTTGACTGGCTCTCCTTCCCTTTGCTTCTGTTTGCAGATAGAAGGTAGAGTGGGGCTGGGAGTGGGGTTGGCTGCCGTGGGCCACTGGGCGGGAGGCTCACAGCCCTTCCTGTTTTTGGAAGAATTGGTCTGGAGCAGCAGCTCCACCAACCCCAGTTCTGTGACCAACAGCGGCCTCTTAAGTAACCGTTTGTTTCCTCAAAATAACACTCCACCTTTCACCTAGCAAGAAGGATGGTTATCTGCATGGGTGCCATCTTTCTGGGCCCTCCAAATGCGGACAGCTCACCTTTGCTGCTAAAAACACCTGCTTCACCTCCCAGCTCCAGGTCATTCCTCTGAGATCTTATGGAAAAGCTCTCAGCTAAATTGGACATTAAATACTAGAGGAATGGATTGGTTCACATACTGGGAAAGTCCAGAGGTCACTGTTCAATGCAGGGCTCCAGTTGTATCATCAGGTCTTAGTTTCTCTCCTCCTGACTCTGCCTGCTGCTGTATCGGCTTCGTTCTCAGTTTGCACATGATGATCTTCTAGGATTGAAGAAAAATGCAAAAAGAGGTCTCTCTTATTCATGGCTCAGATGGAAGTCCTGAGGTTGACTTTTACTAGTCCATAGTGGGTTGTGCAGGAATGATTTAAAATCAACTGCTCACCAAAGCACGTGGATGGAGAATCTTTAGAGAGGTGGGTTCCTCAGGAAATTTGCAATGCTGTCACCAAAAGAGGCAGAAATGGGTGCTTGGTGGCAGAAATCCAACAACTGTTCTCCATCCCTTCCTCTGCTGGTCCCCAGGTCACAGTCCAGGAGGCTATTTGGCGTGGGTCACGAGGGTGCTTGGACTGAAGTTGAGCATGCCTCTTCTGGACTGGCTCTCCCTTGGCTCCCTACTCTTAAACATTGTTCTGTTTTTCTCCACCCCAACATAAAGGGCATCTGGCCAAGGGCAGGACAGGAGGAAAAGGACGTGGAAGAAAGCCTATTGTTATCATGATCATTCACTCATTCATTCATTCATTCTTCTGCTCAACTATGTGCTTAATAAATGTTTATTGAGCATCTAAGACATTGCAAACAATGAGCTAAATGAGGGTTTCCAAAACTTCAGTCACTGGTGCACCCTCTTCCCAATTTTTGCCAATAGAAGTAAAATGATGTTACCAATTCCCAGCTAGAGGCTGGGCGCGGTGGCTCACGCCTGTAATCCCAGCACTTTGGGAGGCCGAGGCGGGCGGATCATTTGAGGTCAGGAGTTCAAGACCATCCTGGCCAACATGGTGAAACCCTGTCTCTACTAAAAACACAAAAAATTAGCCGGGCGTGGTGGTGCATGCCTGTAATCTCAGCTACTTGGGAGGCTGAGGTAGGAGAATTACTTGAACCTGGGAGATGGAGGTTGCAGTGAGCCGAGATCACGCCACGGCACTGGAGCCTGGGCAACAGTGAGACCTTGTCTCAAAAAAAAAAAAAAAAATCCCAGCTAGATAGCCCATGGGAAGGCAATGAGCCTAGGGTCCAATCTCTCTTAGTTAACAAAGGAGCCTGGCAGAGGTTGGAGTAGTTAAAGACACAGTAGCTCCAGACTGTAGACTCTACTCTTGATTGAATCTGAAAAGCTGAAGGGTAATTGAAAAGGGAATAGCATTTTCCCTGAGAGATCCAATGTTTTTTCCTGCCTTGCAAGTGCACCTCATAAAGTCATCCTGTGTGCCACCAAAAGGCATCATATACACATGGGAAATGTATAATACTCATGGAATCCAGAAATGAATCCAACTCGGACCTTGTCTCGAAGCGACTTCCACTCTAGGAGGCGAGAGAAGAGCAGGATACAAATGAAAGTGCCATGAGTTAGGATATGATGGAAGGAGGGGTGCAGGTGAAGGGCTGTGGGAGATGAGAAGAGGTTGCTCTCCTGGGGCCTGGCAAAGGCTGCAGGTGGGAGACAGTGTTTGCAGCAGGCCTGGATGCCTGCGGAGAATTTGACTTCCAGAGAAAGGGATTGGGCAGCCCAGGCAAAGAGGAAACGAGAAAGACCAGGGAGGTTGGAGGTGGGTGGAGAACAGCAACCAGTCCTGTCGCAGCCAGGCTGTTTCTGCACCACGTGCCGCCTGCCCACTCTGGGTGTCTTGTTTATCCTTGGATCCTAATGGTGGTGTTGAGTAGACTCCACTCAGAACTGAGACGGGTGTCTGCCTAGGGACTGGCTGCTTCTCTGCACCCTCTCCACCCAAGACACACTTGTTTGCCCCACGTTCTCTGTGCAGTAACCCTCCCGTGGCAGCTGATGTGGTAGAAGCAGCAGATTCCGATCTCAGAGCTGCCCTTTGCTAGCTGTAGGACCTGCTGTCCCGTTCCTTAGAGGTCACTGAGCACCTACCTCAAAGGGCGGTCAGGAGCATCCAATGAGACAAGGCCTGGCCCATGGCAAGAGCTCAATTAACATTAACACGCACGAGTCTTGAATACTGTCCACATGTGCTTATTGAGGCCCTCTTGGCTTCTCAAGCTTTCTGAGCCTTAGTGTCATCATCTGAAAAATGGGATGTCCGTATCAGGTGGTCAAATAATGTTTACAAAGTGAGAACCACTTAGTATGTCTTTGGCAAATATTTCCTTTGCCTGGGTGGCTTCTGCTGTGCTTCAGGTTTATCCAGTAATTATTCAAATATCATTCATTGAGCTCTGCACTTTTTCCTGATACTCCACAAAGTATTGATATTGTTGTTCCTGTTTTATTAATTGCATGGTGCATGGTGATTAGGAGCTTAGAACCCTGAACCTATTTGCCTGGATTCAAATCCCAGCTCTGCCACCTTCCAGCTGCAGGACCTAAGGCATGCGACTTGACCTCTCCATGCCTTAGTTTTCATCTGAAATGAGGATTATATATATATAATTTTTTTTTTTTTTTGAGATGGAGTCTTACTCTGTCACCCAGGCTGGAGTGCAGTAGCATGATCTCGGCTCGCTGCAACCTCTGCCTCCCAGGTTCAAGCAATTCTCCTGCCTTAGCCTCCAAAGTAGTTGGGATTACAGATGCCCACGACCTTGCCCAGCTAATTTTTGTATGTTTAGTAGAGATGGGGTTTCACCATGTTGGTCAGGCTGGTCTTAAACTCCTGACCTCAAGCAATCCACCCACCTCGGCCTCTCAAATTGCTGGGATTACAGGCATGAGCCACTGCACCCGGCCTGGATAATAATTTTCAATTATACAAAATAGTACCATCTCACAAGATTGCTGTGGGGATTAAATGGAGTTAATATGGGTAACTCTTAGGTCAATGCCTATTGCATAGTAATACCCTGTAAATGAAAACTATGATTGTTGCTATCATTGTTACTAATGAGGTGAAGTTACTTCATTGGCTGAACTCCAATTCGAACCCGGACCTGCATACTCCAAAGCCCACGTTCCTTCTACCCCACAGATAGCCTCCCTCCCACTCTGAACCCCTTTTTGTGTATTTTGGGTCCTTCCAGGGGGCCTGGGAAGGTCCCCACACTCCCCTCAGCAGGTTACTCACCTCCCACCCCACATTCCCTAAGAGAAGGCCATGACTGACCTTCCCCCTACTCCCTAGGCTTTCCTGGAGGTACCCTGTGACCTGGCCTGGCTCTTCCTTCCAGACTTTTCTTCCAGTCTCATGCTGTCCTTCCAGACCCTGAGGCAGTCCTTGCCCTTTGCATGTGAAGTTCTTAAGTAAAGAGACAAGATGCTACTAGTGTGCAAACACGCGACAGCCCTGCCCCTGGCATCAGCCACTCCTGGCATCAGCCTGCCGTCGTCTTGCCAACCCTCCACCTCTCTCAGGCCTCCTGCTGCCCCTCAATGGCATGCCAGCCTCTGTCCTTCTCATCTCAACCCCAAAGAGTTAGAGTTGCTGTCCTTCCTTCACCTGACGCCCAGGGAGCCTTTGCACCTGGACCATGATCTAGAGGGCTGTTCCTCCATCACTCGCTGTGTGCCGTCAGGCCAATCAAGCGCTTCTTGAAGCCTTAGTGTCCTCCACTGTGTAGTGTGTGGTTGGGAAGGTTAAATGCAAGGTCTTATTTATTTGGCCCGATCACTGCCAAGTCAGGGCCCAAGCTACTTCCTGCTTCCTCTACAGAACCTCCTGGGAGTAGTCCAGCATGCACGGATTTCACCTTTCTGGGAATCCTGTGTCGCCTGTTGTGAAAGTTTCATTTGGAACGATGTCTTCATTCCTCCATATACATGATCATGGATGAATGAATAGTTTGTGTGTTTACTTCCAGCTGGGTTTAAGTTCATACTTGGTGCTGGACATACAATAGCTCTGAAAAGATATTTGGAAATAAGCTTAGGCTCTTCCAAAAATGAGTGCTTTTTCTTTTTTTCTTTCTTTTTTTTTTTGAGATGGAATCTTGCTCTGTCACCCAGGCTGGAGTGCAGTGGTGTGATCTCGTCTCACTGCAATCTCTGCCTCCTGGATTCAAGCGATTCTCCTGCCTCAGCTACCCGAGTACTTGGGATTATAGGTGCCTGCCACCACTCCCAGCTGTTTTTTGTATTTTTAGTAGAGATAGGGATTCACCATGTTGGTCAGGCTGGTCTCAAACTCCTGACCTCAGGTGATCCGCCCCCCTCGGCCTCCCAAAGTGCTGGGATTACAGGCGTGAGCCACCGCACCCGGCCTGAGTGCTTTTTCATTTTTTGTTTTTTAATATTGATGCACTGGAATAGAATTAAATCAGGGGCTCATTGTTGAATCTTTTCTCATTGGCTGTATTTTCATTAAGGAAAAGCAAAATTTAAACTATTTGGATACTTTTTAAAATATATTTTAGCTAATTTACTCCTCCATTCTATCTTTTTGGGGAACCTGGGATATGCCTAGCACTAGTGCTGTCCTAGGTACAAAAGTCATGATGCCTGCAGTTTATAAGACCTTTGAATGTTTGTCATGGACCCAATTCCCGGGTCTGACTTGCCAGTCTAGACATCTGTGTATTCCATTCCACTGGTAAGTTTCTCCTTTGTGGACCTGCCTTAGTTCCATCATTTCAGTCTTCCCAGGGAGGGTTCTCAGGGCCCGTTCTTTGGTCATTTCCAGTTTGCTGTGGGGTGTGTAGAGAGCATTGAGCTTCCAGAGTGAACAGTTTTGTGGCCTGCAGCAGGCCCTGGAGTAGGGCTATATGCTCTGTATCCCTGGAAGTCTTTGTTAGGCTGGCTTTGTAAGCAATAGGCTCAGGGACTTTGCTTCAGGAGGTAAAAAGCAAGACCAAAAACGCCCCCAAAGTTTTCCTCTTAGAGAGGAGGAGATGGCCACAAGCCTTCTGCTATGTTCATTCAGCAGATATTAGGGAGCCTCAACTCTGCCAGGGCCTGTGTTTGGTCATAGGAAGACAATGGTGAACTCTGCAGGTGTGACTCTGTTGGAATGGGAGAGACAGACAGTCAACATATCAACACACAAATACAGTGACAGAAAGTAATTGGGGGAGGGTGGCACTCAGTCAGGCCTGCCCAGGAAGGCCTCTAAAAAACAGCATTTCAGGCTGGGCGTGGTGGCTCACGCCTGTAATCCCAGCACTTTGGGAGGCTGAGGTGGGCGGATCACCTGAGGTCAGGAGTTTGAGACCAGCAGAGCCAACATGTTGAAACCTCGTCTCCACTAAAACTACAAAAATTAGCCGGGCATGGTGGTGGGGGCCTGGAATCCCAGCTACTCAGAAGGCTGAGGCAGGAGAATCTCTTGAACCCGGGAGGTAAAGGTTGCAGTGAGCTGAGATCGCGCCACTACACTCCAGCCTGGGTGACAAGAGTGAGACTCCGTCTCAAAAAAAAAAAAAAAAAAAAAAAAACAGCATTTCAACTGAGAGCCAGCCATGCAAAAAGTGGACAGGTGTGTAGACAGGGACAGGTAACTGTCCCAGGCAGCGAGACCTGCGGGAGCAAAAGGCTCTGAGGTGGGAATGAGGTTACTGCATTCTGAGTATTGAGAAAGGTGAAGCTGGAGGAGCAGGTCAGGGGCAAGGAGTTCTATTCCATCCTGTTTTGGTGGTAAGACTTTGAAGGGGTTGGAGCAACCGAGTGACAAGACTGGATTAATGTGTTGTTGTTTTTATTATGGGGGTGGGTAAGGGAGTGAACAGGAAGGAGTGTAGGTAGAAAAACTGAGAAAATAAACAGCTGGAGAAGTGAGGAAAGGGTGCTGCAAAGTGGGGAGAGAAGGAGAGAGGCAGAGAGGGAAGGAACAAGAGAGAGAAAGAGAGACGGGGAGCCAGAGAGACGGAGAGAGATGTCAGTGATTCTCTTGGGGGGGCTGTGATGAGAACAAGCTATTGTGATTTAGGGGCTTCTGGAAAGCCCCAGGTGAAGGTTCAGTCCATGGCCTGTGAACACACAGAGCATGGGGATCGGTTCTCCCATCTAGGTAGGACATGGAGAGTGAACAGCAAGGGAAGGATCTTGGTTCATTGTCTGGTGCTCTACCCAATTCATGGCAGAATCCTGCCGCATGATTTCTGCCGACTAGATTCATTACGTCGCTGAAGAGCGTGTTTATTGTAAGGCTTCATTCTGGAGAGAAAGTAGCAGGAAGCAAAGGAATGCACACTTCTTGAGTCCTGTTCAGTTCCAGGGAACATGCCGATGCGGCCGGAGGCCCATGGAGGCAAGGTGTCTGGCCCAAGCTCTCACGGCTGTGAACCTGGGTCCCTGGGGTTCCAAAGGCTTTGCCCGCTCCCCTGGCCTCCAGGCTCTTATGTGTTGGTGTCCATAGGAAAAAAGGTGTCATACATCGGTGTCAGGCAAGAGTCTTCCAAGTCAGCTGAGCTGGGAGAATTCCCCGGCCCACACCCTGCTCTGATCTGGGAATCGAATGTGATAATGGAGTCAACCTTGTCTCTCAAATCACTGAAACCTGTAGACAATCCACAAGGATCCTTTCTACCTTAGTGTCACCTTCTTCCCCCAGGACTTTCGAGTAGAGCTATCCAAGGGCTGCAGAATGCACATGCCAGAGAGAGCTGGCTTCTTCATGATGATGATTATACTAATTAAAATGAAACAGGAGTAGGAGACAGAGGCCTTGTTTGCTACCCAGTGGGTTATGCATTCCCAGGGGAAGGGAATTGGCTCTTGTCGCGCTTCTCCAGTTACCAGCTGGGAATAAGGGAAGCCCATGGAGACGGTTCCTGGTGGAGGAGATGGAGCAGTGGGCCAAGGCTCAGGTGGCTCATATCCAATAATCCTGGCCCTACCTAGGGCCCTGGGAGCCCTGTCAGTTGTGGGAAGTCTCTGAGTGTCATCTGTAAAACAGGGAAATAATCATGATGGTCATGATGCCACTGTTGTGACGGTTATTTGAGTATCAAATAAGGTCAAGAATCCAAAAGCACCTTGAGGACCTTAAATGTTTCTTCAATCACAAGTTTCTCTTTGTTGGGACAAGCAAAATTTGGAAAGTAGAGGGCCTAGCTGTGAACCCTGCTGGGAATTCCAATGAGATCTTTCTTTCTTTGTTCTTTTGTGAGTTCATTTATTCATTCAGTGAACATTCATTTGGTGCCCACTCATAAGATGCTGAGGTTACAACTGTTAATAAGATATTAAGATACTGTCTTTTTCTTCCTCTTTCTCTCTTACACACACACACACACACACACACACACACTTTTTGGGCCAACTGGAAATTCATACATTCTCCCCAGCACTGGAGCTCAAAGCGTCTGCCAACCTGTGGGTTTCTTTTCCGTGTGGTTCACCATCTGGAGTGGCAACCTGCCTTCTGTGTGTGTGTGTGTGTGTGTGTGTGTGTGTGTGTGTGTGTGTGTGCGCGCGCGCACGCATGCACGTGCGTGCATGCCAGGGTATTGTGTTCCCTTTCTGTGCTTGAGAGGCTGAATGAACAAGAGAAGAGCAAAGGCAAAGAGGACAATGCCCAGAAGTCATCCTCGCAGTATGAATGAATAATTCATATTGTATCTGCCTCTTTCTAGGGCTTCCCAAAATAGCTGTTTTAATTGCTTATTTGTTTCACTGCTGACTTTATTCCAGCCGCCTTCAGCTCAGAACACTTCGGTGTTTCATGTTGACTTGCAGGTAGGGCTTCCCTTCAGGGAATAACATTCTATTTATTTTCTTCTTTAAAAAGAAATGATGGGAGAAAAACCCATAAAGCAAGTCATACTTTTCAGAGGCGAAAACTGTTTCTTTTCCACTGTTGTGCAGAGCTCCTTTGTAATCAGTTACTGTAGGCCTCTGTGGTCCTAAAAACCAAAGAAATAGCAGTCGAGTTGCAGACAAGGCGAGCTTCTGGCTAGAGCAGCCTGCTCACTGTGATGTGTTCACTTGGGAATCTGAGTGTGCAAACACTTGGGAATCCACAGACTTGGGACCCTTGCATGTGGTGGGCCATGCTGGCTTGTGGTTTTCCAGACATGTCAGCTGCAGCATCCGGAACAGGTCTCAGGAAGGCCCTGTCTATCTGGGTGGGTGACCTGGGGAAACAGTGTCATGTCTCCCTGGGGCCCTGATAGGACACCTTTGGTAGGCAATGCACAGCTTAGTTTAGAAAAGGCTTCATACAGTGGTCCTGGAGGGATGACTTATTGTATACAATAAGGAGATGTCAGGAGGTGTGTTCAGAGAATGAATGAGGATGGGCAAGGAGAGCTCGGTGAGTGTCAGGGAACCTGAGTGTCCAGAAGGATCCACTCCTCTGGCTGCGTGACCCCAAACACATCCTTGGGACACAGTCATGGAAACTCAGTGCTGAAAGGTCCTGTAGCCATCACTTTGTCATCTCATGGTAGGGATGGGAAAACAGCAGCCCAGGGGCTGGGAAGGTGCCCACAGCCACTCAGTAGTATAGCTGAGGATTGATACCAGTTGGATTTGCCTCTCAACTAGCTGAGTGTCCTTGGATGAACCAGTTAACCTCTCTGTGCCTCAGTTTCTACATCTATAAAATGGAGCTAATAATACTGTGTATAAGATTGTTTTAAATAAGCTAATATGTTGCATTGAATTGACGATTTTCTTTTTTCTTACAACTTTATTGAGGAATTTTTGAAGTCTACTAAATGGTATGTGTTTAAACAATTTTATGAGCTTTGACACGCATATATATATATATATGTACACATACATACATGTATACGTACACATGTAGGAACTCCTCATCATAATCAGTATAACAAACCTTATCTCCAAAACTTTTCTTGTGCCCCTCTGTAATCCTCTCCCTCTAACCCTCCTCCCCAGGCAACCACTGACCTGCTTTCTGCCCCTGTAGTTAATTTGTTTTTTCTAGAATTTCATATAAATGGAATCACACAATATATGGTTTTTGTTGTTGTTGGTGGTGGTGGGGTGTGTGTGTGTGTGTGTGTGTGTGTGTGTGTGTGTGTTCGAGACAGACTCTCACTCTGTCACCCAGGCTGGAGTGCAGTGGCACGATCTGGGTTCACTGCAACCTCTACTTCCTCAGCTCCAAGGATCCTCTCACCTCCACCTCCCAAGTAGCTGGGACTACAGGTACGCGCCACCATGTCTGGCTAATTTTTTTGTATTGGAGAGACAGGGTTCCACCATGTTGCCCGGGCTAGTGTTGCACTCCTGAGCTCAGGTGATCCACCCACCTCAACGTCCCCAAGTGCTGGGATTAGAGGCGTGAGCCACCACGTCTGGCCTATACACTATAGAGTTTTTTACCTAATATGTGTCTGAAATTAATCTTCATTACTGCATATTTTAATAGTTTATTCCTTTTTATTGCTGAGTAGTATTCTGTTGTTTGGCTGTACCACAGTTGTCTATCCATTTACCTATTGATGGACATATGGATTGTTTCTAGCTTGGGGTTTTTATAAATAAAGATAATATTGATTTTAAGAAGCACCATTATTGTATGTGCCATAAGAAAGGGAAATTGTGCCAATTAAACTATGTCCCAATGTTTTTATGTAATTAGAATGCTTATTTTATATTTGTTGAAATACATTTTTCAAGGTTAGTTTTTTTTGTTTTTTCTTTTTTAACTCACATATCACTTGTATGTGTAAAAAACCCACAAAGGAATATATGAGAAAAATAAAACTCTGGTATTCCTACAGTGTCTTCCCATTCAGAATCCAGTTCTTCGGAGTAGCTTTTTAGCTGAGTTATTAATGTCTGTGCTTTTAATATTGTCCTTTGTGCCCTTAAGAGTGTTAGTCATACAGCCTTGTTATAAAGACCCACAAAAAGGGACTCAAAGCTTGGCAATTCTGTAGAGGTAGCCAGCTTAAGAGTCCTGCTTTGGGAATGTTGCTAAACAGGTCTGTTGCATACCTTCTCCACACCTTTCCACAACCATTTGGTTCCTAGGGGTTAAAAGTGCTTACAACTTTATTGAGGAATTTTTGAATTCCTCAATGTCTTGTCTGTGGGATTTTTATCCCAAGCCTGTAGCACCCGTTCCACCAGTGGCAGTGCTGATGCCTTTGATATATGTGCACACACAGGCAGTGACAGCTCCATCAGGACTGCAGCCTAGGTGATATCAGTTGTAAGATGTCAGTAGTAGTAGCATACATCAGAGTTTCAGAAAATGCTGAATGTGTTTAAAAATGTGCATCTTTTGGTGAAATAGGGTCTATGTAAGGGACATTGGATAGTGCCTGGCATTTTGCAAATACTCAATGAAATTTTGCTTTTATTATTATTATTGCTATTACTATTAAGCCTCAGTTTCCTGTTGGTGAAATTGGGGTGATTGTACCTGCCTCACAGAAATATTGTTAGAATAAAGGAAGCGATCTATTTTACATGGAGCATATGGTCCTGTGCCTAGTGCTTCACTGGCCTTAAGTGGAAGCTGCCCTGACCTTTGGGACAGGTTGGCCAGGTATTAGACTAAAGCTGCAGAGGGTGCCTTAGGGGTGTTAAATTCTAGCTTCCTCTGTTTTGCAGGTGGGAAAGACCAAGAGAAAGGGTTAAGGTCCAGCAACAGGAGTGCCTTGCCCAAGGGCATCGTCAGGCTTCAAACCCAGATCTCATCATTCTTCTTCCAGTGCTCTGTCTAAACCATGCAGTCTTGGGAGGGGCCCCAAGTCAGACAGGATCTCAGAAAAGTCTTCACGGTCAATTCCATTTCTAGAAGGACCAGCTCCTCAAGCTGTGTGGTAAGGGTCAGAGCTCAAGGAGCAGAAGATTCTGGAATGGCCAAATTCCAGGACAGGGTGAGCTGCTGCCTCTGCAGTTACTGCTGATGAGGCTTCTAGACAGCCCAGCACCTGGGAAGAGCCCTTGGGAACCCAGCTCATGAGGCTGGAAGGAATAAGGCTGGGAGTTGAGTGTCCCCAGAGTCCTAAATACAGAAAGGAGTAGGGCTGCAGGCCTGCCTGGGGTTGTGTGCCAGGTGCTGTGTTGAGTCTTGTCCGTGCATGAATGAATGCAAGAACCTGGGAAGCAGGTTTTCTTGTCTGCTCTATACCTGCAGGAAAACTGAGGCTCAGACCTGGGGGAAGGAATGGACTGAGATTACACAGCTAGGAAGGATGGAACTGGGAGTCCTCTCTGGTTCTGTTGGCTTTTTCTTTAGGGCACAGAGCTTCCATAGCCTAACTCATAATTCAGGAATGAGGATGAAGCTGGGGTTGAGCAGGGTGAGGAGCAAAAAGATATTCCAGGGTCTTCATTCTACTGTGGTGTGGGGCTTTTAGGAAATTACCTTCCAAGTAGGTAATGAGAAAAATGAAGAGCCCACCTCCCAACCTCGTCTCTCCATGAATGGGAGCTTCATAGTTCTCCATCTTGGTTCCTACCCAATGATCAGTCTCATTCGGTATAATAGGGTTAGTTAGCCTGGGAAAATGCTATCAATACCTATTTCTTGGAGGCTGTTCAGATGCTTATTGAATTTCAAATGGAGCCAAGCCCAGCACCAAGCTGATTTGATCTCCTGGCATTATGTGATGCAGGGCTGGAGTTGGTCCCCAGGTCCCCTGGGTCCTTGGGTGGCTCCAGGCAAGTCTTTTATCTCTGTCCCTCAGTTTCCTCATTGGTAAAGAAAGGGAGTTGTTTTGTTGGGTTTCTTTTAATTTTAACATTCTCTACGTTGGGGGCCTCATTTGGGCAGCAGTGTGAAAAATAAATCACTGGGTGCGGTGGCTCACGCCTGTAATCCCAGCACTTTGGGAGGCTGAAGTAGGTGGATCACATGAGGTCAGGAGTTTGAGACCAGCCTGGCCAACATGGTGAAACCCCATCTCTACTAAAAATAGAAAAAATTAGCCGGGCATGGTGGCAGGCGCCTGTGGTCCCAGCTACTTGGGAGGCTGAGGCAGGAGAATCGCTTGAACCCGGGAGGCAGAGGTTGCAGTGAGCCTAGACCGTGCCAATGCTCTCCAGCCTGGGCAACAAGAGTGAAACTCCATCTCAAAAGATAAATAAATAAATAAATGAAAAACGAATCACTCACATTTATCAAGCACTCACTGTGTACTCATGTGCTGTTTCATGCATTATCTCATGTAAGCTTCAAGGAGCACTGTGGGGCAGGTCTGAATGGTACCTGCCTGAAAGGGCTGTTGTGAAGGCCAGCTGAGTAAATATATAAATACATTAACTGCTTGGAACAGTTGCTGGTGCATAGTGAGTGCTCAGTATATGTGTTCTTATTTTTCCTGTTTTGCAAATGTGACAACTGAGCCACATAGAGTTTACATATCTTGTCCAAGGTCACACAGCTAGAAAATGACAGAGCCTGGATTCAAAGCCAGTGAGTCTGGCTCCAGAGCCCTCTGCTCTTAACCAAGAGGCAGGAGTGACACATTAGAAAGCAATGGGGACAAAGTGCATCCAGACAGTGCCTGTCCCCAAAGGTGTGCTAAGTCCGTTTTTAAAATATAGCACTGTAGTAGATCAACAAACATATCTTCAGGCTGAATTTGGCCCTCAGGTTGTCCGTTGGCTTTACCTACTCTAATCCATGATTTGGTTCTCAGAACTGAAATCTTAAACCCAACAGGCAGCACACAGAGGGGATTAGCAGCCTGGATTCACCCCATGTCAGTGAGTGGGAACAGATAAGCATAGAGACTCAAGATGGAGGTGAAGGAAGGGGATGGACCCAAAGGGCACAGGTGTGTGATCTCACCAACCCAGCAGGGCAGAGGGAAGACAGAATCCAAGATTTGGCAGTGGGGAGGTGAGCCACTGGTTTGTGGGGGCCTAGTCTGAAGGTAGGGAGGGTTTGGGGTGGAGGAACCGTCTGGAATCTCCCCTCCAGCCCTCCCTCCTCTTCTTTTTTCTATAAAAGAATTTTAGGATGGGAATAACTAGGCCAAGAAAACTTCTGGGTAAGCCAGCCCAAACAGAGTAGGGAAACAAGGAGATCTAAGGGTGGAAAAGCCAGAATTTTGAGACAGGTGTTCGGAGGGTAGAGAACAAGAGGAAGGGAAGTGTTTACGAGAAGAAGAACTTGGGAATTCCAGGTATAAATGCCTCCTCCTTCAGAGAGCAGATTTTGAGAACCAAATCCAATTCAGCTACTGTCTCCTACCTTCTCCCATTTAACTTTCTAAAAAGAGAGAGGAAGCCAGGTGTGGTGGCTCACACCTGTAATCCCAGAATTTTGGGAGGCCGAGGCAGGAGGATCACTTGAGGTCAGGAGTTTGAGACCAGACTGACAAACATGGGGAAATCCCGCCTCTACTAAAAGTACAAAAATTAGCCCGGCATGGTGGCGGGCACCTGTAGTCCCAGCTACTCAGGAGGCTGAGGCAGGAAAATCACTTGAACCCTGGGAGGTAGAGATTGCAGTGAGCTTAGATCACGCCACTGTACTCCAGCCTGGGTGACAGAGCCAGACTCTGTCTCAAAAAAAAAAAAAAAAAAAAAAAGATGGTTTAAGCAGTCCCAGCTCCTCCAGGAAGGGAGGTGATAGAATACAGTGCAAGGTTTATTAGCTGTGCAAGCCAGGACAATTATTTTGCTTCAGTTTCCCCATCATGAAAATCGGGGTATAAAACCTAACTCATCCTAACAGCCAATGTAGATTGAACCCTGAATGCCATGTGGTCAGCACAGCCCATTTTAACGCAGCGGTGACTTTGAGCACCCCCATCTTATGGATGAGGAAACAAAGCCACACAGGTTAGAGTTCATGCCCAAGGGGACAGAGCTAATGAGTGACAGTGCCTGCATTGGGACCCAGATGGCTGACTCCAGACTTGTGAGTTTTAACCACCACCGTGTATCTCTTAGGGTGAAGACTGATAATGGTGGGTGTGGTGATGGTGGTGATGATAGCTCACGTGTTAAGGATTTGAGATAAAGGGTGATGTGATTCTTCACAACGCGCAGAACTCTCTGATTATGTTTGCAACCCACATTTATCAAGGGCTTGTCTTGTGCCAGTCCCGGCACTAGATACTGTATAGGTTATCTCATTTAATCCCCACAACACCCTTATGAGAGTGGGCCTTCCTGTGTAAGTTTCACAGAGAAGAAAACTCCTCTCAAGCAGGTTACATAACCCACCTACAGTTCTGGAAGAGGTGGAGCCTGGGTTTCAGCCTCGCATCCCATTCCTGAGCCTTTGTGGGTAACATCTACCCTGCCTCCTCCTTAACCATGGAGCTGACCACAGCTCTTTCCTCCTCCCCTCCCCAGCCCTCCCTGACTACACCCCATTGCTGCATTCTCTCCCTGCCCATGGCCCGTTGGCCTTTCGCGTCTATACTGCTGACGTAGCACCTTATTAAATATCCCTGCATCCTCTAATTACCTGTGGCTCAGGCCGCGGGTAGCGTTACAGCCACATACACTCCCATGGAATGTTGTGGGGATGACTCCCTGCCTGTTTGGAGTGTGAGTCTTGTTCCCCGGCCAGACCCTCTGCCCCTGGAAGCAGAAACATGGCTTCTTCAAGCGTCTGAGCCCTCGTAGTGCCTAGCATGGGCCTGGAGTGCCATACTCACTTGATAAATGCTTGTTGCTTGGTGGATTGATTGAAATGAGGGTGGAAGGATGAGAGTGGAGGGTGAGGCAGAGAGTGTCTCTGGGTCACCCTCCAGCTCAACACAAGGGCAGTGGTCAGAGGAATAATCCAAAGTGCATACCCAGGCCCCAGAGCCGCCAAAGCTGACCTCCGCCTCCACTTCACCTGAATAGCATGGATCTCTCTGAAATGGCCCTCTTGATTTGCTTCTGGCTGGGGTGCATCTCGCCCTCTAGACTGTAAGGGCAGGGCCCTATCTGTCTCTTTCCTCTGTAGCTGGTGTTAACGAAGGCTCTGCTGTGTGTCATGTGCTCAGCTCTCCTAACAAACTTGAGAGATGGTTATTTTTATCATGCCCAGATTTGTTAGACAATGAGTAAAAGAGTCTGAACCAAACTGAATTAAAGGAAGAAGGACTTCAAACGTTGCCTTTCTTCCTGTTCATTCTGGCCTCCCCGGAGCTAAAGGTGAAGGGACTGCTTAGAAATGGTGTTCTGCAGCAGCCCCAGGTGAAGGAGCATTATCAGGAATTGTGCAACCTTAGCTATGGGAACTATGCGTGTGAAACAGCCCAGGGCGGGAAGAACCAGCCTGGCCATTGTGCCTGGGCTGGGGAGGAGAGGTTCGGCTGAAAGTTTGGACAGTTCTTGGCTTGGAGTCTGGAGGGCCCTTTAGAAAGTGATCCCGCCCAGCCAGCCCTCAGAGAGAGCAGGCCAGCATCCTGCTGGACGGTAATAAAGAGGTTACTGTGGGAAGCTGGGACTTGCTTGGGAAACACTAGGAACATGAAAGATAGGGTATGCATTCTTCAGTCCCGAGAGAATCACCACCCAGTATTAAACTTGGCAGAAGGCTTTCCTCTCCTCCTCTGAGCTGCCTCCTTAGAAAAGGCACATTGTCAGAATGCCGAATGCCCACCGTGGTCTCATGTCCTCACAGCCCGTAGGAAAGTAACTACCAGTTACCCACTGGTGGTTGCCCCTGAGAGGAGGGTAAGGGAGGCTTCCAGCCCCCGGGGTGGCTCTCCCCGACAGGTGTGCCTGTGTGCTGTTTGTAGGGTGCTCCTGGCAGAACCTACCTGTCTCCACAGCGACACATCTGGCCGTTTTTCCAGGAGGGCCTGTTGAGAAACATTCAGGAATGTTTGTGCTCCTTTAGAGATTTGTAATTAAGAAGAGGCAGAACTCGTTCTTGTCTGGCACCCTCCCTTCTTGCCCCTCCAGCATCTGGGTCATTTGATTTCACAATTGGGGTTTTCGGCAGCCCGAGTTGTGGAGGCTGGAAGCAGGGACCGACTGAACCAGGCTGGATGGTGGTGAATTGCTTCACCCGAGGGTGGGGGCTGGGAGTTCCAGGCAGGCCCCCAAGTCCTGGCCACATCTGAAAGTGGACATTTCTTCCCAGGTTGCATCCTTAGCACTTGCCCAAGGTGAAACATTTCAGGCCAGTGGAGCACCCACAGTTCCTGGGGGACGGGGGGTGGCTGGTTTAAATGGACAATTCCTCTCCTTAACTGCCAGGAAGAGTGAGTGTGTGCATGTATGTATGTGTGAGTGTGTCTGTTTAAATCTTTGTGCAGCCAAAAACACATCTCTTCATCCTGAATGACACATCTCTACACACTGAATAATTCATCTCCCTCTTGGCATTTGTTCCGGAGAGAATCTTGCTGTCCAGATTTCTTGTAAGTTGCATAGCCTTCCATAGGCACTTCCTTGTTTCCCATGGAAGAGCTCTGGGAGTCAGGATATCAGTCAGTCAGCCCTCTGGCATTTCCCCTGTGATCGCATCAAAGGGGAATGAGAATATCAAACCCAAAGTGTTTCTCTCTCCTTTGCCCTCTCCTTCTAGCTTTGGGTCCTCTTGCCTCCCTCTGCTTTATTTCTCTTGGGCACAGTGTCTGTGTTCACTGCAAGTGGAATCAGCATTGTGTCCTGGTAGGGTATCCACATGTCTGTCACATTACTGATGCTTGGAGCGAATAAATGTATTTGGCTCTGACATCTCAACGTGTAAGGCTGGAACAATCAGTGGAGTTAATGGTTTTCCAGATAGTGACACATTTTCGGGGTTTCAGTCCCGTCCTCCTAACCCCATCTCCATCCTCACACCCAGCAAGCTCAGTAAATCATTTGTATTAATGACTTTGAAACACTTTTTTTTTTTTTTTTTTTTTTTTTGAGATGGAATCTTGCTCTGGAGTGCAGTGGTGTGATCTCAGCTCACTGCAGCCTCCGCCTCCCAGGTTCAAGCGATTCTCCTGGCTCAGCCTCCCGAGTAGCTGGGATTACAAGTGCCTGCCACCATGCCCAGCTAATTTTTGTATTTTTAATAGAGATGGAGTTTCACCATGTTTGCCAGGCTGGTCTTGAACTCCTGACCTCGGGTGATCCACCCGCCTCAGCCTCCCAAATGCTGAGATTACAGGTGTGAGCCACTGCACCCAGCCGACTTTGAAACACTTAATTGCCTCTTTATTAAGCAGCCATGGATTTCCCAGGTCTATTGAATATCCTTGCACCAACACATAGATAACTGAAGGTCCCAAATATGCTAAAGCCCCCATGCCTTTTGCCTGCTTCAGATGTCCCTCTTGTCTCATTTCACCTTCTGTATCTCTAGCACAGCTTGCTCTGTGTTCCAGATTGTTCTGAGACTCACCCTTCGTCTTGTTATTTTTTATTTATTTACTTATTTATTTTGAGACGGAGTCTTGCTCTGTCCCCCAGGCTGGAGTGCAGTGGCGGGATCTCGGCTCACTGCAAGCTCCGCCTCCCGGGTTCACGCCATTCTCCTGCCTCAGCCTCCCGAGTAGCTGGGACTACAGGCGCCCGCCACTGCGCCCGGCTAATTTTTTGTATTTTTAGTAGAGAAGGGGTTTCACCGTGGTCTCGATCTCCTGACCTCGTGATCCGCCCGCCTCGGCCTCCCAAAGTGCTGGGATTACAGGCATGAGCCACTGCGCCTGGCCCAGTCTTGTTAATTTTTATTAGCAGAGCTCGAGTTTTGGAATCTGGCAGTGGAACTTCAGGTTATACCTGTGGTGTTTACTAACTGTGTGATGCCGAGCATGTTTTCTTATTTGCAAAACAGAGTAAGAGCACCTGCTACCTGGAAAGGGAATGTCACATACACAGCTTGCTTTCTAGGCCTAGAGTTAGCCCTTATTCAACATTTTAGTTATGATTAATATATGAACACAACAAATAAATTAATAAAAAAAAAGAAAGAGAAGAAATAAAATTACACTGAAATCCCTATATTCAGATAGCGTTTCAATCTGTGTCTTTCCAGTTTCTTTACTAACACACACACACACACTCTCTTCAGGCAAAATGTCATACTGTAACAGTATCCTGTAGCTTTTATCTTTGAACAGTGTTGTTTTTCTCAGAGTATATTGAGAGCATCTTTCATGTTAGCAAAATAAAGAACACTTCATCTTTTTTTTTTTTTTTTTGAGACGGAGTTTTGTTCTTGTTACCCAGGCTGGAGTGCAACGGCACGATCTCGGCTCATCGCAACCTCCACCTCCCGGGTTCAAGTGCTTCTCCTGCCTCTGCCTCCCAAGTAGCTGGGATTACAGGTGTAAGCCACCACACCTGGCCAGAACACTTCATCTTTTTTGGTTGTTCCTACATATTCATTACATTATTCACCCATTGCACAAATATTTATTGAGCACCAATTATGCCAGACACAGGATTCTGTAGCTTGGATGCACCACTGATTAAAATCACTTAATTAATCTCCAAGGAGGAATTTTGAAAAGTGATGATCTATACGCAGAAACAGGGGAGCTGTTGGGAAGGGGACGTATCTTCTTGGTTTTCTGGGTTGCAAACTGTCTATATAAGATTCATACCTCTTCTGGTAGGTGGGACTTCTCTGGGCACAGTGCAGGTGGAGGAATGAGCCAGAATGATCTCTCTGGTGGCCTGACCATGCCTGTTTCCCCACAGATTGACCTGTCATCAGCCATGGAGTCACTCCCCATGGAAGGCATACCTGCGTGTGGAGCTTTCCTTCAGAGCCCCTTTCAAGGCTTTGTTAGATGAGGTGATGTTAGATGAGGCTTTGCTCTTGGTTGCTGGTCTTCATTCTCCATAAGGAAGAGGGAACAAACCACTTAAAAAACTTTAAGCAAGACACTGAGAGAAGTGGCCTTTTGTTTCTGACATCTGGCAGGGCATGGAGGGTGGTGGCGGGTGGCCTGGAGACGGCTTTGGGGAAACTTCATCCAGGTCGTTTGGAGCAGATGCTCCTGAACCAAGTGCATCCTGAGCTGAGGGAAGTCCCCATCACCTGTGTCTACCCCATTTTCCCTCCTTCTACTCCAAAATGGTAGTTTGTGTTTTCCCGTGGGGCTTAGGAGATGCAATGAAGGTGTCAGCTTTCAAGATAATCTGGTAGCTCCCTGCAGGGGCCCTAGAGACCAGCCATCTTGCTTGAAATCCCAGCTTTGTCTTTGACATTGAGAATGTTATTTAGTCTTTCTTAGCCTCAGTTTCTCCTTCTGGTAAATGGAGGTAAGGATAACTAATGATTTTTGAGTGCCCATTCACACTAGCACCTGTGCTAAAAGTACTCACAAACATGGCCTTATTTAACCCACCCAACAAATGGAGAGTTAGTACTGTCCTCATTATACAGATAAGAATACTGAAGCTCAGAGAAGGAAAGTAAGTTGCCTAACTCACACAGCCAGTAAGTGATGCTTACTGAACCCTTATTTGTTTTGTTGTTGTTGTTGGTGGTGGTGGTGGTGTTTTAGAGTCAGGGTCTGGCTCTGTTGCCCAGCTTGTAATGCAGTGGTGCCATCACAGCTAACTGCAGCCTCCAACTCCTGGGCTCAAGCAGTTCTTCCACCTCAGCCTCCCAAGTAGCTGGGACTACAGGTGTGTACCACCATACCCGGCTAATTTAGCACATAGTGTATTGCACATCACATACCTCTGGCCTCATCCTCATGGAACCAGCAGCCTTCCACAGTGCAGCAGTAAATTACTATCAGAAGCTTTTGGGTATTCATTCAACCAAAAGGTATTTTTCATAGCCTGCCAGACCCTGGGTATATAGTGGTACGTGAACACACCAGGTCCTATCCAGCTGGGGCTCTTTCAGCATCCCTTTCTTCATGTATTTTTCTGTAAGTTGGATTTGGAGTGAGTTTTAGAGGGCAGGAGAGTGTAAGCCTCTTTTTTTGGTTTTTCCTATGTATTCATTACATTATTCACTCATTGTGCAATTTTTTTTTTTTTTTTTTTTTTTGAGACAGAGTTTCACATTGTCACCCAGGCTGGAGTGCAGTAGTGTGATCTCGGCTCAGTGCACCCTCCACTTCCCAGGTTCAAGCAATTCTCCTGCCTCAGCCTCCTGAGTAGCTGGGATTACAGGCACCAGCCACCATGCCCAGCTAATTTTTGCATTTTTAGTAGAGAGAGTTTCACCACATTGAGCAGGCTGGTCTCAAACTCCTGACCTCAAGTGATCCACCCACCTCAGCCTCCCAAAGTGCTGGGATTATAGGCATGAATCACTGCGCTGGGCCCCGTTGCACAAATACTTATTGAGCGCCAATTGTGCTGGACACAGGATTCTGTAGCTTGGTTGCACCATTGATTAAAATCATTTAATTAATCCCCAAGAAGGAATTTAAAAGGTGATGATCCATATGCAGCAGCAGGGGAGCTGTTGGGAGGGGACATATCTAGCAAGTCTCTTCCTTGGAAGGAAGCCCTTGATGAGAAATCCTAGACCCCAGCCCAGTCATCTCCCGTCCTGTCCCGTTGTACTTCACTTTGCCAGTCTATAGAAAGAATCTGAAGCAGAGCCTTCTGGGCTTCCAGAATTGGGATTGGGTAGGAAGCAGACAGGAGAAGGAGATTGTAGAATATGTATTTTAGGCAGAGGCAGTGATGGGAAGAAACCAAAGTGACTGTCTGGAGGGGCCACCCAGGCTGAATCTCATATACCCAGATTCCCAGCTTCCCATACTCTGGTTTAAATACTTGACAAATTGTTTGTGATAGTTTTCTAGCACTGACAAGCCTTTGTTAGTTTAGTTGAGTGATTTGTTTATTTGATTTAGCCATTGAGACTTGGTGATTACTACCACTTTGATCCCCACAAGATGGGGACATAGAGAGCGGTTATTGCTAAAAGATCAGTTTGGCCTGGATTGTCTAAGGAAGCGCCATTGTGGGTGCAAGCATTTGGGAATCAGCTCAAGAGGAAAATAAATACTGCTCATTGGCCAAACTCACAGGGATGGAACATCTGCTATTCTTGATGTTGCGGCAAGCCAGCCTTCCAAAGGGCAAGTGAGCATGACAGGCGTGAGACAGAGCCAGGATAAGGATTAGAGGTGGGGTGGCTGAGTGCGTTGCAGGTGAAGAAGCCAAGGAGGGCTGGAGTCCAACTCAAGAAGCAAGACTTGACCTTAGACCCTTTGCCTGCAAACCCTCAATCAGAGTTGCAGAAACAGAGGCCCAAAGAAGGAAGTTGACTTGCTCCAGTCACTTCTGAAGGAGTGGCAAAGTTGGGACCAGAACACAGATTCCCTGCCTCCCACACAGGGTGATCTTATCCTGCTGCTGCAGCTATGTGTTCACCTTCCCGGGAACAAAGGGGACAACAGAGCTGGTGCTGCTGTGGTGTAAAACTTTTGGATCTGTTGAGCCAGCCCAGAAAAGCAGGAGGCACAGGGAAGCAGCAGGTTGCAGGCATTTGGGGACTGTAGGCTGATGGAGTCTGTTTCTCCTCTCCCTTGCCAGGTACACCAAACCGCTCACCTTTGCTGACTGCATTAGTGATGAGTTGCCGCTAGGATGGGAAGAGGCATATGACCCACAGGTTGGAGATTACTTCATAGACCACAACACCAGTAAGTTCCCGACGGTCCTCCCTTCCCTGTGCCCTCTTCATCCCTCCACCTCCAAGCCCATCCTCCCTCCAAGTCTGGAAGAACCACTTGCAGACTCTTGGAGCCAGATTGTATTTTGTTTTATATAGATTTAGATAGAAATGTCGATGTAGATATAGATAGATAATGTATGCTTGTGTAAAAATAACAGTTTAGAAGGGTTTTTAATAGAATCTAAAACTCCTCTCACAATCCATCTCCCCAATTTTATGGGGGCAGCCACTGTGAACAGTTTCTTGTGTATCATTCCAGAAATTTTCTAATCATGTGTTTGTATGTGTGTATGTGTATATATGCACATATATATTTACATATGTAAATTTGTGGGCATACCTTTTCTTCCCCCTAAAAGAAAGATGTGTCATTGTCATTGCCAGACTATCTTAGAGCAGCCAGAGCCCTAGCAGGCCCCCCACAGCATGTATGCATATATGTCCATAGTGAATTGGCGAGAGAGAGAGAGAGAGAGAAAGAGTGTGTTTGTGTGTGTGTGTGTGTGTGTGTGTGTGTGTGTGTGTGTGTCTGGCCCATCATACCAGTCAGCCCACCCTCACTTCATATCTGTGATCCAAGTATCCCAATCCGTTACAAAGATTCCTAGTACCTCTGTCTCTGGGACTGTGATGGAGGAATGACTTGAGGAAAGAAGCAGGTTGTCTGACAGGTGGAGGAACCCAGGGAGCAATCCTCCAGCGGGGGAGAGTTGATGTGTGTTTGGGCCTCATCCACTGAGCACCCTCTTGGCCAAGACTGTTCTCTGAAATTTGCTGTCCCACTTGTGCATGTGTACAGAGGAAAGGGATTTTTCAGCCTCACTCTCAGCCTTCTAAACTGTAGCATCCCCTTAATCCTCTCAGGCAAGAAGAAAATAGAATGAAATGGGATGTGCCTGGCAAAGTCTGAAGGCTGAGACTAGGGCATCAAATCCTAATAGCCTCTGTTTACTGAGCACACAGTCTGTGCCGTGTCCTGTGCTGAGGACTTGATAGGCATTATCTCTTTTAATCCTCCCAATTCCTGGTGGGATGTTCAGATGATCATCCCCATGTCATAAATGGGATTTAGAGTCAATTGACTACTTAAGACTCACAGCTAAAATGTGGCAGGGCTGGGATTGGAACTGGCCCTGGAGAATGAAGTTGTACTTCTCCACCTACTTCCTCTTCTGGGTTTCAGTAGCACCCTGGCCACACCTGTCTTGTGCCCTTCATCACCCTGTATTATAATCATTTGCCTGTTGTTGCAGGTCTCCTAGAGCAGAGACTGTGTCTAATTCATCTCTCTAGTCCCAGGCCTTTGCCTGGTAAGGCACATAGTAGGTGTGAACTTAACCTGTGCTAAATAGAAAAGGGCATACGTGCATGAATGCATGAATAAATGGGTGAATGAGTGGACTGTTGTTGGCACCAAAGTGTAGAAGAGCTTCTGAGAGACAGCTAATGGCATTAATTGCATTGTTGGGGGTAGCAAAGGTTTTTATTAGCACTCATGATTGCGTACTGGATAATGAGAAGTAAATATGCCTAATTGAGTGTGTATGGGGAATGAGGTTAATGCTTGGAGGGCTGCATGGGATGCTGGGTTAAACACTGATGTGCAGGAGACCTAATCAGTCTTTTCCTGTTTCTAATTGCTGAGTGCATCCCCCTCATTAAAATCTCATGGTGGGAGTGGGATTTCAAGGTGCTTCTGGGAGCTGTTGGAAAAATGGAAGAAAGTAGTAGCAGGCCGTGGCAGAGTTTATTCTTGAGGGAATGAAGGCAGAAATGGGGTGTATGGGGGTGATTAAATGGGGCCATAGCAGGAAGAATTCTATCTGGTAGTTTCACAAGCTGTCAGGCTACTGGTTTCCTCTTGGTTTGAGGTGGTCTGGTTGGATGTGGGGGACCACCTCAGTAGATGGAGCCATTGATAGCAATATAGTAGGAATATGAGCACCAAGGCCCAGGCATTCAGAGCCATGCACTTGGACCAGTTCTGTGTGTGCATTGTTCATGGACTGAAATTCTCTTAAGAGTTATAGACACAATATCGGGCATGTTTGCATGTGTCTATAGTCCCAGGTACTTGGGAGGCTGAGGCAGGAAGATCATTTGAACCCAGGAGTTCAAGGCTAGTCTGGGCAACATAGCAAGGCCTTGTCTCTTAAAAAAAAAAAAAAAAAAAAAAAAAAAAAAAAAAAGGTGGGGGTGTGCTGGGCGCAGTGGCTCACGCCTGTAATCCCAGCACTTTGGGAGGCCGAGGTGGGCGGATCACGAGGTCAGGAGGTCGAGACCATTCTGGCTAACAGAGTGAAACCCCATCTCTATTAAAAATACAAAAAATTAGCTGGGCGTGGTGGCGGGCATCTGTAATCCCAGCTGCTCAGGAGGCTGAGGCAGGAGAATGGCATGAACCCTGGAAGCGGAGCTTGCAGTGAGCCGAGATCCCGCCACTGCACTCCAGCCTGGGCAACAGAGCGAGATTCTGTACCAAAAAAAAAAAAAAAAAAAGAGAGAGAGGTATAGCACAATATAATCAAACAACAATTCGCTCATACATTCACCATCGAGCATTCATTCATTTAGCAAATGTTTATTGGCCAACTCTTCTGGGAGCTTGCGATACATGGGAGTACAAAATGGCAAAGATCCTTGCTCTTATAGAAATTTCATTTTGGCAGGAGAGACAAAAAATAAATAAGTAGATTATGTAGTATGTTAGAGAATGTTCAGTACACAGAAAAAAGGAGCAAAGTCGGGAGCTGAGGTGTATTTGGGGGTGGCGAAGAAAGGGCCGTGGTAATGGTGACCAAGAGTACCATTAAATATGATGTGGTCTTCCGGGAAGAAGATCTTGTTGAGACAATGAGATTTGAGCTAAGACTTGAAGGAGGTGAGAGAGCATTTCAAATAGAAAGCATAGATAGAAGAAGAACTCCAAGGTGTGATCACATTTAGCGGTCAAGGGATAGCAAAGAGGCAAGTGTGCATATAACATAATGAGTGAGGAGAGGGGAGAAGGACATCAGGACAGAGTGCAGCAGAGTAGAGGTCAGGCAGTGGTCTGCCCCAGAGGCCTAGCTCTTCCGCTGTGTGAGATGGGAGTGAGCCATTGGAGAGTTTTAAACAGATGAGTAACATGATCTGACTTATGTCTTAAAAGGACCAGTCTGACTGCCATGCTGAGAATACACCTTATTAGGGCAAGGGTGGAGGCAAGGAGACTTGTGAGCGACAAATGCCACAGTCCAGGCGCCCTAGACCTGGGCTGTAGCAATGGTCAGGGTGAAGATTGGCCAGATGCTGGAGGTATTCTCTAGGTAGAGACAGCAGGATTTCCCGATAGATTGCATGTAAAGTATGAAAGAAAAAGGAAAGAATAACTTCTGGAGCTGAGCAACTAGAAGGATGGAGTTGCTATCAACCAAGTGGAGAAAACTGCAGGGGGAGTAGACTTAGGAAGGAAGAGCAGGAGTTCATTTGGACATGTCAAGACTTACATGTCTATTACCTATCTGAGAGGACATGTGGCTTGACAGTTTGATATATAAACCTGGAGTTTAGGAGAGAGGTCTGGGCTGAAGATAAGTATTTGAGAGTTGCTGGCATATAGCTAGTATGTAAAGACACTAAGTTGGTTGGGAATGAAACAGAGAAGAGGACCAAGGAATAAGTCATGGGTCTCCAGACAACAGAGGGTGGCAAGAAGAGGAAAAGCAGCAATGATTCTGAGAAAGAGTGATCAGAAAGGAGGGAGGGAAACCGAGTGTGTTGGAAGCCACGTGAAGGAAACATATCAAGCAGAGAATTGCCGACAGTGTCGAAGGCTTCTGACAGGGCAAATACAAAGAGGACCAAGGATAAACCAATAGATTTAGCAACCTGGGTGACCTGACTTTGGAGGGCAGCTTTGGACGAGGACTGGGAGCAAAAGCCTGACTAGAGTGAGTCTAAAAGAAAACAGGGGAGGAATTGGAAGCAGCAATGCAGACAACTCTTTCTTTTTTTTTGTTTTTTTCTTTTCTTTTCTTCTTTTTTTTTAGACGAAGTCTCGCTCTGTCGCCCAGGCTGGAGTACAGTGGCAGATCTTGTCTCACTGCAACCTCCACCTTCCGGGTTCAAGCAATTCTCCTGCCTCAGCCTCCCAAGTAGCTGGGATTGCAGGTGCCCGCCACCACGCCCAGCTCATTTTTGTAATTTTAGTGGAGACAGGGTTTCACCTTGTTGGCCAGGCTGGTCTCAAACTCCTAACCTCAGGTGATCTGCCCACCTTGGCCTCCCAAAGTGCTGGGAATACAGACGTGAGCCACCATGCCCAGCCTACAGACAACTGTTTCTAAAACATAAGCCATTTTTACTATTTCATGTCAGTATTCAGTATCCCCGATTATCTACACATACCATGATTAGATGGTTTTAATCAGTGATCAAATTTTATGTCTGTTTTCTTTTCATACTATATCATAGATATCTAAGGGATGCTATATAATCTTCATATTTGTCTTTTTTTTTTTTCTTCTAGACAGAGTCTTGCTCTGTCCCCAGGCTGTAGTGCAGTGATGTGATCTTGGCTCACTGCAACCTCCGCCTCCCGAGTTCAAACAATTCTCCTGCCTCAGCCTCCTGAATAGCTGGAATTACAGGCATGTGCCATCATGCCTAGCTAATTTTTGTATTTTTAGTAGAGATGGGGTTTCACCATGTTGGCCAGGCTGGTTTCAAACTCCTGACCGCAGGTGATCCTCCTGCCTGGGCCTCCCAAAGTGCTGGGATTACAGGCGTGAGCTGCTGTGCCTGGCCCATATTTGTCATTTTTAATACATCAAAAGGATGTGTCAATACATTTTAACACATAATGGAGGAAGTCCTAGCCAGAGCAATCAAGGCAAGAGAAAGAAATAGAAGATACCCAAATAGGAAAAGAAGAAGTCAAAGTATCTCTCTTCGCTGATGATTTGATTCTATACCTAGACAACCCTAAAGATTCTGCCAAAAGACTTCTAGAACTGATAAATGATTTCAGCAAAGTTTCAGGATACAAAATAAATGTAAAAAAATCAATAGCATTTCTGTAAACCAATAATGTTCAAACTGAGAACCAAATCAAGAACGCAATCCCATTTACAGTAGCCACACACAAAAAAAAAATACCTAGGAATACATCTAGCCAAGGAGGTGAAAGATATATACAAGGAGAACTACTAAACACTGCTGAAAGAAATCACAGGTGACACAAACAAATGGAAAAACGTTCCGTGCTCATGGATTGGAAGAATCAATATTGTTTAAATGGCCATACTGCATAAAGCAATCTGCAGATTGAGTGCTATTCATATCAAACTACCAGCATCATTTTTCACAGAATTAGAAAAAACTATTCTAAATTCATTTCGAGCCAGAAAAGAGTCCAAACGGCCAAAGCAAATCTAAGCAAAAAGAACAAAGCCAGAGGCATCATATTATCCAACTTCAAACTATACTATAAGGCTGCAGTATCCAAAACAGCATGATACTAGTACAAAAGCAGGCACGTAGATCAATGGAACAGAATAGAGAATTTAGAATAAAGCCGCACACCTACAGCTATTTGATCTTCAACTAAGTCGACAAAAATATGCAGTGGGGAAAGGACTTCCTGTTCAATAAATGGTGTTGGGATAGCTGGCGAGCCATATGCAAAAGAATAAAACTGGACCCCTACCTTTTACCATATACAAAAGTTAACTCAAAATGGATTAAAGATTTAAATGTAAGACCTCAAACTATAAGAGGCCTAGAAGAGAACCTAGAAAACACCATTCTGTACATTGGCCTTGAGAAAGAATTTATGAGTAAGTCCTCAAAAGCAATTGCAACAAAAACTAAAATTGACAAATGGGACCTAATTAAACTAAAGAGCTTCTGCACAGCAAAAGAAGCTATCAACAGAGTAAACAGAAAACCTATGGAGTGGGAGAAAATATTTGTAAACTATGCATCCAGTAAAGGTCTAATATCCAGAATCTATAAGGAACTTAAAAAATTCAACAAGCAAAAAACAAATAACCCCATTAGAAAGTGAGCAAAACAATAAACAGACACTTCTCAAAAGAAGACATAAAAGAGGCTAACAAACATATGAAAAAATGCTCCACATCCGTGATCATCAGAGAAATGCAAATCAAAACCACAGCGAGATACCATCTCACACCAGTCAGAATGGCTGTTATTAAAGAGTCAAAAAACAACAGATGCTGGTGAGGATGTGGAGAAAAGAGAACACTTATATGCTGTCAGTGGGAATGTAAATTAGTTCAGCCACTGTGGAAAGCAGTTTGGAGATTTTTCAAAGAACTTAGAACTACCATTCAACCCAGCAGTCCTATTACTAGGTATATATCCAAAAGGAAAGATATCACTCTACCAAAAAGACACATGCACTCATATGTTCATCACAGTACTATTCCTAATATCAAAGACATGGCATCAACCTTAGTGCCCATCAGCAGTGGATTGAATAAAGCAGATGTGGTACATATACACCATGGAATACTATACAGTCATTAAAAAGAAAAAATCATGTCCTTTGCTGCAACATGGATGCAGTTGGAGGCCATTATTCTAAGCAAATTAATACAAGGACAAACACTCAAATACCACTTGTTCTCACTTTATTTTTTTGAGAGTGGGAGCTAAACAATGGGTACTTATCGACATAAAAGATGGCAGCAATAGGCACTAGGGGCTACTAGAGAGGGTAGGGAGATGGGGGCAAAGGTTGAAAAACTACCTATTAGGTACTATGCACAGTATACCCCAAACCTCAGCATCATGCAATACATCCATGTAACAAACATGCACAGGTACCCCCTGAATCTAAAATTTAAAAGTTAAATTTTTTAAAAAGGGAAAAATAAAACACATAATGGAAGTACCATAATGCTTCCTATTGCCAACCTTTTGGTTTATTTTCATTTATTATTTTAAATAGCACTCAGGGAAGACTCTTTGTGTATGTTACTTTCTTTGTGATAATTTCCTGAAAATTCATTTCCAAGTATAGGATTTTGAAGTCAAAGTTATAAATACCTTGGGAGCTTTTAGTATATATTGCTAGATTGGTGAATATTTCCAAAAGATTATATCAGCTTGTATTGCCACAAGACATGAGGGTACTGTTTTCCTCAGACCTTCATCAGTATGGGGCTATGTTCGTTTCTTTTGACTTTTGATACATATATCATAGGTTTAAACTCTTACTTCATTGTTTTGAATTTGCACTCCTTTGCATAGTAACAAGGTTGAATATTCTCCAGATGTTTTTAAGAGAATTGCTTTTGTTGTTGCTAAGGCCCTTGGAAAATGCAGTATTGTTAGCGGCGTGGGTGTGTATGCAGTGTGGAGAAAACAGGTGTGTGGCAAGTGTAGGAAGGGATGGGTGTATGGAGAACTCATGAGTGTGCTGCCATGTGTGCTGTGTGGAGAATGTGTATGGCGTGTGTTTGTAGGGAGAGGTTTAGAGCATGGAGCAGAAGAAAGTGGAGAAGTGGTTCTCAATGATGCCTGCACTAGAGCAGATACAAGTTTGGAAAGTAGCTGCTTTTGGAAAGAGGGATATGAGGGAGATGTTTTATGTAGGAAATTTTATAGTGCACTGAATTATTAAGCTATATCTATGTATACTTTTAATTAAAACAAGAACTAAAATGTAGTAGTGGCCAAGATGATCTCAAAGGGCCTGCCAGTTACAAAGTTACCTATTTTGGTAAGATGGACTTGAGGAAGGGTAGTGTCAGCAGAAGGGGCTGGGCTGTCGGAGGACCCCCTCAGGGTGTGACAGTTCAGAACTAACGGCATTAACACAACTCTTTTTTTTATTTTTTTGAGACGGAGTTTCACTCTTGTCACCCAGGCTGGAGTGCAATGGCGCGATCTTGGCTCACTGCAACCTCTGCCTCCTGGGTTCAAGCGATTCTCCTGCCTCAGTCTCCTGAGTAGCTGGGATTACAGGCATACACCACCACACCCAGCTAATTTTTGTATTTTTAATAGAGATGGGGTTTCGCCATGTTGGTCAGGCTGGTCTTGAACTCCTGACCTCAAGTGATCCACCTGCCTCGGCCTCCCAAAGTGCTGGTATTACAGGCATGAGCCACTGCATCCAGCCAACACAGCTCTTTAGAACCATGTAAAGAACTTTTAAAAGGCCCAATGCCCTTGAAGGATAATCTTTTCAACAGTTGTTGGTACAACTGGTATCCATATGGAAAAAAAATAGGCCACCACTTCTACCTTTGCCTCACACCATGTGTAAAACTAAACTCAAAATAGATCATAGACCTAAACATAAAAGCTAAAATTATAAAACATCTAGAAGAAAACATAGGAGAAAATCTGCAAGATTTTATGATAGGCAAAGATTTTTTTGGACAAGTCATAAAAAGCACTAACCAGAAAAGAAAAATTAATAAATTTGGTTTCATCAAATTAAAATCTTTGTTCCTCAAAAGACATTATTAAGAAACTGAAAAGACAAGCCACAGATAAGGAGACAATATTGCAATACATATCTCTAACAAAGAACCATATTCCAAGTATGTAAAGACGTCCTACAACTTAACAGTAAGAAGCAGCTGGCACAGTCGCTCATGCCTGTAATCCCAGCACTTCAGGGTGCTGAGGTGGAGGGTCACTTGAGCCCGGGAGTTCACGACCAGCCATAGCAAAACATAAGGCAGCACAGGGCAACACAGTGAGACCTCATCTCTACAAAAATAAAAATACAGAATCAGCTGGGGCATGGTGGTACATGCCAAGTAGTCCCAGCTACTTGGGAGCCTGAGGCTGGAGGATCACTTTAGCCCAGGAGTTGAAGACCAGCCTGGACAGCATAGTGAGACCCCCATCTCAAAAAAATAAAAAAATAAAATTCCAACGAGGTATCATTACATACCCACTATAATGACTAAAATGAGGAAAAAAATAACAATACCAACTGCTAGCAAGGATGTGGAAGAACTAGAATTCTGATACACTGCTGGTGAGAATGTAAAATGGTACAACCAGTTTGGAAAAGTTTGCCAGTTTCTTATGAAATTCGACATATACTTGCGAAGTATAATCCAGCAATTCTACCCCTGGTATTTTTGTCCAAGAGAAGTGAAAACATGCCCACACGAAGACTTAGAGTATTCATCATAATAATCCCTAACTGGAAGCAAACTAACAATTTATCACAAAGACAATGTGATGTATTCATACAATAGAATATTATTCAGCAATAATAAGAAATGTACAACAGATACAGCAATAGGAATGAGTCTCAAAAACCTTCTGCTTAGTGAAAGAACCAAGGCCCTAAGAGCAAATAACTGTGTGAGTCCATGCATGTGAAGTTCTAAAACAGGCAAACTGGGAGAGGGGGTGAGTAGAGGAAATTGCCTGGGAGCGTCCAGGGGATCATTGGGGTAAAGGAAATACTCTCAGAAATGTAACAAATTGATGCCCACTTCACACTGTAGATCAATTCAGTGGAAATCTCTCGGGTGATTCCAGTGTGCAACCAGTTTGAGAACCAGTTCTGGTGTGAGTTTGTGTGTTGTTTTTGTCTGTTCGTGCACCCATCTATTCTTATTGGTTTACAAAAGAGACCATGAGCCACAAAAAATGGTCGCCAAGCCACCTGGCTTGGCCAGACCTTCAGGTAAGGGTCTCATATACCTTTATAGTTTTACAGAGCAGTGCTGAGGTCTAAGGCCAAAGGGAAGGTGCCCGTTCCAGATGAAATCCAGAACACTGTGGGAGGGTCCACCTAGGTGTCGCTTAGGGAACTGGACACGGGCCCAGCATTTCAACCAGCACCTGGGCAGGCGATTCCACCTGGAGCCCGCATCGCACCTGCCAGCCTCAGTGACCAATCGGCCCATGTGTTTGTCATCTCTTAAACACCGGTTCTCACCTTGGGTGGCACACTGGAATTATTTGGGGAGCTTTGTAAATCATCATTGCTTTATTCTCACTCCCAGAGATTGGGATTTGATTGATCTGGAGTAGGATTGAAATTTTTAAAAAATTCTCCCGGGTGATTCTAATGTTCAACCAGGGGCTCTCAGCTATATCTGCACCAGAGTCACCCAGAGAAGCTTTAAAAACTGTCAATACCTGAGCCCCACTCCTGGAAATTCTAATTTAAGTGTTCTTCGGGGGGTGGGGTGGGGTTCAGGCTTTTTTTTTTTTTTTGAAGCTTCTCTGCTAATTCTAATATGCAGCAAAGACCCAGAATCACTGGATGAGGCACTGACTTTTAAAAAGAAAAAAAAAAAAGCAATTTCACTGAGAATGTGGGGGGAGGCACTCATGTATGCTGTTTTTGAGAACAGAAATTACCTGCCTTTGGAAGGTAATTTGGTAATATCTATTAAAATTGTAAGTGTGTGTACCCTCTGATCTAGTAGTTTCTCTTTAAGAAACCTATCCCACAGAATTAATAGCACAAATTCATAGACATATGTTTTTAAGAACCCTTACTGCAGCATTGAATGTAGTAGCAAAAGAACTGAAAACAATTCAAATATTTCCCATCGAGGTCTGGTTAAATAAACCCAAATACCATAGCGTGGAACACTGTACAGGTGTTTAAAAGATGGTGCACCTACAGGCAAAAATGAGCATGCTATATCATTTGGAGATGAAAACAAGTCACAGACCAATATAAATGGCATGGTCCATGTTGCATTAAAGTAACCTTGTATATATAGGCGTGTATGTGTAAACAAAAATTCATGTATAATCAGAAGGCAGTATCTGTGTGAGACTCAACAACAGTTACCTCTGGGCAATGGGATTGGAGAGATGGAAACTCTCTTATTTCACAAACTTGTCATGGTGGAATTGTGGGATTTTTCTTTTTTGTACTTTTCATTATTTTGTGGTGAAAAATCAGATCTTCTAAAAGTTGCAAACTTTAAGAAACATTGCCAGCCTGCTCAAGATAGGCTGAGCTGCTTTTTTCTGTGGGCTGTGCCAGCTGGAGGTGTAGGGCAGATCCCTCAGGGGGACCCACGATTCCTGAACGCCAAGGGAATCCACAGCTGCTGATGGGAGATGGGAACCCACAGCAGCTGTTCTGTAGCCCAGTTTTACAAATTCCATCTCCGCCTTGTTTTTTTGTTTTGTCTTTGTATTATTTTTGCATTTGTTCCTGCCTCTTGTTTGGTTTGAAGGGATGGAAAGCTTTCCTCATGAGGGGCAGTTTTTTGTAGCCACTGTAAGCAGTCTTCAGACCTTACTTTTTTTCTCAGAAAAAGGAGGAGGAAAAGCTTGAAGAATTGCTATTCACAGACGATTCAAAAATTGGTCCTAGGCTGGGCACAGTGCCTCACGCCTGTAATCCCACCACTTTGGGAGGCCGAGGCAGGTAGGTCACCTGAGGTCAGGAGTTCAAGACTAGCCTGGTTAACATGGTAAAACCCTGTCTCTACTAAAAATACAAAAATTAGCTGGGCGTAGTGGCAGGCGCCTGTAATCCCAGCTACTTGGGAGGCTGAGGCAGGGATAATTACTGGAACCCAGGAGGCAGAGGTTGCAGTGAGCCAAGATCACGCCACTGCACTCCAGCCTGGGAGACAGAGCAAGACTCCATCTCAAAAACAAAAAAAAAAAAAGAAAAGAAAAAAGAAAAAGAAAACAACAACAATGAAAACTGATCCTAGGCAATAGTTTGGGTTTTACTTTCACTATCATTTGTTTCCTTTACCTGGCACAAGTGCTTTAGTTTCCTGTTTCCTGGGCAGTAGTGATGCAGGGTTCATTACCCCCTTTAAGAGATACAAAAGTAGATTCAGAGACGTTAAACAGCCTTTCTGTTGTAACACAGCGATTATTGGCAGGAATGAGAACTTGGCCCTGCTGCTTCTTTGATCTTTATTTCACTGGAGATGCTCATTGGACCTGTTTAGGAGGAATGAGAGCTAAAGGGCCTAGATTGGGAGGCATAAACTCCAGTGTTCCCCGGGCTAGGCATATGACATAAATGAATGAAGCAGACCAGGTTTTGACAGATGGGGTGCTGGGATTTCTGACCAGTTGTGAACCCAAGGTGGCCAGAACTTCTGAATGATCAAGAAAAGCCATAAAACAGGATTTTAATGAAGATATCTCTCCATTTTTTACATACCAGTAATCAATTCAGAAGCAATACCTATCTGGAGGCTGGATTCACCACATTGCCCTGATTTTACAATTTCTGGCTTGTTGATCACCCCTAACACCACCCAACAACTGGGGGTGACTGAGGAGTTAATAGTCCATGGGCATTGATTCTTTGACATTATTTTAACCTCTTCCATATCTCGTCAGCTGCTTTTTTTTCAGATCATTAGTGTATATGTTTTTTGTACACATAATTTTGTAAAAAATAAAATATCCTAAAATATCCTGCCACCTAGTTGGTTGTTGATATTTTCCTATTTTCTCATCTTTTTGAGAATGTACATATTGATTTTGATAGATAGTTATTTATTCGGTTTTATGACCTGCATATTATAAGTACCTTTCCATGTTATTAATTTTTCTTCAAAGGTGTTATCTTTATAATAGTGCATTCTGTGAATATAGCATACATATTTGAACACTTATTTCTGTGTGACTTTGAGCAAGTTACTTAACCTCTCTACGTCTCAGTTTTCTCATTGGTATAATGGGGATAGTAATAGAATCTATAAGGTTCGTGTAAGGATTTAAGAAGTGAACATATGTAAAGTTCTTAGAACAGCACTTATCATAGAATCAATGACATGTGCTTGCTACTTCATAATATATTATTATTATGGTTTTGTACAAATATATGACTGAATTTAAATTACTTTTTATAATGAATTACTATAGGGAGAATTATTGGTCAAAGGGTATTAACATTTTAAGGCTCTTAATTTGCATTGTCAGATAGTCTTCTAGTAAGGCTGTTCTAATTCACATTTCCAGCTGGCTATAGGGTACCTATTTCTCCACATCCTCTGAGACATTAGTTATTTTTCTTTCCTTTAGTCTTCACCAAAGGAGATTACCTTGAGCATCTCTAATGTCCTTGAGCCTCTCTGTCTAGATTAGTACTCAAACCTGATCCTTATTCAGGCCGTTCTCAGAGATTGACATTGGGTTTGGAAATTGATCCTGGTTTATTCTTTTTTTTTTTTTTTTTTTTTTCAGACAGAGTCTCATTATGTCATCCAGGCTGGAGTGCAGTGGCACGATCTCAGCTTGCTGCAACCTCCCCCTCCTGGGTTCAAGCAATTCCCCTGCCTTAGCCTCCCAAGTAGCTGGGATTACAGGTGCCTGCCACCATACTGGCTAATTTTTGTATTTTTAGTAGAGACGGAGTTTTACCATGTTGGCCAGGCTGGTCTCAAGCTCCTTGACCTCAAGTGATCCACCTGCCTCAGCCTCCCAATGTGCTGGGATTACAGGCGTGAGCCACCACACCCAACCCCCTGGCTTATTATTTGTTTGACTACTCCAAATGGAGAATCACTGTCATTTAGTAAATGAGTTTGCCCCACTTACATTTATTGTGATTTGTCTATGCATTTTGCTTTTTGTTTTCTGCTAGTGGATACCACAGGCCACCAGCCCAACAGATATTTGTGAGATGCTGACCTAGAATCTCTGGGGTCTGTTCCAGAAACCACTCAGATTGAGGATCCTCGAGTACAATGGCGGCGGGAGCAGGAACATATGCTGAAGGATTACCTGGTGGTGGCCCAGGAGGCTCTGAGTGCACAAAAGGAGATCTACCAGGTGAAGCAGCAGCGCCTGGAGCTTGCACAGCAGGAGTACCAGCAACTGCATGCCGTCTGGGAGCATAAGCTGGGCTCCCAGGTCAGCTGTGAGTACCTCCCACTACCACCACCCCCACCGACACCAACAGAGAATGGCCACACTGAGTTCTGCCAATATTGCTTCTCAAGTCTGCCCATTTCTCTTCACCTCTACTCTTTGTCCAAACCACCATCTTGTTTACTGCTCTTCCTGCTCCTACCTGTGCCTTGCAGTGATTCATTTGCCATTTGCGTTTCATTTTATTTCATTTGTAATCATCTCAGAATGCCAGTCGGATTACATATCTCCTCATTTAAAAGCTTTCAGGGACTAGGGGAATTGGGAATGGGGAATTCTTAGTTAACGAGTACAGAGTTTCAGTTTGGGAAGAAGAAAATTTCTAGAGGTGGATGGTAGTATGTTCACAACAGTGTAAATGTACTTAATGCTACTGAACAATTCACTTAATAAATAGTTAAAATGGTAAATTTTATGTTGAATATATTTACCGCAATTTCAAAACAATCAAATGCCCTTCAGTGGCTTCCCCTCACTCTTTCCATGGCCTATACAGCCCTCCGTGGTCAGGCCCCTGCCAGCCACTCTTGCCTCATCTCATGCCCTCCTCACTAGGCTCCAGATGCACTGAGCCCCCAGCCCCCCTTTCTGTTTCCCTACCCCACCCTGTAATTTTCCACCTCAGTGCCTTAGTATGTGCCGGTCCCCTTCCTAGAATGCTTTGTCACGCATCCATTTGCAAGGCTAAGTCCTTCTCAGTCTTCCAGTCTCATCCTTCAGGTCATCACCTCTGAGAGGCCTGCTCGGACAACTCTATCAGAAGCCTCTCTTCCTCAACTCTAGTCTTGGCCATGGCTGTCTGTTTATTTCCTTCATATCACGTATCACAATACATCTGCTTGTATGTTATCAGTATTTCCTCCACCAGACCATAAAGTTGGTCAGAGTGGGGCTCCTATCCTATCCCTGGTACCCAAAGGAGGAGAGCAAGCATGCCAAAATCCCCTTGTTCTTTTTTTTTTTTTCTTTTTCTTTTTTTTCTTTTGAGACGGAGTCTCGCTCTGTTGCCCAGGCTGGAGTGCAGTGGCGCGATCTCTGCTCGCTGCAAGCTCCGCCTCCTGGGTTCATGCCATTCTCCTGCCTCAGCCTCCAGAGTAGCTGGGACTACAGGCGCCCGCCACCACGCCCAGCTAATTTTTTTTTGTATTTTTAGTAGAGACGGGGTTTCACTGTGTTAGCCAGGATGATCTCGATCTCCTGTCCTCGTGATGCGCCTGCCTCAGCCTCCCAAAGTGCTGGGATTACAGGCATGAGCCACCGTGCCCTCGCTCTGTTGCCCAAGCTGGAGTGCAGTGGCACAATCTTGGCTCACTGTAACCTCCACCTCCCGGGTTCCAGCAATTCTCCTGCCTCAGTTGAGATTACAAGCGTGAGCCACCACGTCCAGCTAAGTTTTGTATTTTTAGTAAAGACAGGGTTTCCCGATGTTGGCCAGGCTGTTCTTGAACTCCTGACCTCAGGTGATCCACGTGCCTCAGCCTCCCAAAGTGCTGGGATTACAGGTGTGAGCCACCATGCCAAGCCTCACTGTTTCTAATAACCAAATTGTTCCTGTATTTATTGAGTCTCTGTTTCATGCCAGACACTCTGCTATAGTCTGAATATGCTATTTCTGTTAATTCTCATAACAGTTCTGTGAGCAAGAACAATTAATATCACCCTTTTACAGATTAGGAAACTGAGGCTTAGGATCAACAATGTGCCCAGGGTCTTACAGCTGGTGAGAGATAGTGGTAACTTGCAAATCCATTCTGTTGTCCCCACAGTATTTTCAGTGTGGGCCAGGCCACAGGGACTAGCATCAGGGCATGGTGTCAGGGTGGCCATGGCTGGGTTGGGCCATTGAACTCTCCCCTAGTGTGAAGCCCTTACTTTGAGAAGTTCTTTCTGCTACCAAGACAGGACAAACCTTGCCAGGGTACTTACTGTCCCAGCCCTCCCTTTTTCCTTAGCAGCTCAGGAAAACCCTCAGGATCTCAGAGGTTATAGAAAAGAACTGTGTTACATTCATTAGCTATTCTGTGTCAAGTAATGTTCTGGAGACTTTTAGAAGGTTTTAGCACTTAATCTGTCTTAGTCGACTCGAGCTGCCATAATAAAATACCATAGATTGGGTGGCTTAAACGTTACACATTTATCTTCTTACAGTTCTAGAGCCTGGACGTCTGAGATTCGGGTACTAGCATGGTCGAGTTCTGGTGAGGGCTGTCTTCCCGGCTTGCAGACAACTGCCTTCTCTAGTGCCTCTTTCTATTAGGGCACTAATCCCATCGTGAGGAGCCTACCCTCAAGACCTCATTTAAGCCTGACTATTTCCCCAAAGCCTCATCTTCAAATACTATCACTTTGGGGATTAGGACATCAATGTATTATATTTATTTGGGAGAGACACAATTCAGTCCGTACCATTTTTGTTAAGACGGTCCTGGAAGGGAGATGTTATTGTCCCTGTTGAACCTCAGGTTTAAAGGGGCAAAGTGATTTCTCTCTCTCTCTCTCTAAAGTCCCACAGTTTGAAAAAGTGTCAGGTGTATATAAAAACAAAAACAAACCTTTGTATTTTGGGGGACAGGATATTTACATGGACCCATAATCACATGTCAGGTAATGAGAATTACCCTACAAATCACTCACTAATTTCAGAAAGATGTACTTTTACATTGGAGAGATGGGCAGCCACCACTTTACGTAGTGGTAAAATTAGCATGACCAATAATGAGACCAGGTGATATCAATGCCTTCTGACGTGATGCAATAAAGATATCATGAAGGATCCCTCACAAGAATATTTCATCTGAATCTAATCAAGAGCACAGCCAGACAAATCCATAATATGGATTATTCTATAAGACAATTAGACTAGGTTTTTTTTTTAAAGCCTAAAGAGGCACACCACCAAATGAAATGTTTGTACCTTGAATTAGAGCCTGAAATGGGGGAAAAGCAGCCATAAAAGACATTCTCAGACAATTGGAGACTTTCCTGAGTTGTGATAATGGAGTTATGAATATGTAGGAGAATGTCTACATAGATTTTATGAAGATGCATGTGGCAACATATCTGCAGCTTATTCCAAAAAAGGTCCAAGAAAAAAAGGAAAGGAAAGAAAATAGGAAAAACTCAGTCGGGCACAGTGGCTCACACCTGTAATCCCAGCAATTTGGGAGGCCGAGGTAGGTGGATCAATTGAGGTCAGGAGTTTGAGACCAGCCTGGCCAACATGGTAAAATCTTCTCTCTTCTAAAAATACAAAAATTAGCTGGGCGTGGTGGCACGTGCCTGTAATCCCAGCTACTCAGGAGGCTGAGGCAGGAGAATTGCCTGAACCTGGGAGGCGGAGGTTGCAGTGAGCCAAGATTGCACCACTGTACTCCAGCCTGGGTGACAGAGCGAGACTCCATCTCAAAAAAAAAAACAAAAAACAAAAACAAATAAATAATTGTCGATGACACATTGATGGCTTTGAATATGGTCCAGATTTTGCCACCATTTCTAATCATGATTAGTAGAGGGCTTATTGTGAACCACCCTAATGAGAGAAAGAAAGAACTGGGGTGGGAAGAGGGATGGCAAGAAGAAGCATGGGAAAATATTTAAAATTCATGGCTCTAAGAGAAGGATATATTGAGATTCATTACATTATTCTTTCAAATTTTCTATAGATAAGAAGTTTCCAAAATTAAAAACTAAAGTTGGGCACTATGAGAATGAAACATTCACATGAGAAGCACTATAGTAGGAGGCCAGGTGTGGTGACTCACTTCTGTAATCCCAGCACTTTGGGAGGCTGAGGCAGGTGGATCACGAGGTCAGGAGATCGAGACCATCCCAGCCAACATGGTGAAACCCTGTCTCTATGAAAAATACAAAAATTAGCTGGGCGTGGTGGCGCATGCCTGTAGTCCCAGCTACTCGGGAGGCTGAGGCAGGAGAATCGCTTGCTTGAACCCAGGAGACGGAGGTTGCAGTGAGCCGAGATAGCACCACTGCACTCCAGCTTGGGAGACAGAGCAAGACTCCATCTCAAAAAAAAAAAAAAAGAAAGAAAAAAAAGAAGCACTGTAGTGGGAGGTGGCAGCTGGACTCTGACATCAGACAACCTGGGTGTTCTCTAGGGGACCGTACTCCCTCTTTAAGTCTCAGAATCTTTATGTTTAACTATTGAATTTTTGTTTTTTTTTTTTTTTTTTTTTGTTAATTTTTAAATTCTTGGCACCCAACATGTGACATGAATCTATGACCTGAGATTAAGAGTCTCATTCTCTACCGACTGAACCAGTTGGGCAGAAATGTTAATAGTACCTTCATCTCATGGGACCATGTCAGAGTTTCTTAACCTCAGCACCATTAACATTTCAGTCTGGGTAACTCTTCTTTGTGAGAGCTGTGTATTTTAGGGTGTTTAGCAGCATCCTTGTTCTGTACCCACTAGCTGCCAGTATCACCCCCACCCAAGTTGTGATAACGAAAAATGTCTCTAGATTTTGTCATAAGTGTCATAGGGGATAAAACTGCCCAAACCACTGGTCTAGGTAAGACACTTGGTACTGTTTCCTTAGAACATATTAATGGCTCAATAAATAGTCCTATTGATAGGAAATACATAATATTTTGAGACTATAGACCCTGGAGCCAGACTTTTTTGGTTCAAATCCAGGATATGCAGATTACTAGTTGTTGTAACCTTGCACAAGTTATGCCACTTCTGTGTCTCAGTTTTCTTCATCTATAAAATCAATCTAATCATAGTATCATCTTCATGGGAGTGTTATGGGGTCTAAATTAGTTAACAAATGTAAAGTCCTTGGAATTGTACTTTTCATATTCTTAAGCTCTCAGTAAATAATTATTATTATTAGTTCATTCGCATTGTAAATGAAAAAGAGGTTTTTTTTACAGATCTCTGGAACCAATAAGAATAAATACATGATCAAAGGAAGGAAGTAAACAATACAGTTCCTCAGCCTTGTGATATGACTTCCAGACACTCCCAAGAGCTCCACTGGCCTCAGAGGCACCACCACCATTTTCATTGTTAAATATCTTCTATCTGAAGGGACTAGGGTCATTTCAGGCAACTGGATCTGAGATTCAAACCACACAGAAACTGGGATTCCCCCAGCCCAAGCATCCCAGTTAAACAAGGTGTGACCCAAGCCTCATCATGACTCTGTCTTCAAGTTTTACAAGCCAGGTTTGCCTTCCAAGTCAAGCTCTTGGCATGACAGATGGATGAAGTCACACGCCTGTTCTCTAACTCAGATGGCTTGCCAGGGCTTGTGAGGGTTTTGCCACCTGGCCTTGGCTGCTCTGGGTCCCAGACACAGACGGGGCCCTGCCTTGGGGGTGGAGACTTTGCTGTCGACTCGCTGGTGTAATCTCTAGCTCCATGGGGAAGAAGGGAACTAACATTTAATATGCACCTGTTGTGTGCCTGGAGGGCAATATGTTAGGCACTCTAAGTAATCTCCCTCCTGAATCACACACACAGTCCTCTAAGACAGTGTTGTTCCCATTCTACAGACAAGGGAACTGAGGCCCCCAAAGAGGAAGTGGCTTCCCCAAAGGCACACTGGTAAAGAGTGGCAAGGTAGCCTTTGTAACCAGATATATCTGATCTCAAAATCAATTTTCTTAATTTAACCCACGTCAGTCAGTCAAATGCTAAGGCTCTTCAGCTACACTTGGTTCCTCCACCCTCTAAAAGGTGAGAACTCAAGAGAGCTGGGTTCTTTGGGACCTTATCATATTTTTCCCCTCCCTAGGCCTTGATTTCCCATTTGGAAAATAAATCAGTGAGGGCTTTCTAGTTAAAAATGCCAGTTGAAGCCAGGCTTGGTGGCATATACATGTAGTTCCAGTTACTCAGGAGGCTGAAGTGGGAGGATCGCTTGAGCCCAGGAGTCCAGTCCAGGCAACATTGCAAGATCTCATCTCTAAAAACTAAAAAATGGACCAGGCGCGGTGGCTCACGCCTGTAATCCCAGCACTTCGGGAGGCCGAGGCAGGCAGATCACGAGGTCAGGAGATCGAGACCATCCTGGCTAACACAGTAAACTCCATCTCTACTAAAAGTACAAAAAAGTAGCTGGGCGTGGTGGTGGGTGCCTGTAGTCCCAGCTACTCGGGAGGCTGAGGCAGGAGAATAGTGTGAACCCAGGAGGTGGAGCTTTCAGCGAGCTGAGATCCAGCCACTTCACTCCAGCCTGGGCAACAGAGCAACACTCCGTCTCAAAAAAAAAAAAACAAAAAAACTAAAAAATGCCAGTTGAATCACTCACTTGATTTTACTCACTGCAAAACTAGGAGTATCAGATAAAATATATTTTTAAGGCATATATATATATATATATATATATATATATATATGATTAGGGAAAATTGGAGAAGAAAGAACAGCAATAAAATTTGGAAGCTGGAAAGCAGACAGACAGGTGGCAACCTACGTAGCAGACCTGAGAAAAGAGAAAATGGGCTGATAGTGAGGAAGGCTCACAACACTGTTCTATAGGGCACTTGCAAAAACTGTAGATGTTGGTGGCAGCAGCTATTTCTGCAAGTAAGACTGAAGGGAAGAGGGTCTCAAAGAGGAATGGGTAAAGGTTGTTTCTAAGACAATTAGACCATCAGATCTTTTCCTTAAATCGATACAGTCAGGCAACCACCATCTTCAGTCTGGCAAATGACTGGAAGTTTATTTTTTGGAGAGGGTAAAATAGAGTCTCTGGACTCTAGGACACAAGCAAATTCAGAGCCAGAGTGTACTATCCTGAAAGCACGAGTAAGTGAAGGGTTTTGAGACCTTAGCCCTCATATACCACTTGGTGCCCAGAACAGTGCCAGGTCATTACCCTCTAGGCTGGACAGTAGAGAACTCTACTGGAAATCTGACCAGGGAAGAGATATAAAGAGAAAAGCTGGAAAGACACTGACATTGAGGATTCCTGGATGAAACCAAATCAAGTCCAGCCAAATCATATGCTGTGGCCAGGCGCTCATGCCTGTAATACCAGCACTTTGAGAGGCCGAGATGGGAGGATCACTTGAAGCCAAGAGTTTAAGACCAGCCTGGGCAACATAGTAAGACCCCAACTCTACAAAAAATTTAAAGAAGAAAATTATCCGAGTGTGGTGGCAAGCACCTGTAGTCCCAGCTATTCAGTAGGCTGAGGCAGGAGGATTCCCTGAGTCCAGGAGTTCAAGGTTACAGTGAGCTATGATTGTGTACATTGCACTTCAGCCTGGGCAACAGACACCTGTCTCTTAAATAATAAAATAAATTTTAAAGATAGAAAACAAATAACGTACTGTGCAACTCACAGTCCACAAACCACACTCTAGTCAGCATTTTGGGCTCCCATCCTTAAATATGAGCAGAAAACCAAGATTCCAGATATCCGAGGAAAGCCTCTAACAGAGAAAATAGAGACTCAAACCAACACGTGGTGAAGGGAGGGCTTGGAGGAAACAAGGAGTATGCATGAAGAAGAGACCGTTAAGAGAAGCTATATGGTCAGGAAACAAGAACACGGTACTACATTGTTTAAAAAGGAACCTTCAGAGAATAAAAAAGAGCTCATGGAAATTAAAATATGAGAGTAGAAATGAAAACTCCAAAGGAAGACTGGAAAATAAAATGGAGGAAACCTTCTAAAAATCAGAGCAAAAATACAAGATTGAAAATAAGAGGAAAAAAAAATAGACTACAAGGACAGGAAATCTACTATCTGAGGAAAATATGTTCCAGATAGAACAGAGGAAACAGAGGAGAAAAGCATCGCTGAAATAATTCAGAAACATTTCCCAGAACTGAAGGAGGAGAATTTTTAGACTGAAAGGGTTCACTGAGTGTCCAACACAGTGGATGAAAGTCAGCTCACACCAAGATATCTCACTGTGGAACTTCAAACACTGGGACAATTCAAGATCCTAAAAGCTTTCAGAGAGAAAAAAATCAGGTCACACAGAAATGATCAGGACTCAGAATAGCTCCAGACTTCTCACCAATAGCACTGGAAACCTAAAAGACCATGGTGCAATGCCCTCAGGGATTTAAGGAAAATTATTTCTGACCTAGAATTCTATATCCAGCAAAACTACCTTTAATCAAGTGTAGGGCCGAATAAGGCTATTTTCAGACGTGTGAGATTTTAGAAAGCTCATTTCCTTCATGGTTTCTTTCTCAAGAAGCTACTGGAGATGATGTTCTACCAAAATGAGGTGGGTAGACCATGAAAAGGAAGACGCGGTATACAGAGAGGTGAGGAGACACACAGAGGAACACAAAGGCGGATCTCAGGAAGCCAGCCGAACACAGAGAGCAGCTCGCTCACACTGAAGCAGGGCAGAAGCCCTGGCAGGACAGATCCCAAAATAGAAAACTCACCAGATTCACATTGGTCTGGACTCTATGAGAGGAGATTTAGATAACCAGCAGAATGTGAGGTTGAATTAGTGGTAAGTTTGTAGAAACTAAGCAAACGTAAAAATGACAATAATTAACTCAAGGGGAAAAAAAGTGCTGAAAAGTAAAAGTAAGCAAAGTCAGCTAGCTGATTGCACCCTGAATAGTGTTTGCAGAGTAAAAATAATGCAAACACTGAACATCGCTTTCACCAAAAGTATGCTATTGCTTTTAGGATGACGGGGAGATGGGAGAGGTTCAAGTGCATGCTGTAGGGGCTGGGGAAGGGAAGGAAGGGAGGCTAAGTCCCCACCCTCCTGAGAGGTAAGTAAATAAGTAATGCCGAAAACAGAAAAGATCAAGAAGCAGTAATGCATGCATATAACTAGACACATAGAGGTAGCCACCCAAGAAATTGAAAATGATTTTCTTTTAGGTTGTGAGTTATGGGGATAGGGGTTGTGGAATGCTCTTTTTTATAGCAAACCTCAAACTATGTTGGACTGTTAAACTGTGTTCATATATAACTTTAATAAAAACTAAAAATTAAGAACTATTAAACTTTGGGGCAAGATAGTATTTAAAGTCCTGTTGGATATAAAGTTCTTGTAGCGGGGCCGGGCGTGGTGGCTCACGCCTGTAATCCCAGCACTTGGGGGGCCGAGGCGGGTGGACCACTTGAGGTCAGGAGTTTGAGACCAGCCTGGTCAACATGGTGAAACTCCATCTCTACTAAAAATACAAAAGTTAGCTGGGCGTGGTGGCAGGTGCCTGTAATCCCAGCTACTCGGGAGGCTGAGGCAGGAGAATCGCTTAAACCCTGGAGGTAGAGGTGGCAGTGAGCCAAGTTCACGCCACTGCATTCCAGCCTGGGCAACAGAGGGAGACTCATCTCAATTGAAAAAAAAATAAGTTCTCGTAGTAGAGGATAGTGAAGGGATGCAGACACAAAGGAGAGGCTGATGACCTGTTTTCTTGATTACAGTGCTGATTGCTTGAGCGTGTTTCTTTTGTGAAAATTCCTCAGGCTGTACATACATGATGTGTGCACTTCTATGTATGTATTTTTTACCTCAATCAAACATTTACTTACAAAAGGATAAGTAGCAGGCTACATCTTGTGTCAGCGGCTTTAGGTAAAAATTGTGCACTTCACAGTGATACTCCAGGGTATAAGAATTAAAGCTCCTGGTGGCCTAATTGGTGAGAATCTCTTCTTTTTGGCATCTTTTTGTCTCCAGGATTTCTGGGCATGCCCAAGGAACACGATGCATGCCTCAAGTCAGCCCTGGCGTGACTGGTCTACACAGCCAACCTCTCCCTGTCTGAGTCAGGTCTTGCCATTTTTACAGACTCTTCCACGCTGCTGCCACAGTCTCCTCAACATTGCCCCACAGTACAGACCCATGTCCAGAGGCACAGCCTGATGAACAGGGTGGTTGGCAGGACAGGGTGCTCCTAGAACAGACGTCCCCCGCTCCGCCCCACACCCCTTGAGGACGTTTCTGTGTGTCTTCCCAGGTTATTGCCACACTGACGACTCCTCTCTTCTTTCACCTTGTATTACTGTTGATCAGTGAGTGAGAAATGGTGTTAACTGTCTTAATATTTTGTTGAAAGGACCTATTTGGGAAATACAGCAGGTCCTCAAATAACATCATTTTGTTCAAGGTCATTTTATTATAACATTATAATATTATAACCTCCCCACACTGTATGCTTAAGGTGATACCTCCAGCTAAATATCCAACCAGGTCTATCCCTGAAATCCCCAAGTCTAGCAAAGACCAAAGGAATTAGACACCAGGAGATGAAAACTTTAAATTGGCAATAAAACATCTCTGTACATGGATTCCCTGTTCCATGCTTGAGACAAAGGCTACAAGGCCCTTGCCACCCCAAGTGTTGTCCCCACTCATCTCTTCTGGTAAACCTCGGTCTTCTTTTTCTCCATCATCATTATCATTGTAAATTCAGCAGAAATGCAACACTTCTTGTGGTGCCAAATATCTTTTATGTTATTATGCAGAGCAGTTTTCTCATCCCCCAAACTTCCAAGTATTACATTTTAATGCCTTATGCATAACCAAAAGGCCTATTAAAATATTTTTAAACAAAGCCAAACAGTAGCATTCCCCTCATGACTGTCATGCCTACCTCCAGACACTGACAATTGCCAGCAATCACCAAATAAGCTTCTCTATCCTCAGAAAAACCCAGATCTCAGCAGGTGATCTGGCTACATGTGAACATTAAAGAGTGTTCAGATGATAGCCAGGTGCGGTGGCTCACGCCTGTAATCCCAGCACTTTGGGAGGCCCAGGCAGGCAGATCACCTGCAGTCAGGAGTTCAAGACCAGCCTGGTCAATATGGTGAAACTTTGTCTCTGCTAAAAATACAAAATTATCCGGGCATGGTGGAGCGTACCTGTAATCCCAGCTACTCAGGAGGCTGAGACAGGAGAACAGCTTGAACCCAGGAGGCAGAGGTTGTAGTGAGCCAAGACTGTGCCACTGCACTGCAGCCTGGGCAATAGAGTAAGACTTCGTCTCAAAAAATAAAAAAGAAAAGAAAAGAAAAACCCAGATCTCAGCAGGTGATTTGGCTACATGTGAACAGGAAAGAGTGTTCAGATGGTAGTAGGTAGGCAGGGGAGATGATGAAATTGTTCCTACAGTGTGATTAAGGACTCACAGGAGAAATACTTCTCTGGCCTCCCGACCAAGAATAACTGTTCTTTTCTGAACAGTGGGGTTGTGTTTACCTTAAGGACACCACAAATCTTATATCTGGTCCTATTTCCCCCTCACATTACCAGTTATGAGGCTCAGAGCTTGTCGCCAGTTTGTTTCCTTATCCTTATTTTCTCTTTGTCTAGTTTTCCTTAGTTTAAATGTATTTTACTGTGTAGTATTCACTTTCATAAGCCTTAAAATCCTTTTTCAAGACATTAGTAAATACTATTTTTAAAATACAGTAAGATTACAACTACGTGATAGAACCGTGGATATATACTGGAAGGCAACCTAGGAAAACGATAATTGTATTAGGGTGGTAAGATATGGATAATTTATTTTCCTTTTTGAATGTACATTAATATTATAAAGTACAATCAACAATACTTTTATTTTTTTCTGATTGTAAAGCATATGTTTATTGTTTTTAAAAAAAGAAAAGATAAAAATATAAAGATGATAATATCATTTACCATCTAACTCTCTAGATATCAGTGTTCTCTTTGGTATTTTTTTCAGTCTTCTTAAAATGCATATGTGTGTGTATATTTGGAAACTATATTTTCCAAATTTAAATTATTCTTTTTTTTTTTTTGAGATGGAGTCTCGCTCTGTCACCCAGGCTGGAATGTGATGGCGCGATTTCGGCTCACTGCAACCTCTGCCTCTCAGGTTCAAGCAATTCTCATGCCTCAGTCTCCTGACTAGCTGGGACTACAGGCGCCCACCACCATGCCCAGCTAATTTTTGTATTTTTAGCAGAGGCGGGATTTCCCCATGTTGGCCAGGCTGGTCTTAAACTCCTGATTTCAGGTGATCCCCCTGCCTCAGCCTCCCAAAGGGCTGGGATTATAAGCTTCAGCCACTGTGCCTGGCCCCAAATTTAAATTATTCTTTACACTTTTTTTGTAAACTTGCTTTCACATAATGAGTTTCAACATTTTCCCTTGTCATTCAATATTCTTCATCCTCATTTTAAGTTGCGTAGTCCCCGTTTGCGCGTGTACCATCTTTATGTAACAAATCCCCCTTTGTTGAACATTTAGGTTGTTCACTTTTAGTCCTTCCCTTTCTAGGTTTATTTAGATGGCCAATAAGCCAACTTTGCTGAAATCTGTTTCTTCTACTGATATTCTTGTTTTTCTTTTTTCCTTACAGTGGTCTCTGGTTCATCATCCAGCTCCAAGTATGACCCTGAGATCCTGAAAGCTGAAATTGCCACTGCAAAATCCCGGGTAGGACCTCTTCACCTATGCTATGTGCTAGTGATTGGGGCCACTGAGGTCTTAGGCCACAAGCCCACCCACAAGACCAGAACAGATGCTCCAGCCAGGCTATGACAGCCAGTGCTAGCAAGGTCCTAAATAATAACAGTAGAAGCGGTAGTCACAGTAATAGTAATGGTTGTAGCAGCTACCATTTCACAAGCAGTCACCATGTACCAGGCACAGTGCGAAATATCTCATGTGTATTATCTCGTGTCTATGAAGTAACTACCGTCATCTGCATTTTATTATTTTTATTTATTTATTTATTTATTTTTATTTTTATTTTTTGAGACAGAGTCTCGCTCTGTCACCCAGGCTGGAGTGCAGTGGCACGATCTGCGCTCACTGCGTGCTCTGCCTCCTGGGTTCACGGCATTCTCCTGCCTCAGCCTCCCAAGTAGCTGGGACTATAGGCGCCCGCCACCACACCTGGCTAATTTTTTGTATTTTTAGTAGAGACGGGGTTTCACTGTGTTAGCCAGGATGGTCTCGATCTCCTGACCTCGTGATCCACCTGCTCAGCTTCCCAAAGTGCTAGGATTACAGGTGTGAGCCACCACCAAGCTGTCACCTGCATTTTAAAGATGAGCAAACAGAGGCTTAGGGGAGCTAAGAAACTTGCCTAAGGTTACAAGAGATTCAAGTCTTACTCCAAAGTTTCTAATATAGTGTACTGTCTTCCTAGCTACTGATTATTCTGCATTATCTTATTTTAATTACTTCATGATTACCTTAGGGCATAAATATTAGTATTTCCATTTTACCAGTATGGAAACTGAGGCACAGCAGTGAAATTACTTGCTCGTGGCAAAGTCAGTATTTTGAATAGTGGTTTAGTTAAACTCAAAGAATTTAACAATTTCCACAAACTCAGATGCCTGCAAGAAGACATAAATGAGGGATGTGGGCTGGGGGTGAGGCAGTAGAGAGTTGTGGTGACTGTGTAACCAGGAGAGGTCTGCCCAGTCTTAAAGGTAATTGCATTTGAACTCTAGTCCAGCCCATGCTGGAATGTGGGCCCAGTGTTACCAGATCTTCAGATGTTTTCATAAAGGAACTGTGTGTCTAGGTTTATTATGTGACCTTTCTGAAGATTTGATTATTAGCAACTCATTTTAAAAGTTGAATAATACAGTGTAGGCCACACAAACCAGCAGACCGAGTCTAGCTCCTAAGGCATGTCTTGCCACTAAAGTTACTAAGTTGCCTCTTGCCTCCACGTGAAGCACTCTCATAGCCTTTGCCAGCTTTAAGTGATCCATGGCTCTGGAAATTGCCATTGTCCTCATCCATCAGAACAGGAAAGGGAGGCTCAGGATGGCAAGACAGCTTGAGAGAGTTCACACAGCGAGGAAGTGGGAAGGCCCACTCTATCCCAGGTCAGCTCCTGTCCACCTGTTTCCCTGGAGCAAGGACTGGCTAGGAATGACCTACAGAAACACTGCCTGGGATGCTGACTGAATGGGCATCTGCAGAGACCAAGGCCAACATCGGTGACAGGAGGGGGCTCTGACCAGTGTGGCGCAAGGGGTGCTGACCTGAGTCATTATGCAGGCGCAGTGGGAGGCTCTGGGTTCCCTTTCCAGGGAGAAGGCAGCCTGCACCTTGGTGTCAGCCTCTGACCCAGCCCTGTGTGTGGTCTGCTGCCCTCCAGGTCAACAAGCTGAAGAGAGAGATGGTTCACCTCCAGCACGAGCTGCAGTTCAAAGAGCGTGGCTTTCAGACCCTGAAGAAGTAAGTACACCCTGCATCCCAGAGCATGGGGGCTGCTCCCCACCCTGGTTCCCCTCCTGTCCTCTCTGTCTCTCTCTCCTTCAGTCCCTTTCCTCCCTTCTCAAAATGTGGCTCTCTCATCATTCAATTCAAGTTCTGTTCCACTGGCATTTCCTGAAGATACTGCCACCCAAGGGTGGGGTTTGGAAAGAGGAAAGGGGAGTCATTTCAGACCACAGAACACTCATTGTCCCGTGGACTCCTGAAGCCATTAAGATTTGTTCCACTCAGCCGAGTGTTACTATCCAGTCACAGAAACAAGTATTGCCCAGCATTTCTGTGCACACGCCTCATCTCTAGTCAATCCAGTAGGGTCTCATATGCACACAAACAAAATACACTTCTTTTTTCCATATCCCCTAAAAGCAGTCACTAAGTGCTTCAGTGAAGGATTAATGATCTCTTCTAGCAAAAACCAATTACTAGAAAAGTATGCACAATGCCATATGCATTGTGCTCTATGGGTGACTTAAGGAGTTTCCAGGATAACTTTCACCAAATGTAATTTTCACCCTTAGAAGCTGAGCTGTGGCCAGGTAAAATACAGCTCCGTTGTGTCTTCTTCTTCTTCTTTTTTTTAACTTTTATTTGAAGTTCGGGGTACATGTGCAGGTTTGTTACACAGGTAAACTTGTGTCATGGGGGTTTGTTGTACAGGTTATTTCATCACCCAGGTATTAAGCCTAGTACCCATTAGTTATTCTTCCTGATCCTCTCCCTCCTCTCACCCTCCACCCTCCCAGAGGCCTCAGTCTGTGTTTTTCCCCTCTATGTGTCCATGTATTCTCATCATTTAGCTCCCACTTATAAGTGAGAACACGCAGTAGCTTCGTTGTTTCTTAAGAGTGGTTGTGTTACCTGTTGTGATTGTGACGATATTAGCTAAGCTTTGTTGAGCAGTTACTCTGTGCCAGGGAACCCCTGCAGTGTTTCCATGCAGGTGTGTTCCTTTGATCCTATAGCAACACTGTAAGGAATGCTTTGTTATATAACTACCCCCATTTTATAGATGAGAAAACTGAGTCACTTAGCAGGTACTCAAGAAAGGTTAGCTTATTGTGGCTGGGCACAGTGGCTCAGGCCTGTAATCCCAGCACTTTGGGAGGCCAAGGTGAGAGGATTGCTTGAGCCTGTGAGTTGGAGGTTGCAGTGAGCTGATTGCACCACTGCACTCCAGTCTGAGTGGCAAAGTGAGACCCTGTCTTGAAAGAATGAGAGAGAGAGAGAGAGAGAGAAGGGGAGGGGAGGAGAGGAAGGAAAGAAGGGAGGGAAGAAGAAAGAAAGGGAGGGAGGGAGGGAAGGAAAGGAAAGGAAAAAGAACGAGAGAGAAAGAGAAAAAGCCCTCCAGTCTGGGTGACAAAGTGACACCCTCTCTCCAAAGAAAGAAAGAAAAAAAGAAAGGAAGGAAGGAGAGAGGAAGAAAGAGAAGGAGAGAGAGAGAAAGCAAGCCCTGCAGTCTGGTTGACAAAGTGAGACCCTGTCTCGAAAAAAAGGAAAAAAAGAAAGAAAAGAAGGAGAGAGAGGAGGAGAGAAAGAAATTAAGAAAGGGAGAGAGAAAGATGTTAGCTTATTGTTGTTATTAACTACAGCATGTAACAGACTCATTCATTGAATTGTGTTCAGTGTATCCAATGGGCTCACTGGACAATCATTATGAAGGTCACCTGGTAGCCCTCTTAGAAGCTCTAGGCAAGACACTCGGCAGATTTCTCCCTTCTAAGGGGGCAGCTCACTTACATTCCCAGGGAGGCCACACCTGTATGGATGGCTGTTTCTCGCTTTTTGTCCCTCCCTGACTGCTATACCTTTTCCTCATTCCATGAATTTCAAATCCACCCTCATCATTCTGTGGCCATAGCCCCAAGCCTTTGGCTGTCTATCTCCAAGCCCTATTAGTTGAGGGAACTGTGGTCATCCGTTGAGGGACCAGTTGGTTCTTTTTCACGTCTTCCCACCCCACAAGTCCCCACCGCCTGGGGTGAGCCACACAAATTCAGCACAACACATGCTGTAAGAAAGTATGGCTTTGTATTATTACAAATTGTATGTAATTTTTGTGTCTTACAAAGTATTATAAATTATGGCTTTCTGTATGTTTACATCTACGTTATATACGTGTTATTTATATATGTGTGTATACATATACCAATCTTGTCTCTCAAACCGGATTCTGAACTTTTTAAGGCCTGGAACCATGCTTTATGCTTCTTGGTAATCTTCAGTAGCACCATTGACAGTTTGGGGCAATAGTATAAGCTTAGAAAATGCCTATTTTTGACCTATTGAAGCAATAGCCTGATTCCTCCACTTTGCAGCAAAATGGCTTCTGAGCACACAGTTTAAGGGCTACTCACTCCCACATCATTTTACTGAATGGGTTCTCTCTGCTTCCTGGCTACTGCAGTCCAAGAGCTTCTGGTTAGAACACTTCCCATTATTCTCTGAGCCACTGCAAACCTGTTTTACCACTTTGTCACCCTGTAGCAGCATTGAAAACTCTTGTTGTTTGGTAAGCTGATGCTGAAACCCCAAAGACAAGCCTCCTTTCTTCCCCTCCCTCTGCCCCATGTTTGATATCAGGACAGATAAGACTCCATGGCAGCTCCAGCCGCCCACACTCCTTAGCCGGAAGCTGGGCTCTGCGTCCAGTGTGGAGGAAGATGCGTCCTTTAATGTACACCTTGGCAGAGAGGGTCAGGAATGTAGTCTTGAGAGGCAGGTGGTCAGGGTTCAAATCCCAGTTCCCTGGGTCCTTGGAAAAGTGACTTAACCCCTGTGAGCTTTGACTTCATTTGAAAAACTAGGGATTGTAAAGATTGAATTGGAAAATCCGTGTCAAGTGTGTGGTAATGCCTGGCATGAGGGAAGAGCTCCTTGAGAGTGGGCTGGGGTGGTGACCTCTAGCTGGTTGCCTGCTTGTATTGGGAAGGGAACTCGGATGAACTCTTTGTCTGCCCTGGGCTAGACAGTGTGCTGGGGAAGCACTTCACGCCAGCCACCTCATTTCATTCTCTTCACCCCCCTTTTAAGAGACGTTTTTGTCCTGCCATATATTACAGATGAGGGCACTGGAAGGGTTGAAAACATGCCCAAAGCCACCCAGCTAGCAGGTGACAGGGCTGAAACCCAGGACTACTGGATTTTGAAGTTCATGGCTCAATACCTCCCTTCCCAGCATCATCCCTGATAACTCCCTCCTCATTCCCAGAAAATGTAAGGCCCCTTTTTCAGAGTCTAACAGGGATGCTATCCAGTCACTTCTACTTCTGTGCCTACCCTGCGGCAGAACATGGAGAAAGGTACAACTTATCCTTAAGGAATTTCCAGGATAACTTTGACCACATGTAATTTCCCCTATTAGAAAATTTCTCTTTAGCAGCCAAAAGCTCTGTTGTTTCTTTTTCTTTCTTTCTTTCTTTCTTTCTTTCTTTCTTTCTTTCTTTCTTTCTTTCTTTCTTTCTTTCTTTCTTTCTTTTCTTTCTTTTCTTTCTTTCTTTCTTTCTTTTCTTTCGACAGAGTCTTGCCCTGTCACCCAGGCTGGAGTGCAGTGGCGCAATCTCAGTTCACTGCAACCTCCGCCTCCCAGGTCCAAGCGATTCTCCTGCCTCAGCCTCCTGACTAAATGGGACTACAGACACGTGCCACCATGCCCGGCTAATTTTTTGTATTTTTAGTAGAGATGGGGTTTCACTGTGTTAGCCAGGATGGTCTCGATCTCCTGACTTCGTGATCTGCCCACCTGGGCCTCCCAAAGTGCTGGGATTACAGGTGTGAGCCACCGTGCCCAGCCAGCTCTGTTGTTTTTGAAGAGCAGCTATGTCACCTGTCATGATTCTGATGACACCAGCTAAGCTTCTTTGGGCAGCTGAGTTACTCTGGACCACGAATCCATATTAGTTCAATTCATAGTCAGCAACCTGTTTAAAAAAGAGAGGAGAGAAAAGGTTGATGAGGATTAAAGGTTGCCTCTTGGAGGAGATTGCAAAGAAAAATCAAGACGAAAGCTTGGGACTTTGACTTGCCAGCTCCCTTGCAAATAGGGAAGAGTGGAGACCAGGCATCTCGCCCCTGTCGGGGGAGGGCAGTGCAGCACCTCTCTACAAAGCACGAGCCCTGCCGTGCCCAGGCAGGAGGTGTCTGGACAGGACCAGGAGTTGGCTGCTGTCAGCCTTTGCCCCACCTCTCTGTGGCTACTGGGTATGTGAATCTCTCAAGGCCTGAAGAGAGGACAGCTGAGGAATTTGGAAATCCTAAAACACATGCATACACACACACACACACACACACACACACACACACACACACTTTTCTTTCCCTTAAAAAAAAAAAGATTCATTCACCGTGTGCATAATGGTGACCCTTTGTTCTCCCCCGACCCCCTCCCCACCCAGCTTCATCCCAATAGTGTTCCCTCTCAGAGCCGCTCTCTGGAGCCAAATTCCAGAGGCCGGGTTGCTAAGGCCCTTGAAGAAATCAGGTAGAGGCTGTTGGAGGCCTGGCAGACAAACCACTTCTGTCTCATCCTGCAAGGGATTCGAAGCCCTTCTTGCCCTGTTGGCAGAGGACAGCTGGGCACAGCCCCCTCCCCAGAGTCCCCAGCCCTCAGATATGCTCCAACAAACAACAACTCCCTGCAGCCCCTATGCCCATCTGCAGCAGGGCCACTGCCTGTCCCGGACACTGGCTGTGGGGAGCCTCCTTGCCACGGAGCATCTTCTAAGCTCCCTTAGACTAATTTTTCAGACTAAATCTGGGGCCGGTCCTTGCCGACCTGATAGGCCTGCCGAGGCCCGAGTCCTGGAAAGGAATAGACAGGCTATTTTTAGTGGGGAGACATAAACGGGGCTTTGTTTTCTCTCCATGGAGGCTGAAGTAACCGCAGGGGGAGCCTGTGTTGAGACCGTGCTCCATGCCTCGCTCTCTCCTCTGCTTGGAGGCGCAGACGATGAGGCCGGGATGAAAACTTGCTTCTGCTCAGGATTCCCCATGAGGGTTATTTTTAGCCCAGGACAGTTTGGTCTGTAGCAGGAAACCACAAAGGAATGCCTGTGAGTAGTTTCTCATCCTGAAATAATGAGTTTGTGGTGTTCCCGCAGACTGTAAAACTCCTTTTTCTCCACCTTGGACTGAAACCTCAGGCCTAGCCTTTGGCGAAAGTGTGATGTAGTTAAAATGCATCTCTGCCCCTGGACCTTTTTGACACCTCGGCCCTCCTTCTCCAGAAGCTCACCCCTGCCTGTCTCTGGTTTGGTCTGACCTTCAGAAAACTATGTCAGGACACTTTTTTTTTTTTTTTTTTAATTTTTCCCCCATCAAAATGAACCTGTATGTAGGGCCTGGATAAGCCAATAAGCTCTCCAGACTAGAAGCGTTTTAATCCCTTATGTTTGTACAGTAATTCTTAGCTCATCACAAGATTGCCCATCCCATATTCCATTTGATGTTCTTGACAACTTCATGAGTATGGGCTAGGTGGATAATGTTATCCAGGCTTTTTAGAGGAGGAAACTGAGGCTCTGTGTATTTGAGAGACAACCTCAGGGTCATCCTAGTAATAGGTAGTAGGGCTGGGAGTTTTTCATCCTTCTCTCCTTTTCTTCATTGTGTTCATTAGCTCAACACATGCTTATTAAAGACTGGTTCTTGACCAGCATGATTTTGCTCCGTCTCCCTCAAGGGACATTAGGTAATACATGGAGATATTTTCAGTTGTCACCATTCAGGGTGGGGGTACCACCAGCATCTTGTGGGGTGAGGCCAGGTATACTGCTAAATATCATACAATGCACAGGACAGCCTGCCCTCCCTCCAAAAAAGAATGAGACAGACACGTTCAACTCTGCCTCCTGTTCCCAAGCCTCCCAGAGTCAAGTCAACGATGCTACCGCATAAACTATAAATTATCACACAATGTAACGACTGCAGAGTCACAGCTATGTGTGATGTATATGGGAAGCCCCTACCCAGCCCGGAGGACCCAGGGAAGTAATCAGGGAAGGCTTCCCATAAGAGCTGATGTTTAGAGGACTGTGACTTCATGAGCAGTGTTGCTTCTGCAGCCACACACGTTGGCCGTTTAACAGGGACTTTCTATGCCTTTTTTTTTTTTCCTTTTCTTTCTTTCTTTTTTTTTTTTTTGAGACGGAGTCTTGTTCTGTCTCCCAGGCTGGAGTGCAGTGGCATGATCTCAGCTCACTACAACCTCTGCCTCCCAGGTTCAAGCAATTCTCATGCCTCAGCCTCTCAGGCAGCTGGAATTACAGGCTTGTGCCACCATGCCCAGCTGATTTTTGTATTTTTGGTAGAGACGGGGTTTCACCATGTTGCTCAAGTTAGTCTTGAACTCCTGGCCTCAAGTGATCCACCTGCCTTGGCCTCCCAAAGTGTTGGGATTACAGGTGTGAGCCACCATGCCCAGCCCGGGACCTTCTATGCCTTATCCCACAAGTGGGACCTAGGGAGGAAGGGTTAGCAGGACAGAGGGAGGGGCCTTCTTAAGGGACTGAAGTCCTGTGGTCTGTGCTTTTCCCCTGGGGAGACCCTGTCCCTCACCCTATCTAAGGCTGACCTTTCCCATTAACTGTCTCCTAGAATCGATAAGAAAATGTCTGATGCTCAGGGCAGCTACAAACTGGATGAAGCTCAGGCTGTCTTGAGAGAAACAAAAGCCATCAAAAAGGCTATTACCTGTGGGGAAAAGGAAAAGCAAGATCTCATTAAGGTATGCAAGTTCCTGTTGATGTGGGTGCCATCTTGATTTCTCCTGAGTATTCCTGTATGCCAGTCGTATGCGGGCTATTTCCACGTGGTACACACATCACTGAGTTCTCATTACCAGTCTTCCTGGGGTTTTGGTTCCATTTCATAGAGGAGGACGTGGAGGCTCAGAAGCATTAAGTGACTTTGCATAAGGTCACACAGCTAGTGTAAATGGCAGAGTTGGAATGGAAGTCATCTGGCCTAGTCCAAAGGCCACATCCTTGCCACTAGCTCTAACTACCTGACTTATTTTTTCTTTGTTTTTTAAACTTTTATTTTTTAATAGGGAGAGTCGGCCGGGCGCGGTGGCTCACGCCTGTAATCCCAGCACTTTGGGAGGCTGAGGCGGGCGGATCATGGGGTCAGGAGATCGAGACCATCCTGGCTAACACGGAGAAACCCCGTCTCTACTAAAAAATACAAAAAATAAGCCAGTTGCAGTGGCGGGCGCCTGTAGTCCCAGCTACTCGGGAGGCTGAGGCAGGAGAATGGCGTGAACCCAGGAGGTGGAGCTTGCAGTGAGCCGAGATAGCACCACTGCAGTCTGGCCTGGGCGAAACAGTGAGACTCTGTCTCAAAAAATAAATAAATAAATAAATAAAGAGAGAGAGAGAGAGTCTTGCTATGTTGCTCAGGCTGGTCTTGATAACTCCTGGGCTCAAGAGATTCTCCCACCTTAGCCTCCCAAAGTGCTGGGATTACAGGCTTGAGCCAGCGCACCTGGCCCCTGCCTTATTTTTCAAGGAATGAAATGGAGGGAGGTGGTTTCAACATCATTAACCTCTGACATCAAAATGTAGCATCTCTATAAGCATTTCATTGTGTGTTCTGCCTCTATGCTGGGAACTGAACAAATTATAATAGATATTATGTAATGTGCCAGGTGATTATGCCAAGCCTTTTGTATGCATCATGTCTCATCTCTTAAATCAACCCTAGTTTATCCCCATCCTACAGAAAAAAGACTGTACAACTCAGAGAGGAAGCTAGAGCGGTGATTCAAACCCTGACTTACAGACCCATTCTCTTACCCCCTGTACATATCACCTCCCTTTCCACAAACCACCCTGACCTCAGATATTTCACTGGCAGATTAGGAGTCCTCAGAGATGCTATAAATGACTTAGTGAAGGAAGCTGTATGCTCTATGAGAAACAGAACAGTTTGGAAGCTCCTGCCCAGGACAGCAGCCCAGTGAAAACATTTAGATGAAGAGCTCATGGACAGTGAGGCATGTTCCTGTTATGATTAGTGGTTGAGATCATGGAGCCTTAAGCCAGATAGACCAGGTCCAAATCTTGCCTCGGTCAATTGCCAGCTTCTCATCGATAAATTGGGGATAATCATAGGTCATTCTTTGTATGACTATTGTCAGGATTCAGTAAGACTCTGGTAAAGCTGACAGTTACTGAGTATGGGCTGTATTCACTAGTGTTTTATACTTGTCATCTCATTTAATCAAGATGATGGCCCTGTGAGATAGGACCTGCGATTCTTCCCCCCTTTTTTTTTTAAGAACCAGGGTCTCGCTCTATCACCCAGGCTGGAATGCAGTGGCATGATCATAGCTCACTGCAGCGTCAAACTCCTGGGCTCAAGCAATCCTCCCACCTCAGCCTCCCAAGTAGTTGGAACTACAGACATGCACCGCCACATCCAGCTATTTTTTTTTTTTTTTTTTTTTAGAGATGGGAGTCCCACTGTGTTGCCCAGGCTGATCTTGAATTCCTGGCCTCAAGTGATCCTCCCAGCTCGGCCTCTCAAAGCACTGGGATTACAGGCATGAGCACCCAGCTGATTATTCCCATTTTATAGGAGAGGAAATTGAGGCAAAGAGAGGTTATTCAGCTAGGTCAAGTCACACAGCTGGGAAGCAGCAGAGCAGGGATTCCAACTAGGGCATGTGGCTCCAGAGTCGGCATCCACACCGGTTTCTCCTATGTCATAGGCCCAGCGCAGAGCCTGGCACACAGCAAGGACCCACTCACTGCTAGCTCTCTATCACAGGATCAGTAGGATATCTGGGGAGGGCACAGGTTCCTAAATTAAGGGAGGGTAGAGAGGGAAGCACAGGGAGCGTGGCAGACCCAGAGCTCCCTCCTGGGAAGGCGCATCACTAACCCTGCTCTCCCCTCCTTCAGAGCCTTGCCATGTTGAAGGACGGCTTCCGCACTGACAGGGGGTCTCACTCAGACCTGTGGTCCAGCAGCAGCTCTCTGGAGAGTTCGAGTTTCCCGCTACCGAAACAGTACCTGGATGTGAGCTCCCAGACAGACATCTCGGGAAGCGTGAGTAGACGGGGCAGGTTGCTGGGGGCCTTCCACAGGATGGCAGCTGGGAGGCTGCTGTAATGGACAGCTGCCTTCTCATGGCTCACCAGGGAGCTGGCCAGGGGTTCTCTGCAGGGCTGGCTGCTGCCTCAGCCCTCTGGAGCTCTGTTCTCTTACAGACCTCCTGGCCCCAGGAGGATATGATGTGATGCTGTGGAGGAAAAGCCTGCACTGACGGACGTCATGGCCCTGAGTATTGCCTGGCCAGGTGCTTGTGTCTCTTAATGCTGCACAGAAAGCATGTTTAAAGGACAAAATGTCTTTCTCTGGTTTTTTTTTTCCATACTATTTTGCAGTTCCATTTTCATTTTTCTTTCCCCAGCTGGACAGCAGAGGATATTTTCCTCCTGTTAGTCTCAAAACAATGCATGCAGCTTTCAGGCAGCTGCTTGACTCCCAGTTCCAAAGCTCAGTCCAGTCCTAGTTATGAATAGTGAAAGCACTGTCCAGATGTGGCTCAGGAAAGAGTTAGAGTAGGGCTGAACCATGGTGCCTCGTAACTTTTGGAGAGCTTTTGTTTTACTAGAGCCAGCAACATTGAACGAATCTGCCTTCCAGCCTCTGTGGCGGACAGCCTCTATATGCTGTTCCTATCTAAGTTCCATAGCTGTCTTCCCACTTGTCCAAGGGTGACCGGTGAGCCTTGTAGCTTCTTGCTGCTCTTAACAGACTAGCACAGAAAAAGAGGCTGTCCCTTCCTTCCCCATACCACCATGTGTCCAGCTACTAGCCATCTGCAGGCCAAAGTATTTGTAAAGGAACTGTACCCCTCTTTGTGAGTGCAGGGGTCTTCTCCCCAACTACCCAGTGTTTCACTCCTGACTGCAGCCTCTGAGTTTTCTATGGATCCCCTCACCAGTGCCCCTAGAATGAGTTTCTTGATATTGGCTATCCCTGTTTCCTCCTCACCAACTGTCCTCCATGCTTCTGTGGCTTGAATGGGCACCAAGCCAAGCCATTTGGGGCTGCAAGATGATATTCTGGGCTTTTGGCTTCTATTTTCAAAGTGATCGATGTCTGAGCGTACGGTTCTTCCCGTGGCCTGAAGGGAGGAAAGTGTTTTTGCTTAACCAGCTTCCCTGCGATCTGCACCGCCAGCCCAGTCACCGGGGGCTATTCTTGGCTACTGCCCACGCAAGCTGTCAAGTCTCTCATGAGCCCTCGAAACCCAACTCAGCACCGGCCACAACAGCCACATAATTCCTGACTTTGTTCTTCTCCTCCAGTTCGGCATCAACAGCAACAATCAGTTGGCAGAGAAGGTCAGATTGCGCCTTCGATATGAAGAGGCTAAGAGAAGGTAATTGGGCTGGGGCTAGGGGCGGGATGGTTCCAAAAATAATAACTACTATTGTAGAATGCCTGCTCTGTGCTTAGCTTTTCACACACTTCGTCTTCTTTAATCCTCACAAAGATTATGAAGATAGTTATTATACTTTTTATATTTTCATCCTCTCTGAAATTCAGAGAGGAAATGACTCACCCAGGACACTTCACAAGACAGAGAGTGAAACTATGCTTTGAACCCAGATCTGTTTAACCTCAAAGCCGAGTTATCTTCCCACTTGCCTGTCTTGATTTCTGCAACCGAGGCTTTCCCATGATCCTGTAAGCATTTTGGTTTGAAGGAGTACAACTGGAATTTCAGCAACAGGCTAAAAAGATTATGGACACTACCCACTTCAGTGTCTCCTGCACAGCTGGGAGCAAGCTGGGCTTTTAAGCAGTGTAGACCTCTGGGATTTAGATGTTCTGTGGCTTCACAGAATCCTAAGCAATCAGGTTCCACTACCACAAGTAAAATCAAAATAATAATCAAAGCTGACATTTTTAGAGCATCTGTTATAGGCCTAAAGAGATTTTTATTTTTAATTACTTTGTTTTCTTTTTTAGGGACAGGGTCTCGCTATGTTACTCAGGCTGGTCTTGAACTCCTGGCCTTAATTGATCCTCCCACCTCAGCCTCCTGAGTAGCTGGGATTACAGGCACGCACCACTACCCTTGGCTGAGATTGTTTATTGTACTAAAACATTTGTGCATGCATCTTCTCATTTAATTTTAAAAGCAATGCATCTTCTCATTTAATTTTAAAAGCAACCTTATAGCACAGGGTCTATCTTATTATCTCCATGTTAGAGAGGAGAAAGGTAAGACCAAGATATTTCATGACTATTCCAGGTGGTAGAGGCAGAATTTGAATCCTGGACAATCTGTCTTTAAGTTCATGATCTTTGCTTTTTTTTTTTTTTTTTTTTTGAGACGGAGTCTCGCTCTGTCACCCAGGATGGAGTGCAGTGGCGCGATCTGCAAGCTCCGCCTCCCGGGTTCACGCCATTCTCCTGCCTCAGCCTCCCGAGTAGCTGGGACTACAGGCACCCGTCACAACGCCCGGCTAATTTTTTTGTATTTTTTAGTAGAGACGGGGTTTCACCGTGTTAGCCAGGATGGTCTCAGTCTCCTGACCTTGTGATCCACCCACCTCAGCCTCCCAAAGTGCTGGGATTACAGATGTGAGCTACCGCACCCGGCCAAGTTCATGATCTTTCTGTACTCTGAGCCAGTGTTACTGGCAAAGAATGCCCTGGGCATTGTGGTGTGGATGGAAGCCAGGCACATTGCATCCATTCCTTCCTAGACTAAGTTGCCTGGCCTGTGGACCTTCTCAGCCAGGCCAGGTGAAGCATGGCAGTGCCCAGCTCTGCCCCTCTGCCAACTCTGTGTGAATAGTAGAACTCTTTGCAGAGATGACAGAAATCTAATAGAAACCAGAGAAAGCAAAAAAGGGAATGTATTGTGTTATTTAACTCCAAAGTCCTGAGATACCTAGCTTCAGGCACAGCTGGATCCAGGGACTCAGATGATGTTACCCAGACTCAGTCTCTCTCCTTTTCTTCACCCTGCTTGCCTTTATGTTGGCTTTACCCTCCAGCAGACTTTCCTGTCAATGTGGCCAGGCAACTCCCAGCAATTCGGAGCTTACACACTACCAGGTTAGCAATCCCTGTGGAAAGGGGGCCTACCTTTCCCAATAGTTTTAACTAGCCTTGGGTTTGAGACTCCCTGGCATTTTTGGGTGAACCAAGCTTTGTTACAGGACAGTTGGGGGTGGGCAAAATTAGGATTCTCTAAAGGTCTAGGCATGCGTCGTGTTTCCAGTGCTGGGAAAAGTCAGCTGTATGGGAACCAGGTGACTTGAAAGTACGAAAGGAGTGATTTCCCAAAGACAAATTGGAATATTATTAACAAAAGAAGAAGGAATTGAATACTGGTCAGGTAGAAAAAAACAGATGTCCTATGTACTATTTCAGCTCCCCCAGGCGTCCAGCAAAACAGCAAGACATCTGTATTTGGACAGCCACTTCTTGTTCTCTCTGAAGAGGACCACTCTGAACCTTGGATCTGTTCCATCCTGCAGGAATGCCTGTCTTAGATGGTCAGTCCTTGAGACACTAAAGGACTGCAGTGCTCTCTCTGGAGTTGAGCCATTAGACTTCTCATCACAGAGCTTCCTAGCTCATCTGACTTTATGCAGCCTCTTGCTTGCCCCTCCACCCGAAGCTCATTTTAGTGTAAAGGACAGAGCAGCCTGCTCAATGGGAAAGCAAGCTTCAGGACTTGAAAGAGGGAAGGGAGGTGTCTGTAATCCAAGGAGGGTCTGATCATTGGATGTCAAGTTTTGTCACACATGCATTTCTGAGAAGAGAGACTAGTTGTGTTTATCAGATTCTTAAAAGGATGTAAGGCCTGAAATTTAAGGAGCATTGACATAGGGAAAGAGAAAGTATATCCAGTAAAGCATCAGTCACTTCCCAATGTCCTGCATATGGTGGAGCCCCTGCCCGGCCTTACCATACCATTTCGTTCTCAAAGTACTGCAGAACAGCAGCTACAAAGTTGTCTCAAAGCTGATCTTGATAGATTACTGTATACATGAATGTGAATTTAAATAACTAACTACAGTCAGTCCTCTGTACCCACGGGTTCTGCATCTGCAGATTCAACCAACCAAGGATCAAAAGTATCCAGGAAAAAAAATTAAAAAACAATACAAATTTTTAAATATAGTATAACAACTATTTACATAGCATTTACATTGTGTTGGGTATTATAAGTAATCTAGAGATGATTTAAAGTATACAGGAGAGTATGCATAGGTTATATGTAAACACTATGCCATTTTATATAAAGCACTTGAGCATCCATGAATTTTGGTACCTGTGGGAGGTCCTGGAACCAATCCCCTGCAGATACCAAGGGTCAAGTGTATAAGAATTCCTCCTGGGACACTTGCCTGGGGAACAAGCAAATCTAGGTATGTTTTTCTACATGGAATTTTTGCTGCACATCATGGTAAATTTTGTCCCCAGCAGTGTTCTGATAAAATAAGAATTGGGCCACATTGTCTGCACGTAAGATTGAACTGGGAGTCCAGAGGCCTCTGGTCTCAACAAGTGTTGGCCACGTTTATGATTTGCAGTCTTAGGTGCATCATATCCTCCCTGGGCATCTGTCCAACCAGGTGAACAACTCCTATCTTAATCACCCTTTAGAGATGGGGTGGCCAGGGCGTGAGAGCTGATGGTACTTTGCAGAGGCCAAGTCCTAAAGGATGATGTCATGATTGTTGTTAGCTATTTGTAGCAGTATTCATTGTTATACTGTGGATCTTATTTTGGCCCAATGATAATAATACTGAAGATCTATATAACACCTGGCAATGTATAAAGGGCTCTTAATGCTGTGTTCTCACATAACCCACCCTATAGGTACCATATCATCTCTGCCTTATAGATGAGGATATGGAGTCTTAGAGAAGTTAAGGGATGAGGCTGCCAGCTCTTTCCTTTAACTGTTATTTAGTGCCTGCAATATACCAGTGACTGTGCTAGAAGCTTGTGATACCAAAATGCTTTCTTGAGAAATGGTCCCTTCCATCATGAAGGCCAGAGCGAGCCAGGACTCCAACTCCAGGCCTCTGACCCCAAATCCACAGTTGTTCACACAGTGCCACTACCTGTCTCTGAATTGAGAATACGCGGTCAGTAGTTGTAGTCTTAGTGGTCCAGAACTGTCAGTGACTCAGTACTTGTTATGTGCCAGACACCCTTCCCAATCATTCTGATGAATGAATTTTTCTTATCTTTAAGGCCTGGGGAATTGGCCCAATGTTACATACCTAATAAGCAGTCACATCAGGTCATAACAACAGTAGCAAGGACTTACTATGTGCCAAGTACTGTGCTTTGCAGGTTACAGATTATATCATAAAACCTTCAACCAAAATAACATGAGGAAAGAGCTTTTGTTATTCCATTCAGAGAGATGAGCAACTTGCCCAAGGCCACACAGCCAGTGCTAAGAGGTTAGTGCCTGGTGATGAATCCACATCTCTATTGTACCAGGAACAGGGCAAGGACATTGCCTTGTTCATGTCTGCACCCCATTCCTGCAGAGCCTACTTCATTGTTGGCACATGGTAGGCACCCACATGTGTTTGTTTAGAAAAAAAATAGGTTCCTTGAGATGACAAGCTGATCAAAGGAAGACAGTAACTGTCAAAGATTGCTCTGAGATGTCTGTTTCTTCATGGCATCTCCTGTTCCCTCAGTGCCATTAGGCACACCAGTCATGCTTGCTTTCTTGGCCCCCAGGATCGCCAACCTGAAGATCCAGCTGGCCAAGCTTGACAGTGAGGCCTGGCCTGGGGTGCTGGACTCAGAGAGGGACCGGCTGATCCTTATCAACGAGAAGGAGGAGCTGCTGAAGGAGATGCGCTTCATCAGCCCCCGCAAGTGGACCCAGGGGGAGGTGGAGCAGCTGGAGATGGCCCGGAAGCGGCTGGAAAAGGACCTGCAGGCAGCCCGGGACACCCAGAGCAAGGCGCTGACGGAGAGGTGGGGCTGGGGCCCCAGGGTGTGTAGGACCCTTCTCTCACTGGCAGTCTGTCCTCAGCCCCCAGATGGGGGAAGAATGAGGGGGCTCCGGGCCCCTGGGCTCCACCCTGAGCACGCTCAGTTCAGAGATCTCTCAGGTTGCCGACATAGGAAATCAGGAAAGATGGTTTGCCATCCAGTGCGCCAGCTACCCTGGAATTTTGCATGGTGAATCATGCTACCAAAAAGTCTGCTTAGGTGCAGGTGTTCAAAAATGTATCTTCTGACTCAATTAAGCCACATAACTCTATATAACTTAAAGCAGTCATTTTCCAACTTTTTGACAGTGATGCACATTTTATACTGTAACCTGATCCAAGGTTCACAAAATAGTGCATGCTCTTTCTACCTCTGATGGTCCTCTGATGTTTTCTCCCTTCTGTTGCATTTTGTTTCATGCAGTTTGTGACTCACCAAATTGATTTCACCCCATGCTAAGTAAGGGGTTGCAGTTTGCAGTTTGAAAAACACTGGTCTGGATAGGGGTTGCAAACTGGCATGCTTATAGGAGCCAAGCAGGTCACAGAAATGCTAGAGACCCACCTGGCAGTGGTCTGTGTTAGACCAGAGTGCACAGACCCCACTGGTCTAAAGCAGGTGCTGTCTCTCTGCTCCAGCAAATGGGAGTGCAGGCCTCGGGCTGCCAGAGCTGCCTGTACTTCAAACAAAAGAGTCGTTCAGATTTTTTATTTTTAAATATTGGGAACTAATCCAGAAGTTTTTTTAAAAAAATATGCAAATCAGCCTCATCTATGGGCCTGATATAACCTAAAAGCCACCGGTTTACATTCTTTAATTTAGACCTTATTATAGACATTGTCTTTGTTTATTTCCTTCAGTGTTCCCACCAACCTCCTCACCCACATTGCACCGAATGCAACACTGCGTTCACCATAGGCTTTACAAAGCTCTCCAGCTTCATGTTCATTTATTCATTCTGTTCATCAGCCAATGTTTACTCATTCATTTGAGAAACCTTTTGCTGCACAGATTGTGTGTGCAAGGCAATTTGGGGCACTCAGAAATTAACAAGACATGGTCCCTGCCCCATGACCTTTAAATCTATTCTAGTTATTTTCACCATTTTTTGGCAGGAGCCTTTATTCAGCAAGGTCCCTGCCCGTAAGGAGCTTAGAAGTGAAGCTAGAGATTTTCAAGTGTGTGTGTGTGGGGGGGGGGGGGGGGCGTGTGTGTGTGTGTGTGTGTGTGTGTGTGTGTGTGTGGCATATGTGGTGTGTGTGTGTTTGGAATATGAGCAAGGGAATTCCTTTTTCTAGTGAAATCAGAGGCAGAGGCCCAGTCTATGAAGCAAGTAAACGTGCCTACTGCCTCAGTGGAAGCAGTCGGGAGTCCTAGAGATGCTGTCTGTGCTCACTCTGTCACCCCATCATGGGGCTTCCAGAGAGCCTTTGAGCTCTAAGGCACCCAGCTTGCAGTACCATTCTAGCAACTGAGTAGGCCCCACTTGCACATGGCATGGTGCCAGGTGGATCGGGTTCCCCAAGTTCTTGCCTGGCCTCCCATGGCTTCAGAGACCCCCTTGACTCATCGATGGTAGGAATCTCTCCGCACTAGTTGCTTAGTCAGAACTGCTAACAGTGATGTCCAAAGCGTATCCATTTCCTCTCTTCCGTTCTTCATTGGCAGCAGCAGCTGATTAGCCCTGATCCACCACCAGTTGGTGGGAGAAGGAGAAGGACAGAGCTTGAATAATTGGTGTTCTGCAGCCCTTGGAAGCACCTTGCTAGAAGTCTTCTTTAGCACCACGACTCCATTCTGCTTTCTCTGGGATTTTACGCTTTGGGGATAAGGCCTGTGTCTATATGCCCGCATGCCTTTAGTGTTCGTTGAAAGAATAAATGGTTAGCTGGCCTAGGTAGACCCTTACTGGGCCTCTGTGTATATCTCCTGGTCTTTATACCCATTCCCTGGGTCCCTCACTTGCTCCCAGACCCTGTAATTGCCACTGGGAAGCCCTTAGCTATTCATCATCCCCACAGCCAGCAGCTGAAGAGAACAGATTCATGGCAGCTTCACTCCTTGTTGGGTCAAAAGCAATACGCTTCTCACTTGCTGACCTTGAGCAAGTCATTGACCAATTTGGGTTTCACTTGCATAATAGGGAAAAAACAGGATACATTAAGTCTCACTTAACATTTGTTAGTAGGTTCTTGGAAAACTGTGACTTTAAGCAAAACTACATACAATGAAACCAATTTTTTTCCATCAACTTTATGTTTTATTTTTATTTTTTTCGAGATGGAGTCTTGCCTTGTCACCCAGGCTGGAGTGCAGTGGCACGATCTCGGCTTACTGCAACTTCCACCTTCCGAGTTCAAGCAATTCTCCTGACTTAGCCTCCCGAGTAGCTGGGATTACAAGTGTGCACCACCACACCCAGCTAATTTTTGTATTTTAGTAGAGGTGGGGTTTCACCATGTTGGCCAGGCTGGTCTCAAACTCCTGACCTCAGGTGATCCACGTGCCTCGGCCTTCCAAAGTGCTGAGATTACAGGCATGACCCACTGCACCCAGCTCTATCAACTTTATTAAAAAATGACATTTAAGAATTTGATGTACATCATTTTGCTTAAAGTTACAGTTAGCAAGAACCTATCTACAATGTTGAGGATTTACTGTAATTACATTAAATACATATATGGTCTGAAGGCAGGCAGTTAGACGAGGCTGTGAATTGAGGCTCTTCCCTTCTGTAAAATTGTTGGTTTCTTGAAACTCGAATTGGAGGCTCTTAGGGACCCCTAGGATATACCACATGTAAAAGCTCCCATCCTGTGCCAGACAGTAGCCTATATAATCTCATTTAAACCTCCCAGGATCCCTGAGGTTAATCCCCATTTTAAAAATGAGGAAACTGAGGCTCACCCGAGATCCCTAAGTGCCAGAGCTGGGATTAGAAGACCACAAGTTTGCTAACCCCAGAGGCTGTGCTCCCTTTAGGATGCTCGCCACTCAGAAGGCCTTCTGTTATTGCCTTCAACCCCATCTTTCAAAGGTCTGCTGGCTCCTCAGGAGCAGTGAGTTCACATAGCTAGTACAGGGAGGCCAGAACCTCCACTCCTCTGCAGCTGCTGAGCGGGCAGCTCGGAGGGCCTGGTAGGAGGGTGCTTGGGGCAAATGCAGTGGTAGGGAAACTGGAGGGCATGCAGGCAGGCAGCCATGTATGCCCTAAGAGGAGTCTAAGGAGGAAGCCCACAGGAATGGGGTACCATGCTCATGGCTGTGGGTCTCCCACAGTGGGGAGACGGGAAAGCCGCCCCAGCTGTCTTTGTGTCTGCAGCTGTTTCCTTCCAGCTCCATGTCAGTCTGTCTGTGTTCATCCTTCTGACTCATATTCTGTTTCCCTTCTGTCTTTGTTTCTCATGTGTGTGTATCTTTATTTTTAGTGTCTCTGTTTCTTTCTCTCTGTCTCCCCTCGCTCCTCTTTCTCTATTCTCTGTCTCTCAAAATGGGATTATTATGCTCCTCATCTTCACACAACAGCCTCACATTCAAGGTGCCTTTGAGGACAGGAATAGACACATCCAGGAGAGGCCGACTGCAGGACCTGCCAAACCCCGCTCACAAATCAGTCAGACTCACAGGCATCCAAACAAACCTCATCCTACCCTCTGCCTCCCCCTCCTTCCCGAGGGCCTTCCCCACTGCTCCCCAGAGCTGGTGTGCAGTCATGCAGGATACTTGCTAGCGCACAGGCTCCCTGGCCCACCCCAGGGACCGATTCTTCCGGCCTGAGATGCAGCCCAGGTTCTTACATTTTTAACCAGCACCCAAGGTGCTGAAATACAGCTTGTGGGGACTCCAGCCCCACCTTCTGGATCCTCTGCCTGCCTCCATGCTTGATGCGTTCTTGGCCTCCCAGCGTGTGCCAGGCATCTCACACATGTGCCATCTATCCTGCAAAACCCAATGCCACTGGGAGGTGGCCTCGGCACCTGTGCATTGCTAGCAGTAGCTAGCCCCTAATGCCAGGACGTCATGGCAGCCCAACTCCCAGACCCCTCATCATCCTCTTGAGGCTTCACTGGGGACCCACATTTACTCCCAGCACACACCTCTGTGGCTTTTCTCCCACAGAGAAGAGGAAAACCAAGGTAAAAATGGTGAGCGCCAGCTGCTCCTTGATCCTGGACCTCAACTGTTCCTGAGCTTTCCTTTTATACTGGGTCAAGAGATTCCACAGCCTTGTTCATTGTGTTGAAAGTCAAGGATTTTGTTTATTACGGGTTCCATCTGCCAACCCACTGTGCACCCCCACCCCAGCCTCAGGCAGGACTCTAGAAGAACAGTGCCAGGGATTGAGCTGACCAAGAACCATGCCAAGGCCACTCTGCCTGCTGCTCCTGTTGCCTTGTCTGTGATTTCACGGATTTAGTTGTCCAGTAACAAGCCCGACCCACCCCTCAACACTTTTCCGTTGTGTTTAGAGCAAGCTCTGGTCTTTACTGCAGGGCGTGTGCTGGGGGCTTGGATGTGTGGGTAGAGGGATGGCATGACTTGGCTTTTCCATGGAAATGAGCCCTTTCTCCCAGGCCCCAGGCTGGGTTAGCTGTATCCTAGTTTCACTCCCTAGTCCAGGGATCAACTAGTCAGTCATCCCCTCTTCAGCAGGTTGACATGAGGGGATGGAGGCCAACAGTGGAACACATCTGTCCATGGAAGGTATAATAATATGCAGGTCTTTCAGCAGAGCTCATAAACTGTGCCTGGCTTCATCTGGAGAAAAAGTCATCCATTCAGCAAATATTGAGCATGTCTACATGGTGGGCACTGTGCTGGGTGCTAGGTGCTGGGTGAGCAAGACACAGCCTCTGCCTCTCTGCCATCCCCATACAGTGCAGCAACTTGCAAACCTTGGTGTGCCTAAAGATCACCTGGGAGGCTTAATGAAAAGAGAGATTTCTGGGCCCTACCCCTGGGCTTTTTGATTCAGCAGGTCAAAGTAGGGCCCAGGAATGTGCATTTCAATAAGCACTCTCCGCTTTCTGATGCAGGTAGTCTGTGGGCCACAGGCGGAGAAAGACTAGTCTAGTAGACACATGAGAGCAGCCCAGGTCACGAGTTTGTGAGGGCACAGGCTTGCTCGATAGGGCCCTTTATTTTGTAGTGGGCCCACTCCAGGGGTTGGAGAGCCATTCCAGGGGCAAAGACACACCCTGGAGTCCACCCAAGCTGCCCTCCATGGGAGGTTTCAGGAGAGGTCAGGGCTGAGATATGGTCCAAAAGCCAGAGGTCTCTTCCAAACACAAGGATTTGTCTCCAGGGAGATAGTTTACTGAATTGGGCTTTGGTGTCAGGCATGCCTGGGTGAAAATCTTTGCTTCCAGTTCTGTGACATTCCGTCACATCCACTAACTTCTCCCGACTCTCTGGTCCCATTCTCTCCAGCTCCTTTGCTGACTGTTGCCAGTCCATCCAACCTCAGAATGTTGTGTGTACTCAGAGCTTGGTCCTAGGCCTTCCCTTGTTTTTGCTTCTGTATTTTGCCCTAAGATGGTGCGTGAGTCTACTAGGGCTGCCATAACAACGTACCACAGACTGACTGGGTGACTTAAACAGTGGACATTTATTTTCTCACAGTCTGGAAGCTAAAAGTCCAAGATCAGATGTCAGTGGGGTTGCTTTCTTCTGAGGTCTCTTCCCTTGGCTTGTAGGTGGCCTCCTCCTCCCTCCGTTTCACATGGTCTTCCCCCGTGCCTGTGCCCTAATCTCCTCTTAGAAGGACACCAGTCATACTGGATTAGAGTCTGCCCTACTGACCTCATTTTACCTTAATTACTTCTTAAAAGCCCTATCTCCAAATATAATCACATTTGGAGGTACTGCTGCTTAGGACTTCGATGTAGGATTTCGGGGGACAAAAATCAAGCCAGAACAGATGGTAATCTCATTCAGGTGGTGATCCATCTGATAGGGACCCCCCCGCCCCGACCTTTAGAGCAGCCCACCTGTTCAGTATTCATACCCACATATCCATAATAGAGCTCTTCTCTTCCCCCGGGATCCTCTGCCTCAGCCTTTTCCTCTTAGCAGATGCCATCTGCAGGGCCACTTGGCTGCCCGTAGCAGTAACCGCACAGTCTTCCACATTTACTCCCTCAGCCTCAGCTGCTCCTGCAGCCCAGGCACTGTCTCTGTCTCTGCATTGCTCAAGCCTCCACCATCTCGGTTACACCTCACAGCCACCCTCCCCGCCTTCAGTCTTCAGCCTCCTGCCCATTGTCCTCCCCACAGTCATGGTGACCTCAAGATGATAAGGTCTTTGCTAAAGCCCCTGCTTGGAATGTTCTTCCCTCCTGCACTTTTCCTAGCCAACTGCTGTCCATTATCCATCCTTAAATTTCTCTACTAGTCAGGAATCTAACTGCTGCAAGAAACAGCCCCCAAAGTCTCCGTGGCTTCATACAACGGGTTTATTTTTTGTTCATATAATGTCTAATTGGGTATGTCCAGTTAACAGGCAGCCTTCCATGTGGTCATTCAGGAACTCAGGCTCTTTCCATCTGTGACGCCTCCCCTTTGAGTCCACAAGAGTCCATGCAACAGACAGTAAAGAAGACACACACACTTTTCTTAACTACTAGTGCTCACATCCCATTGGCCAGAACTTGGTCATACGCCCTGCCCACCCGGCCACAGGGAAGGCTGGGAAAATGGTGGAGGCAGGGTACACACCACCAGTCTCAGCCACAGAGTCACTTGACTGGAAGAGGCTCACCTGCCAGTTCAAATTGGGCCTCTCCTTTTGTGTTCTTTTCTACCATTTGTACTTTTTCTTCATGGACCTTGTCACACACTGTGTTAATTAGATATTTGAGTATTTCTTTAATATCGGTTCTCCCCAGTAGAATGTAAGCCCTATAAGAACAGAAACAAGTCCTACTGTGCTCACTCACTACTTTATCCCCAGTGCCACAGGCAGGGTCCAGTACAAAACGGGCATTCAGTAAATATGAGCTGAAAGATGGAGGAAGGAAGAGAAGGAGGGTATGGTTGGGTGAAATCCTAATTCTGCCACTAATTCCACAGCTTTAGGTAAATTATACAACTCTAAGGGCCTCGATTTCCTCTTATGTAAAGTGGTAAAAATCATTCTTACTATGCAGCATTATTGTGTGACTGAATTAAGGCAGTGTCCTAAGGTTCCCAGCAGAGTGCCTGATATATATATATAGTGGGTGAGTGATATTGCAGTTATCATAGGATTATAATATATGTGGAAGCTCTAGCTCCCCAGATGCCGTGGTCAAATGCTTTACGGAAAGTTCTTGTGCCTGTGGGTCTGGGTGTACATGGGTAAGAGTGCATGCCTGTGCTTCCTTTTGGTGCATCCCTCGCATGCTTTCTCTCCTTCCAGGTTAAAGTTAAACAGTAAGAGGAACCAGCTTGTGAGAGAACTGGAGGAAGCCACCCGGCAGGTGGCAACTCTGCACTCCCAGCTGAAAAGGTGAGTGGTGGGCGGTGAGGCCACTGCTCCCCTGGGCATGGCCAGACATGGGTGTCCCCAGTGTCCCAGCCCAGGCTCTACCCTTCACTTGTCCTCCGTGGCTTGAGAGTGGATGTTTAGAAGCATAGCAAATGGATTGTCAGCAGACTCGGGCGTGGCCTGGTGTAGCTAGGAATAGGGGTCTTGACCTCTCCAGACTGATAGCACAAAGAAGGCCCCAGGCAGGTAATAGGTAGTCTTAAGAGACTCGGCTGGGTGTCATGGCTCACACCTGTAATCCCAGCACTTTGGGAGGCCAAGGTGGGTGGATCGCTTCAGCTCAGGAGTTTGAAGCCAGCCTGAGCAACATGGCGAAACTAAAAATACAAAATTAGCTGGGTGTGGTGGTGCATGCCTGTGGTCCCAGCTACTCAGGAGGCTGAGGTGGGAGGATGACTTGAGCCCGGGAGGAGGCTTACCGTGAGCCGAGATTGTGCTACTGCACTCCAGCCTGGGTGATAGAGCCAGACCTTGTCTCCAAAAAGAAAAAAAAAGCCTTAGGAAACTCACACTGCCACCTACCTGCACAACACAGAGAATGTAGCCTCAGACCTGGGCCTCCATGAACAACAGTGCATCAGTGGAATTCAATAACATTTTGTTCCATTAGATTTTTTTCTAATGGTGGTCTTCTCTTTGTAGTAAGTGATACTGCTTTTCAAATTACACTTAGGATGTAAAGTTTCCTTTTAATATAGATGTTTTAAAGTATTAAAACAGTGAGTTGGGGCAGGCGTGGTGGCTTACGCCTGTAATCCTACCACTTTGGGAGGCCGACGCAGGCGGATTGCCTGAGCTCAGGAGTTCGAGACTAGCCTGGGCAACACGGTGAAACCCCCTCTCTACTAAAATACAAAAAATTAACCGGGCGTGGTGGCAGGTGCCTGTAGTCCCAGCCACTTGGGAGGCTGAGGCAGGAGAATTGCTTAAACCCAGGAGGCGGAGGTTGCAGTGAGCCGAGATCGCCCCACTGCACTCCAGCCTGGCGACAGAGCAAGACTCCATCCCCCCCCAAAAAAAAAAAAAAAAAAAAAAACACAGTGAGTTGATTTCAAGAAAGATATTAAGAAATCTTTATTACATAATGGATTCAACTATGAAAACATATCATACAAATGCAACGTAGCCAATTGGAGCTTTGGGAAACACAGATTTAGAGGAAAAAGTGGACTTTTAAGGCAGCTATAACTTGAGTCCAAAGCCCAGCTCTGCCATGTCTTGATTATGTGGCCTTCTTGGGGTATCAGTTTTCCATGAAGTGGGGGTGAAGGGTCTACCCTAGAGATTGCCAAGCAAGTCTAGTGAGATCATGGTGCTTTCCAGAGCTCAGCAGAAGGTCTCAGGGGGCCCACTTCACTGTGTGCATCTCACTGTCCTTCCCCTCCCTGTGTCCCAGTCTCTCAAGCAGCATGCAGTCCCTGTCCTCAGGCAGCAGCCCCGGATCCCTCACGTCCAGCCGGGGCTCCCTGGTTGCATCCAGCCTGGACTCCTCCACTTCAGCCAGCTTCACTGACCTCTACTATGACCCCTTTGAGCAGCTGGACTCAGAGCTGCAGAGCAAGGTGGAGTTCCTGCTCCTGGAGGGGGCCACCGGCTTCCGGCCCTCAGGCTGCATCACCACCATCCACGAGGATGAGGTGGCCAAGACCCAGAAGGCAGAGGGAGGTGGCCGCCTGCAGGCTCTGCGTTCCCTGTCTGGCACCCCAAAGTCCATGACCTCCCTATCCCCACGTTCCTCTCTCTCCTCCCCCTCCCCACCCTGTTCCCCTCTCATGGCTGACCCCCTCCTGGCTGGTGATGCCTTCCTCAACTCCTTGGAGTTTGAAGACCCGGAGCTGAGTGCCACTCTTTGTGAACTGAGCCTTGGTAACAGCGCCCAGGAAAGATACCGGCTGGAGGAACCAGGAACGGAGGGCAAGCAGCTGGGCCAAGGTAGAGAGCACCATACCCAGAGGGTGGGAACCAGGAGGAGGGAAAGAGATACTCTGTGCTCAGAACCCCCCAGTGATCATTCTAGTCGATATTTACTGACTGCTTCTGTGTGCTGGGTCTTTGTATGGCAAGTATATTTATTCAGTGGATGTTTATTAACTCAGTATTTTTGAGGTCCTGTGTGAAGGGTTTTCAGTAGTAGATTCTGTCCTCCAACAGACATTTAGCACCTCATAAAACTAAATGTCAGGTCATCCTGTGCTAATGGATATACATGGATTCATCTATTCATGATTATAGATATGCTGGGTGCCAGGCACTGGGTTGGTCACTAAGGATTCTGTGTTGAAGACAGACAGGGTCCCTGTTCTCATGAAGCTTATGTTCAAATGGAGGCACAGGGAATAAACCTGCAACCAAACAAGCACTACAAAGAAAATAAAACAGGGAATGTGATCCAGCCTTTCTGGTTAGAGGTGGGACTGCCAGGGCAGGTTGGGTTGTGAAAGAAGATGACATTTGAGGGTGTCTTGAATGGTGAGATGGAGCCAGCCTTGGGAAAAGCAAGAGCAAAATCTCTGAGGTCAGAGCAAGGGACTAGAAGGGGAGCCAGGAAGCCATGAGTCAGAGGTAGGGGGTTACCAGTGAGGCTGGAGAACTAGGCAAGAGTCCAGATCCTGAAAGGCCTGGTGGGCTGTGCTAAGGAGTTTGGATTTTATCCTAATTGCACTGGGGACCCATGTGACCGTTTGAAGCCAGGAATGATATGATCTGACTCCCATTCTGCATGGGGTCAGAAAGAACATTTTGGTGTTGGCCGGAATTTAAGTTGGAATCTTCAAAATAGAAGATGATGCTGACATTGACAGCTAAGATTTATTAGGAGAAAACCTTTTTATCTTTAGCAGCAACCACATAATAAATCATAATAGTTAACTTTTATTGGGGATATATTATGAGTTGGGTAATGTGCTTGATACATGGTGAAATCAGTTATTTCTATTCTGTCCATTTCACTGGTGAGGAATTGGAGATTCAGAGAGGTGATGTCACTTGCCTTAGGTCACCCAGCCAACAAGTGAGGAAGCAGGGATAGGAACCTGAGTGTTTCTGGCCCCGGAACCCAACCCCCTTATTGTCATGCCTTAGGCTGGGAGGCAGTTCAGCATGCACATTCATGCCAACTCCTGGTGCTTGGGGCCCCACCAACCCCATCTGGCTCTGGGTGTGAAGGTCAGGACTGAGTAGGATGCTCAGTAAACTCACCTGGGCCTTCTTGGCTTTCCTGGCCACAGTAAAAATAGCTCACAATAATCATAGCTATGATATATAGCGTACAGGTGTTTAGGATTTAGGTACTTCTCTGCATATTTACTCATTTAAGCCTTACAACACCTCTGGGAAGTGGGTGCTATTTTTAATCTCCTTTTTTTTTTTTTTTTGAGATGGAGTCTCACTCTGTCACCCAGGCTGGAGTGCAGTGGCACCATCTGGCTCACTGCAACCTCCACCTCCTGGGTTCAAGCGATTCTCCTGCGTCAGCCTCCCGAGTAGCTGGAATTACAGGTGCACATCACCATGCCTGGCTAATTTTTTTTTTTTGTATTTTTAGTAGAGGCGGGCTTTCACCATGTTGGCCAGGCTGGTCTCGAACTCCTGACCTCAGTTGATCCACCCACCTTGGCCTCCCAAAGTGCTGGGATTACAGGCGTGAACCACCAAGTCCAGCCCCTTTTATCCCCATCTTAAAGATGAAAAAAGTGAGGCACAGTGAGGTTAAAAGACTTGTCTGAGGTTAGTCCCACAGAGTGAAATGGCAAGACCAGGACTGGCACAAGGACCACCTGCTCAGAACGCACACTGTTATCCATGTGCTGAGTTCTGTCTACAAAAAGCTGGTGCTCCTGGCTCCAGGTGAGGCCAGCTAGAAGCAGCCAGACCCATGTCAGCTCTGTGGCTCCAGGCATGGGCAGGAGTGGTGCTGCTGTGCCCAGAATTATCCATGTGTGTACAAGGGCCAGTGGGAGCATGGTAGGGAAATGAGGTTTCCTTGTTAACGAAAGGCTTTGAGTGCCAGTGGTTTCCTTAGAAGAGGAGCCGAGAGATCCCTGGGTTTCCCTCATCAGGAAGGGAGTCTTGCTGAGTGCTCTCAAAATAAAAGCAAGCGCCCTACTATAGCAGGTGGCAAGCCTCAGAAAATTGTTCCCTGGAGAGGAGGGGGTGCAGGTGGAACCTCTAACAAGGCTCAAAGAGCATGCCTCTGATATCAATATTAAGCCAAGTCAGGACACTCAGACCCCAGCTATGTCCTGTGAAGTGACCCCCTCCTCTCCCCTCCCTAACAGTGTCTTTGGGGCTTGTGGGCCTCAGACAGCACATTAGGCTGGGCACACACAGGTCTCGGGATGGCATTTCCTTCATGCCATCTCCAGAAGCCTTCCCTGCAGCAAGCAATGCCAGGCAGAGCTTAGACGCTAAGCAGGTTATGTGATTAGTGCCGCTGTTCAGTCAGCAGACAAATTAATCTCCTTAAGTGGTTTAGTGGAGGGTGGAGATGCGTGGGTCTGAAAGCAGGAGGTCTCCGCGGGCTCAGCAGGCATGGGACGCAGGCTCAGCTTCCCCATCACCAGCACTTGCAGTCTCCCAGACCCGCCTTGTCACCCATCGCCGTCCCCGGCCTGCCATGCCCTGGACTCTGTGCCCCTCAATGCTGCGAGCCCTTGCCCTGCTCCGGTCTGCCCGCAGGTGCTCAGAGGTGTTAGCTGTGAGGTTGTAAGATCTGGATCTGGCCTTCCCCGCTGCAAGGAGGGCAGGAATTGTCTTATTCATCTTTGTAGTTCTGAACATGGCAATGGGCCTGGCACATCGTGAGTGATCATTACTTGGGCAAGGAAGGAATGTGCAGCACGTGTTGAGTGCTTAGTTATGAGCCTCAGATCAGAGACTTTCAAGGGCCCCTGTTAAGGTTAGGGAAGAGGAGGAGCTGAATTCGGAGTGGAAAGGGATAGGCAGTGGAAGAACGGGTGCTTAATCTCTCCCTTCTCTGTCCTGAGGGTCCAGGGGCTGTTATTTTGCCCCAGGTGGGTAGGGATGGATCTGTTAGGTTGATGCAAAAGTAATTGCAGTTTTTGCCATTGAAAGTATGGATATCTACAGTGATAGGAACAGTAGTGGCAATAAGGATAGTTGTAATGAGTTTTGCAGAGCACTTTGCCTGCCTGCACCAATCTCTATATTAAGGACTTCCCTTATAATGTCTCGCTGAGTCCTGTCAACAGCCCTATAAGTAGGTATTATTATCCAAGTTTTACAAATGAGGCATCTGAGGCTTAACAGGATTAAGTCAGTATCTCAAGGTCATGAAGCAGTGAGTGGTGGAGCCGGATTTGAATCCAGGCAGTTCGACTCAAGAGCCTGGGATGGTAAAACACAAAATCACATGTGACTCCTTCCATCACCCTAAAGCAAACTTTTTTTTAATTTTTTTTTTTTTTTTTTTTTTTTGCTTTAGCATTTAGAGGTGGTTGGAATTTGGTGGAACCGTCTGTCTTCCATAGAGAGTGTATCAAAATTGGGAGTTCAGGCTCCCCGAATCCCAAAGTGTTGGGATTACAGTCGCTGACGCCTGTAATCCCAACACTTTGGAAGGCCAAAGCAGGCAGATCGCCTAAGACCAGGAGTTCAAGACCAGCCTGGGCAATATGGCAAAACCCCATCTCTACAACAAAATAATAATTCAAAAATTAGCTGGGTATGGTGGCACATGCCTGTAGTTCCAGTATTTGGGAGGCGGAGGTGGGAGGATCACCAGAACCCGAAGTGGTCGAGGCTGCAGTGAGCCATGATTGTGCCACTGCACTCCAGCCTGGATGAGTGAGACCCTGCCTCAAAAACAAAACAAAATTGGGAGTCGCAAAGGCAGTTTCCTGGTTCCTGAACCTGCCTTTCCATTTTCCTTCCCTAGCTGTGAATACGGCCCAGGGGTGTGGCCTGAAAGTGGCCTGTGTCTCAGCCGCCGTATCGGACGAGTCAGTGGCTGGAGACAGTGGTGTGTACGAGGCTTCCGTGCAGAGGTAGGTGTCTGGGTGCTGGCTCTCTCTGTGGCCCTGTAAGCCATGAACTCTGAATATCCAGAGCCTAGGCCTGTGGAGAGGCTTAGGTTTTGGCCCCCACAGTGTGTGGGAGGAGCCCCAAGAGGGCATGACCCCACCTTCCTCTTGGCTGCCCAAGGCACAGACAGCATAACTTTTCCTGGGGTTAGAGATGCTTCAGGTTTGGGGGAGTGCTAGTTCTGTGGTAGCTACGAAAAAGGTATATGGCTAAGGAGCAAGCACTAGAGAAAGGGAAGGCCCCTTAAGAGAGGAGTCCAAGCTGGGCATAGTGGTGTGAGTCTGTAATCCCAGCTACTTGGGAGGCTTCAGTGGGAGGATCACTTGATACAAGGAGTTCGAGACCAGCCTGGGCAACATAGTGAGCCCCCATCTCTAAAAAAAATTTTTTTTAATTAAAATTTAAAAAAGGACCTGAAGGGAAGCTGAGCAAACCCCAACTTTCCTTCCTGGGGATGTAACCTCAGCCTCCCAGAATAGTTTGTTCACTGTAGGGAAGCCTAACTCCTCCTCCCCTGTTGCCTTTCAGACTGGGTGCTTCAGAAGCTGCTGCATTTGACAGTGACGAATCGGAAGCAGTGGGTGCGACCCGAATTCAGATTGCCCTGAAGTAAGTGACGAGGACGAGGAGGACAGAAGGAACGGTCTGTGTGGGGTCCCTTCTTCATCCACAGCGTTCCCCAGCATTTACCTTCACAGCCGCCCAGGGTGGAAGGCAGCACCAGCAGGACCTGCTGGCCATTGCAGCTTCTTAACTGAAGGGATGCTGATTCGTTCCTCACCTCCCAGCCATCCGCTTTACAGATAGGAGAAATGAGGTTGGAGAAATGGGGTTTTAAAAGACCTTATGACTTGGCCCAACTCACTGAGCTGGCTGGTAGCAGAGCCAGGACTGGGACTGAGACCTCCTGCCTCTCAGTGTGTTTGTTCATTGTTGCTGTGGCTTTTGTCTTTCCATCCCATCTAGGTTTCATTGATCTGGATGGAAGTTGATCACTGGGGGCTGCAGCCCAGATTGGGTCAATACACACATGGTTGTTCTTTTTGTTTTCTTTTGTTGGGGGATGATATGATCTCAATTTTTTTTTTTTTTTTTTTTTGAGACAGGGTCTCACCTGTCACCCAGGCTGGAGTGCAGTGGTGTGATCTCAGCTCGCTGCAACCTCTGCCTCCTGGGTTCAAGCGATTCTCCTGCCTCAGCCTCCCAAGTAGCTGGGATTACAGGTGTGTGCCACCACGCCCGGCTAACTTTTGTATTTTTAATAGAGATGGAGTTTCACCATGTTGGCCAGGCTAGTCTCAAACTCCTGACCTCAAATGATCTGCCCGCCTTGGCCTCCCAAAGTGCTGAGATTACAGGCATGAGCCACCACACCTGGCCTTCAATATTTTTTAATAGGAATTAGTTGACAACATTTCCATATCATGAAATTTCACCCGCATTTATGGGTTCTTTTTAAAAATTCAGACAACTGGCTGGGTGTGGTGGCTCACACCTTTAATCCTGACACTTTGGGAGGCTGAGGCAGAGGAATCACTTGATTCCAGGAGTTCAGGACCAGCCCAGGCAACATGATGAAACCCCATCTCTACTAAAAATACACAAAATTAGCTGGGTGTGGTGGTGAACACCTGTAGTCCTAGCTACTTGAGAGGCTGAGGTGGGAGGATCACCTGAGCCTGGGAGGTCGAGGCTACCATGAGCCCCGATCATGCCACTGCACTCAACCTGGATGACAGAGTGAGACCCTGTTTCAAAACAAAAAAAAAATTTTCAAACAATTGGCAGCTCTAGCTCTACATCCCTGCATGGCAGCAAAGCACTGGGCCTGTGCTCTAGAGCTCACCATAGGCCCCAGGGCAGCCAACAGCCACGTCCTGTGACTTTTAATGGAGAGAAGGAATGAGAGAGATGAGTGTGTTACTAATAGGTACTTCATATGCCCCTTTTCATTTCAGGTATGATGAGAAGAATAAGCAATTTGCAATATTAATCATCCAGCTGAGTAACCTTTCTGCTCTGTTGCAGCAACAAGACCAGAAAGTGTGAGTATGTAGCTGGACAGGTGTATTTCATACCCTAACCCTCTGGAGTTACCCCTGGGGGTCACTTTTCTGCCCTGTCCTGATCCAGTTATGGGCCTTGTCAAGGCACTGTGGGTTTGTACTGCATATGACTGTGATGCTGAATGTCGGTGCTGTGCATGTGAATACAGGCACAACGGCAAGCACACCAACTGTAAAGACAAGCACTCTCTAGATGACTGTGTGAATTCCTGCCCCATTACGTGCTGAGCACCTGCTGCATGCCAGCTCTAGGAATGGGGTGGTGAGCAGATCCTTCCTGGGCCCTACCCTCCTGGACTTTGAGCCTCATGGAGAAGAATGGTCACAGTCTGTTTTATCTTCTCCTAAGCTCAAGTGTTTCTTGCAGAGAGAGATAGGTCTTCTGTTTCCAAGAGTCAACACCAGTCACTGCTTCTCTTGGAGGGGTGTGACTGCGTGTTACCTTGATGCTGGTAGGATGCAAACACCTGCTCTGTCTGCCTGTGGGCTCCTCCCATGGTAGATGGGTTTATCCTTTATTGCACTCATCTGCCTCCAAGTTTTCTCTGATCGTAAGGCCTGGAGGGTGGCAACAGAAGCTTATGTGTCTGTGGTCTACACTCAGCCAGCCTGTGAGGGTGGCACATGTGGGAAGAAGAAAGGGCAGGAAGGCGGACAAAACGGAAGGAAGACAAGATGGGATGCTTGGGTCAATTTCAGTCTTCTGCCCACACAGACAGTGCCAGGCTGAATAGCCTCCTCCATAGCTCACTGGTACTCATGCAGGGGCATCTGTGGGATAATGCCTAGAAGTGAAGGGTCTGGACCAAAGGACAAATGCATCTGGAATTTTGTTCGATTTGTCAAAGTTCCTTCCAGTGTATAGGGGCCTGATTCCCCAGATTCCTCACTTCTACAAACTCTCATCCACTGTTGTTTGCTTAGGGATTTCAGCAGCTGTTTAGTCCAACATTTTAGCCCCAGACATGGGCTGACCCAAGATTTCCTGCGGTTCTGTCTCCCTCTAGGAATATCCGCGTGGCTGTCCTTCCTTGCTCTGAAAGCACAACCTGCCTGTTCCGGACCCGGCCTCTGGACGCCTCAGACACTCTAGTGTTCAATGAGGTGTTCTGGGTATCCATGTCCTATCCAGCCCTTCACCAGAAGACCTTAAGAGTCGATGTCTGTACCACCGACAGGAGCCATCTGGAAGAGTGCCTGGTAAGGGCCGTGTCTGGCTGGCTGGCTGGCTGGCTGGCTGGCTGGCTGGCTGGCTGGCTGACCGGCCTTCTGTGTTTATGGGGATTGGTCTACCCTGAGCTTCAGGAAGAAGGTTCGAAGGAGACGCAGGTTGTGCTATCAATCAGGCTCATCTTGGATTCTAGGCAGCGAGGCTTCCACAGGTGAATGTTGTTCTCAGACTTAGGGTGGGAGGGAAGGAGCTCTTTCACAAGAGGAAGAGTAATGGACCTGAAAGTGCCTTTTAAAACTGCCAGAACCTGGAAAAAGCCACATACTGCAGCTTTACTATACAGCATGAGAGATTAGATAAGAAGCACAGACTATGGCTGTGTGGTGGCTTATATCTGTAATCCCAACCCTTTGGGAGGCCAAGGCCAGAGGATCACTCAAGTGCAGGAGTTCGAAAGCAGCCTGGGCAACACAGCAAGACCCCATCTCTACAAAAAATAAAATTAGCCAGGCATAGTGGTGCATGCTTGTAGTCCTAGCTACTCTGGAGGTTGAGATGGGAGGATCCCTTGAGCTGCAATGAGCTGATCATGCCGCAGCATTCTGGCCTGGGCAACAGCAGAACCCTGTGTCAAAAAAAAAAAAAAAAAAAGCACAGAGTAATGAAAGCAAACACATAGGCATTCACATCCCACCTTTACCACTTGCTGTATAGCTGGATGACCTTGGGCAAGGTACTTAACATCTCTGATCCTCATTTTTCTTATCCCTAAAATGCAAATGATAATGCCTCCATCATGCCCACTGGAAGAATCTTTATAAGGATTGAGATAGCACCCGTAAAACACCTATTCAAGTGTCTGATCCACAGTGGGTTCTCGTTTAGTGGGGCCATTGCCAGCCTCCTCCCTGAAACTGACCTTCTCCGGCTTCCATCTCTCACTGCATTGGCAGGAGTCAGGACTGGGGATGAAGTAGCCCAAGTACATTTTGTCCTAAGAGACAGGCAGACCCAAGTGCAGACAGATACTCAGCTTTCCCATCTGTAGAAGGGGGATTTATATAATAGCTAACTCGGGCTTGTGATGTACAAGTGAATTAGAAGAAGTAAAGGGCTTTGTTAACCCTGATGCCATTTAGTGTTAGAATATTTTAATGATAACTCAACTGTGGGCACAAAGGAGCCCAAGTGTGGGCATTATACCTAGAAGGTCGCTCCACTCATGCTCAGATCTGTACTGGGAGCTTGTTGTGTCCCCACCCCTGTGTCTGGGGCTGGGGATTCAATGGGGAACCAAACAGACAAGGTGCCAGCATTGATGGCTAAGATGTAAACAAACTGTGAGGAGGGCCGTGTTGGAAATGGATGGGTTGAAGTGATGGAGGAAAATGTGGGGTATGTGCAAAGGGGAAAAACAAGATGTATACACCTCTCCGAGCCTCTCCTGCCTCCATTTCTGGAAGCTGGAATGTAGAGCCTCTCACTGCCTTCTTGGAGGGCTCGCCCCTTTCTCCTGCTGTAAATCACAGACCTTTGCCCAGAGAAGGGAATCTCTTTGCTCTCCATCCTTGCCTTGATCTGCATGCGCTATAAAACCCTTCTCTATCATGGCATTGTGGGGCCACATCCTTGGATTGTGGCCTGGGGCTGTCACCAGCCTTGCCCTTCCAGCTGTGTCTCCTCACAGTCTTCAATTCTTAGTCTCAGTTCCCTTATCTGTAAAATCTGGCTCATACTGCCTTCCTGGAGGTGGTTCTCTGAAGACTAACTAAGGCGCTGAAGCAGCGCTTCAAACTGTGCCATGCACACAAGTTACCTGGAGCTCTGGCTAAATGCAGATTCTGATTCAGCAAGTCTGGAGCAGAACCTGAGATTCTGCATTTCTAATAAGCTCCCAGGTGAGGCCAATGCTGCTGGTTCCTGGATCACACTTTGGGTAGCAAGAATGTAGAGCAGCAAAGTGTTTGCAGTTTGTGCTCACTGGATATCGGTTCCCATCTCTCCTTCTTAGCTGGGTACAACACAGCATCACTGCTATTGATGTTGTTACTGACAATAATGCAGTAGTTAATACCAGTAGGTTGCAGTTTATATGGCAGGCACTGAGTTAAGCTCTTTACATGCATTATCTGTTTTTTTTATTTTAGACTGAGTCCTGCTCTCAGTCTCTGGAGTGCAGTGGCGTGATCTTGGCTCACTGAAACCTTCACCTCCTAGATTCAAGCAATTCTCCTGCCTTAGACTCCAGAGTAGCTGGGACTACAAGCGCCCACCACCACACCCGGCTAATTTTTGTATTTTTAGTAGAGGCGGGGTTTTGCCATGTTGGCCAGGCTGATCTTGAACTCCTGACCTCAAGTGATCCGCCTGTCTCCACCTCCCAAAGTTCTGGGATTACAGGTGTGAGCCACCACCCCAGCCCATTATCTCTATTGATCCTCACTCCAACCTTGCAAAATAGGTAGCGTATTCCAGTGGAGAAACTGAGGCACAAAGAGGTGAAAGACCTTTCCTGTCACAGTTAGGAAAGTGGCAGAAGCCGTATTTGAACCCCAGCAGGTCTCCCTCTGAAGTCCACACACGTCAGCGCCTCTGTGTTGTCTCTTTGCCAGCACAGGGCTCCCTGGAGCCCAGAGATGGGGGTGGTGACTTGAAGGGGTTGGCAAGCCTGGGCTCCTCCAGCGAAGCATTCCCTTGGCCCTGGGCATTCCTAAGCGAGAAGAGGCTCAATCCTATTTTCTTCTCCTAATTGGATGCCTTTTATTCCTCCTTCCTAATTGAAGTCTGGTCATTGCTGGTTGCCATGGCAGCAGCCAAAGCGCTCATCTCACTGTGGCTTGTCTCTGCCTGCGGCCAATGGGAAACCTCCTTTCCCATATACGGTGGGGACATGGAGTGTCAGGCTGTCGTATTCTGGTGGCTGGAGGAGGAGAGGAAGTGAGATGGGAGGAAAAAGGCCTGTCCTCTCCCACGCAGAGACTCCGGACAGCAGGATGTGTGGAATCCCCAGTCTGTTTTCAGCCAGGCAGCAACAGCATCTGTACTGAGTTGAGTCTATGTGTCTACCAGTGGGCTAAGAACTTCATGTGCAGTATCTCATTTAATCTTCGTGATGGCCCCAGGAAGATAAGGGATCAAGGCCCAGAAAGGCTAAGTAAGCTGCCAGGTCATCCAAGGAGAAAATGGCAAAGCCTGGATTTGAACAGAGACTCCAGCTTCCTTATGTGTAGCCATCTCACCATGCTACTTCTCAGGGGGTTACTATGAGTGTCTCTCATGTCCCCAGACCCAGATTACAGGTTTGGAGGAATACACAGCCCACCTTCCCAATATCGCAGGCAACAGTTCCACCAAATGCCCTGCATGGCATCACAGGGAGCCTAGTTGCCCACTGCTCTACTGCTGAGCTCAATGCCACCCAGCCCGGGCTCTCTCGAGCTAGCCTGCTTCTCAGGCCCCACTGACGTCCCATGGTTCACCATTACAACCGTTCCCTTGCCTCCTCTCACTTTGGCATACTAACTTGGCAAAACCCAGCCCTGTCAAAGTGAACTCTCCACCCCCTCCTCTCCAACTGAGCAACTGGAAAAAAAAATGCACACAACCACGCTGTATGGTATCATTTGGAAATGGTGATCACTCACTTCCCATGAGCCCTCAATGCTGCCCAGAAATTATACTGTATCTCCCTGGACCATTTACTCACCCACTCATCACAATGACTAATTCATACTTCTCTCAGGGAGAGAAGAGAGGACAGACTCAGAAGAGGGCCCCCACACCATATCTGGCTGTTCTTGTAGGTTCTGCCATTTCCCTGGCTTCTGAGGGTGGGCCTTCTGCACTCCTGTCTGAGGCCACCACCCCCATTTTCTCGCAAGGACATTACTCCAGCAGCCATTCCGCTCTTTCCTCTATCTTCAATTTTCCCTCCTCCACTGGATCCAGCCTATCAGTATATCATCATGCTGTTATTTCTCCCATGCTCAAAACAAAACAAAAAAATTTTTTTTGACAGAGGATCTTGCTTTGTTGCCCAGGCTGGAGTGCAGTGCTGTGAACTCAGCTCACAGCAGCCTTGACCTTCTGGGCTCAAGTGATCCTCCCACTTCAGCCTCTCCCATAGCTGGGACTACAGGCACATGCCACCATGGCCGGCTAATTTTTGTATTTTTTGTAGAGATGGGGTCTCACTATGTTGCCCAGGCTGGTCTTGAACTCCTGGGCTCAGGCAGTCCTCCCGCCTCAGCCTCTCAAAGGGCTGGGGTTTACAGGCGTGAGCCACCACACCCGACCTAAAACTTTTTTCACCCCATTTCCACTTCCAACTACTACATTGTTTCTTTCCCTTTCTTTATAGAAAAACTTGAAAGAGGTGTTCCCTTCCTCTCTGTAACCCAATCCATGTGGACTTTGGCCCTCATCTTTCTTTTTTCTTTTTTTTTATTTTTGAGACAGAGTCTGTTGCCCAGACTGAAGGGCAATGGCGTGATCTTGGCTCACTGCAACCTCCGCTTCCCGGGTCCAAACCATTCTCCTGCCTCAGCCTCCCAAGTAGCTGGGACTATAGGCACGCGCCACCACACCTGGCTAATTTTTGTATTTTTATTAGAGATGGGGTTTCCCCATGTTGGCCACGCTGGTCTCAAACTTCTGACCTCAAGCGATCCACCCACCTTTTCCTCCGAAAGTGGTGGGATTACAGACGTGAGCCACCGTGCCTGGCCTGGCCCTCATCTTTGTACCGAGGGTGTGCTCTTCATGTTCCTCAGGGAGCTCCTTGTTACCAGACCAGAGGCCAGCTCTCCATCTTCCTTCTGGACCTGCCAGCTACATTTGCCACAGTTGCTGACTCCACCTCCTTCAAAATCCTTTGCCCTTGCTTGGCCTCCTGGTTACCTCGCTCTTCCAGTGTTCTCCCCTCACCTCTAGCATGTTGGTCTCCTTTGCTGATTCTTCCTCATTTCCCTGACCTCCCTATATCAGAGGGCCCAGGGCTGGGTCCTTGATCCTCCCCTTTTCTACTCATTTCCTTGGTGATCTCATTTTATCTCCCAGCTGCAAACCCATCCCAAGTGCAGGGCTCCAGCATGGGCCTCCGCACTCGCCTCGAATCTTGTATCTCCACTGCCTGTTCTGCATCTTCACTTAAACGTAAAATAGGACCTCAAACGAACATGGCCACAAGAATGCCCCTGACCTTTCATCCTGTGTCTCCGCTGTCTCAGCCGATGGCAATCTCATTCTTCCATTGCTCAGGCCAGACACCTTGCAATCATCCTTAACCCCTCTCTTTCCCTCACCCCATCCTCTTAGCTCCACCTTCAAAAGAACCCTAGATTCCACTTCTCACCACTTCCCCAGACCCAAGCCACTGTCTTCCCTTACCTGGATGATGGCAGCCATCTCCTACTTGGTTTCCCGGCTTCTGTCCTTTTCCCCTTCCTCTTTTTTCAACAGAGTAGCCAGACTAATCCTGTTTAAATGTAAATCAGTGCATGCCATTCTTTTGCTAAAACCTTATGATGGCATATGTCTCCACCTAGAGTCAACACCTGTGTCCTTTGCCTGGCCTCCAAGGCCCCTTGGGATTTGGCCACTTATTAAAATCTCTGGGATTATATCCCCAAAACTCTTCCTCCAGCCTCGTGTTCCTTGAATACACACACCAACATGTGCTCCCCTCCGGGCCTTTGCACTTGCTGTGTCCTCTGCCTGGCATTCTGTCCTCCCAGGTGCTCCCTCACCTCCTTCTGGACTTTATTCAAATGTCACCTTCTCTGTGAGGTCTTCCACCCTATATAAATCCCATTACCCTCTCTGCTGTCTTATCCCCTCCTAGCCCCTTTCCCTGTAGTATTTTCCCTACAGCACCTTTTATCACCTAACATTTCACTGTACGTCATAGATTCTAGGGTACATGTTATCTCTACATTTTACTTCTGAAATCAAGATGCACTATGTACTAGATGACAGGTTATAGTTTCATTGGCAACTATTTCTCTTTCTTGGTGCATAAAATAATGGTACACTTTTAAATGATGGCATCTTAGATTCGATGAAACACAGTGTGGAGTTTACCTATGGAGTTGTTATCTGATCCCCCTAGATGCAAATATAAGGTCATGGGGCAGGAATATTTATCTGCCTTCAATTCTGCTCTATCTCCAGCACCCAGAACAGTGCCTGGCACATAAGACTTCTCAGCAGATTTTTGTGTGTTGAATAAATGAATGAATGAATACGTAAATGCCCTCAAAAGTGCATCCAGTTTACTGAGGTAGACAATACTCACACCTGTGAGCCCGCCCCAGATAAACAGTATATCTTGTTAGAATTAATAATAATCTGCTGGAGGTGTTACACCTCAAAGCTGTGATCCTGGTCTTTTCCCCTCATACCTCACACATGGCCTGGCATGTTCTGAACTGTAATATCCAAATAGCTGTCTATCCCCCTAGGAAACCACGAGACCCGTTTTGGGGAAGAATCATGTCTTACATGCTTCTGTGGCTCCAGAGTCTGCGAAGGGCTTAGGGAGTTTTTACTGAATGAATAAATAAGTATTAGACAAATATTTGTATATATGTACATTTATTCTGGGTGTCTGAAGTGTGCCAAGCATTTAATTACCTCTGATCCTCCCAATAGGCTGGTAGGTAGGAGTGATTTTCCCTGTTTTCCAGATGAGGAAGCTGGTGCTAAACAAGTGAAGTGTCAGCATTGTGCTTTCTTCCTTTCCCCACTCAACACCGTGCTCTCAGAAACCACCTTTCACTGTCCCAGACCTAGCACAGCCCTGCCACGTTCCAGTGCATCTTGATGAATTGTAGCCCCCATAATCCCCATGTGTTGTGGGAGGGACCTGGTGGGAGGTAATTGAATCATGGGGGCTGTTACCCCCATGCTGCTGTTCTCATGATAGTGAGTGTGTTCTCATGAGATCTGATGGTTATATAAGGGGCTTTTCCCACTTTTGTTCGGCACTTCTCTTTGCTGCCACCATGTGAAGAAGGAAGTGTTTGCTTCCCCTTCTGCCATGATTATAAGTTTCCTGAGGCCTCCCCAGCCATGCTGAACTGTGAGTCAACTAAACCTCTTTCTTTTATAAATGACTCAGTCTCGGGTATGCCTTTATTAGCAGCATGAGAACGGATTAATACACTTGGCTACAGGTCCATTTTGCAAACTGGCATTTGGTATTTCTACCACCCATCAGCACAGAGTCTGGTTCCACCCACCGACACTGGTGTGTTAGGGGAAGGTGAGCTGACCACCTTCCCAAACCTGACCAGGGCTCATTTTTGCACATGTCGAAACAATAAAGCCTCTGAGGAATGATTAATTAGTTTGTAGTAATTTCTAGGAAGGCTGTAGGGGAAAAAAAAAACAGTAAAAATATTAAGTCACTTGAAATAATCCCCTTCTCTGTGAGCTTATAGTCAGTCAGGTTAGTTTGTTATAGTTTGTTTTTATTTTAAGGGATATATTTACATAATTCAAAGAAAAATTGTATGGAAAGGTTTACTGAAGAGAAATCATGCTCTTTCCCCACCCCAGCCTCACCATCTATCCTATATAGGTGACCACTTTGATTAATTTCTTTTGCATCTTTCCATTATTTCTTGTGCACATATGATCATGGTCACTCCCCCTGGCACCTCAAGCATGGTGCAATATGTAGATAGACTATAGACACAGATATACTTACCCCACTCTCTTGCACAAAAGGTAGCATATTATATATTCTTTTCTGCACCATGCTATTTTCTTCCCTTAACAATATAGCCTGGCCATCTCTCTGCATCAGTAAAAAGAGATCTTCCTCTTTTTTACATGACTATATAATATTCCATTGTATGGATAGATTATAGTTCTTTTAGTCTGTTCCCTGTTGCTGGACCTTTGGGTCATTTAAAATCTTTCGCTATTGGCCGGGTGCCTCACACCTGTAATCCCAGCACTTTGGGAGGCTGAGGTGGGTGGATCACCTGAGATCGGGAGTTCGAGACCAGCCTGACCGACATGGAGAAACCCCGTCTCTACTAAAAATACAAAAAAAAAAAAAAAGGCCAGGCGTGGTGGCACTTAATCCCAGCTACTCCAGAGGCTGAGGCAGGAGAATTGCTTGAACCTGGGAGGCAGAGGTTGTGGTGAGCCAAGACCATGCCATTGCACTCCAGCAGCCTCGGCAACAAGAGCAAAACTCTGTCTCAAAAAAAAAAAAAAAAATCTTTCGCTATTACAAAGAGGGTCAGAATGAAGACTCTTGTTTGTGGGTCGTTTTGTACTTGTGCAGGTTTCTGCAGGTGTATCTGTGGGATAGACAGCTACAAGGAGAATTATTCGGTCGAAGGGTAAAATGCATTTATATTTTTGCTAGATATGACTAAATTCCTTCCGTCGGGTTTCTGCCATTTTACATTTCCACGAGCAAGGTGAGAGAGGGCCTATTTCCCCATAACCTCACCAATGGCATTTGTTGTCAATTTTTTAAACTTTTGCAAATTTAGTGGAGAAGAAATGATACACAGTTTTCTACCTCACTTGGAATTAATTACTTGTTCAGTTCCTGAGTTCCTTGGGAGAGTGCTGGCTCCCAGAAGGTGGAACCAGGTGGGGACCATCATTATCCTCAGTACCTAACACAGAACCTAGTGCTTAATATAAGTAACACAGAATGGGTATTCAACAACAAAAAAATCAACCCAATTTGAAAAGGGGAAAGGACTTGAATAGACATTTCTCCAAAATTAATATACAAATGGCCAATATGCATGTGAAAAGATGTTCAACATTACTAGTTATCAGAGCAATGCAAATCAAAACCACAATGAGATACCACCTCACACATATTTGGATGATGGCTATCCAAAAACCACACAAAATAACTAGTGTTGGTGAAGATGTAGAGAAATTGGAACTCGTGTGCATTGTTGGTGGGATTATAAGCACTCCCTTAGCAAGTCTTAAGGTAAACAGTGTAGTAGTTCCACTAAAAAATTAAAAATGTAACTACCATATGACCTAGCAATTGTACTTCTGGGCATATATTCAGGAGAATTGAAAGCAGGGTTTTGTTGTTGTTGTTGTTGTTGTTTTGTTTTGTTTTGTTTTTGAGGCAGAGTTTTGTTCTTGTTGCCCAGGCTGGAGTGCAATGGCACGATCTCATCTCACCTGCAACCTCCATCTCCTGAGTTCAAACAATTCTCCTGCCCCAGCCTCCCGAGTAGCTGGGATTACAGGCATACGCCACCACGCTCGGCTAATTTTGTATTTTTAGTAGAAATGGGGTTTCTCCATGTTGGTCAGGCTGGTCTCGATCTCCCGACCTCAGATGATCCACCCACCTCAGCCTCCCAAAGTGCTGGGATTACAGGCGTGAGCCACCGCGCCCGGCCTGAAAGCAGGTTCTTAAAGAATTACTTGTACACTCATGTTCATGGCAACACTGCTCACAATAGTGAAGAGGTAGAAGTAACCCAAATGTCCATCAACAGATGGCTGGATAAGCAAAATGTAGCATACCCATACAGTGGAATATTATTCAGCCTTAAAAAGAAAGGGGGATCTCTTAGCCCAGGAGTTCGAGATTACAGTGAGGTATGACCGCATCACCGCACTCCAGCCTGGGCAACAGAGTGAGACCCTACCTCCAAAATAACAGCAACAAAAAAGGAATACAATTCTGATACATGCTGCGACACAGGTGGACCTTGAAGGCATTGTTAAGTTCAATAAGCCAGTCACAAAAAGACAAATGCTATATGATTCCAATTATATGAGGTATCGAAAGTCATCAAATTCATAGAAACAGAAAATATAGTGGTGGTTACCAGGAGCTGTGGGGAAGGGGAAAAAGAGGTTGTTGCTTAGTAAGTGTAGAGTTTCAGATTTGCAAGATGAGAATGTTCAGTAGATCTCTTTTGCAACAATGTGCGTAATGTTTAATACCACTGAACTGTGCACTTAAAAGCGGCAAAGATGGTAAACTAAAGGTTTTTTTATCACAGTTTTTTTAATTAAAAAAATTCATAGGATAAGTCTTCAATAAAGATTTGGCAAATGATTAAACCAATCAATCAATGAATGAATGAACAAATGAGCTAATTGGAAATGTTAACAACTTGGCCTCTCTTCCTGCCGGGATGCCTACCTCTCATCTGGAGTGGTGTTTTTTCCATACTGTCCTCTTGAACCAAATTCCCTGACACCTGGTGTCCCCCCCACCGCCACTTATGTTCTCCTTGTTTCCATCCCCAACAGGGAGGCGCCCAGATCAGCCTGGCGGAGGTCTGCCGGTCTGGGGAGAGGTCGACTCGCTGGTACAACCTTCTCAGCTACAAATACTTGAAGAAACAGAGCAGGGAGCTCAAGCCAGTGGGAGTCATGGCCCCTGCCTCAGGGCCTGCCAGCACGGTGAGCTGGGACCAGGTGTGCCACCTTCCCACAAGGCCGCACCCGGATGTTGGAAGGGAAAGCCTCTCCCAGAACTGGAGGTGATCAGGCGTCATGAGAGGAGAACAATGGGGTGGAGGAAGTAGGAGAAGAAGACAGGGAAGGAGAGATCTCCACTAAGGGGCAGGCGGCTCCCTTTCTGCAACTTGTTCCCTTCCACATCTGTGTTTCCTCCTTCTGTCCTTTGCCCTACCTAATACCACTTGGCTAACGAAAACCTTAATTCATGATTTTTTACAAATGAAGTGGAGAAGAAGGTAAAAAACTGTGGAAGGAAAAAGATTAACCTTTCTTGGGCCCCTACTTTGTTCAAGGTCCATACTGGAGGCTTTGTATAAGAGGCAGCTAGAAATCATGGGAAGAGAATCAGAGGGCTAGGTCAGTCATATCACCTCTCTGAGCTTTCAATTTTTAATGTCTAATATGAGCCTTAAAAGGTTGTTATGAGGATGGGCACGGAGCCTCATGCCTATAATCCCAGCCCTTTGGGAGGCTGAGGCAGGAGGATCTCTTGAGGCCAGGAATTCAAGACAAGCCTGGGCAACATGGTGAGGCCTTGTCTCTACAAAAAAAAAAAAAAAAAATTTAATTAAAAAAAAAAGTTTTTATGATGCTTTGAAGAAATATATGTAAAGAGCACTTGGTAACTGTTCCATTGTGACTTTGTTATTTGAAAATCTTGGCCGGGCGTGGTGACTCATGCCTGTAATCCCAGCACTTTGGGAGGCCAAGGCAGGAGGATCTCTTGAGGTCAGGAGTTTGAGACCACCCTGGCCAACATGGTGAAACCCTGTCTCTACTAAAATTCTAAAAATTAGCCAAGCATGATGGCAGTCATCTGTAATCCTAGCTACTAGGGAGGCTGAGGCAGGAGAATTGCTTAAACCCGGGAGGCAGAGGTTGCAGTGAGCCAAGATTACACTGTCGCACTCCAGCCCGGGCAGCAGAGCAAGACTCCATCTCAGAAAAAAAAAAAAAAGAAAAGAAAAAAAAGCTTATATTTGCTTATTTTCAGTGAAAAAATATGTTCTGTTTTCATTTTAGCGCAGTACGCTTTAATGTATTAAAATATCCTTAAACTGTCTCCCCCGTTTGGAAAGCCCACACCTACTGGCCAGGCAGACTAGTCAGAACTCAGTTGAGCAGTGAAGTTAGTCTTACATATGGGGTATTGGACTCCTATGGGATCCCGACCACATCAAAAAAGTTAAATAGAGAGTGTTTTGGATTCAGGTTTTCTTGTAATCATCTGTAATGATCCTTCCCTCTCTGTAACGGTTGTTCCCTCTGTCGATACTTGGTTAGTTTGGACAGCCACTGCCTAGAATTTCAATGGAGCGGATGGGTTGGGACATACAGGTAAAGATAAGGGTAGCAAATAGAGAAATTAAGTCTATTTTCTTTGTCTCTTTCTCCTCCTCCTCTCCTTTCCCTCCCATCCCCACCTTCTTTTTCATCGTCATCATCATCATCATCATTTTCTGTACTTCCTTTTGCATCAGGCACTGTTCTGTTTATTATGTGCAGTTTACCAAGGCTCAGAGAGATAACCAAATTACATTAAGATGTACATCTCATCAGCAAAGCTAGGTCTCAAACCCAGGTCTCTCACTCCAAAAGGAGACTGTGAGCTGATAAAGGTCTCGAAAACAAACTCCTCTCCTTTCTAGAGCATGACCTTGAGTAAGTAACATCAACCCTAGACACACTAGTTCTCTCCTTCCCATTTCTCAAGTGAGTCATAATAATTCCCACCTGTCAGGATGGTTGTAAAGATTAAATAAGATGCTACACATAAACCATCTTTCACAGTGCCTGCTATATACCAGGCCTTCAGTTGATTTTAGTTCCCTCTTTCCCTTCTTACAAGAAAATGTCAGGAATTTTTCAGGCTCTGGCCCACACTACCAAGGGTAACCACAAATTAACCATGTGCTCAGAAAACTACAGGATCCAGTTTTTGCTTTGGTATTAGCTACCATTTACTGGGTGCCAATTATGTGCCAGGTATTCTTCTGTGTTCCTCATGTAGAGTCTCAATTAATCTTCATAACAACCCTTTCTAGCAGTTATTAGAGGAAACAGTCTCAGAGAGTTTAAATAATTTCCTCAAGTCACATGGGCTTTTTCACTGTAGATACCATTCAGTATAAATGTTCCTCTTTCAGGAAGCCCTCCCTGAATGCAACTTCCCAAGCTTTATCACTGTTCCGCTGTTCCCAAACAGCCAGTACTTATCTCCTTTCACCTCTCTTCTATGTCATATCCTTACTGTGTTATGTTACTGATGGTTCACACATTGGTCTGATGACACTGTGGTCTGCTTACAGTCAGAGACCTTAATTCTCTCTCACTTCACTGCTAAACTTGGCTATCTTCCATCACGATGCTGAGTAAGTTCATACATACAGGAGCTATTCTCTGGAGAACTGCTAGTTGAAGGAATTAAGGACAATTTTTCCAGTTTATCAGTGACCTTGGGCAAGACACTTGACCACTCTGGTCTTTGGTTTCACCATCAATTCACTGGGAGGGTCACAGCTCTGAGATGCTCTGATTCCTGGCAGGTAGGGTGGCACCTACATTGTACCCAATGACCCAGCAACCTTTGTCTCTATAGGACGCTGTGTCTGCTCTGTTGGAACAGACAGCAGTGGAGCTGGAGAAGAGGCAGGAGGGCAGGAGCAGCACACAGACACTGGAAGACAGCTGGTGAGTGAGCCCGCCCTTGGGCCCCAGGAGCTGCCCTGCCTGGACCTAGGCCCAGCAATGAGATCCCCCAATGCCAGTGCAACTAAGAGAAGGGTTCCACTGGGAAGGCTGAGAACCCCTCTCCTCATGGGTTCTCTACAGGCAAAAAGGCAATGTAACCTAGTACGATGGTTCCCAGAATTCCTTTCGAATTTGCCATTTCGTTTCCCATGAATCACCTATGCTAGTTCACACCTAATGTTATTCTTTATCTTGATATAGTGACATTTATTTTGCTAAAAAAAAAAAAAAGTAAAGAAACTTTATGTTACTCTAAATGGAAAATTTGTGTAGTTTGCCATAAATTAAAGAGTTCTTGGGAATTGCATTTGACTTTCAGGAATGGAGAGCAGAAATATTAGACAGAAATAAATTAGAAGTTTACTTCTTCTTCACTTAAGAAGAAGAGGGCCAGGCACGGTGGCTCATGCCTGTAGTCCCAGCACTTTGGGAAGCCGAGGTGGGTGGATCACGACGTCAGGAGCTCGAGACCAGCCTGACCAACATGTTGAAACCCTGTCTCTACTAAAGATACAAAAATTAGCTGGGCATGGTGGGGCACGCCTGTAATCCCAGCTACTCAGGAGGGTGAGGCAGGAAAATCACTTGAACCCAGGATGGGGAGGTTGCAGTGAGCCGAGATTGCACCACTGCACTCCAACCTGGGTGATAGAGCAAAAAAACAAAAGAAAGAAGAAGAATGTAATCCCAGCTATTCGGGAGGCTGAGGCAGGAGGATTGCTTGAACCCACAGTGAAACCTCATCTCAAAAAATTTTTAAAATAATGGGAGAGGCCAGGCGTGGTGGCTCACGCCTGTAATCCCAGCACTTTGGGAGGCCGAGGCAGATGGATCACCTGAGGTTAGGAGTTCGAGACCAGCCTGGCCAACATGGTGAAACCCCATTTCTACTAAAAAATACAAAAATTAGCCAGGCATGGTGGTGGGCACCTGTAATCACAGCTACTTAGGAGGCTGAGGTGGGGACAATTGCTTGAACCCAGGAGGCAGAGGTTGCAGTGAACCGAGATTGCGCCACTGCACTCCATCCTAGGTGACAGAGTGAGACTCTGTCTCAAAAAAAAAAAAAAAAAAAAAAAAGAGTAAGCAGTCCAAGGCTATCCAATTCTGTCAGCCCCATGGTGTTACTGGGAATCCAGGCTCCTTTCCTCTGTCTGCTTTGCTGTCTTTACTATGTGACCTCCATCACCGAGGCTGCTTTATAGCCCAAGATGGCTGCTGGATCACCAGCCATCAGGCAGGTAACCATCAGGAAAGAGGAAAGACAAAAGAGAGCATGCCTGTGTACCTGTTAACCAAGAAGCATTCCTGAATGTCCCACACAGCAACTTTTGCTTGCTTTTCATTGGCCAAGCTTAGCCACTTAGCCTGCCTAACTGCAAAGGAGACTGGAGAATGAGGTCTGTTATTTGGGTACAAAAATCAAATTTCTGTTACTAACGGAGAAAGTGGATACTGGGTAGACCAAGAGCCAAGTCTGCTTCAAAAGGTAACTGTGGAAAACACAGTGTAATGAAAATAAAGCAATATTATTAAAGTCTAGTTAGATATATTGCTTGCTAAGCCTGAGCCTTCTCTCCCATTATTAAAAAAAAAAAAAAAAAAAAAAAAAAAAAGGTTAGCAAGTGTTTCAGCAATGTTGAAGACATGCTATTGCCGAAGAGAGACTTTCTCCCTGATGTAATCAAAATGTCTGAACATTGAAAAGGGGACAACTTTCTCACTTTGTGATTCAGTGTTATTTAATTCCTTGTATTATGAGAAAGGTCTCATCATACACTTTAAGAAACAATGACATAGACGAGGGTTTGAAACTTGGATTTTTCATGTTTTGTGTAACCTTAGGCAAAGTATTTTTTAAACTTTCTATTGCAGTGTAAAATACATGCAGAAAATTCACCTAAGCATAGAGCTGAGTGAATTTTCAGAAAGCAAAACTCCTCTGTAACTAGCACCAAATCAAGAAGCAGAATGTGACGAGCACCACAGAAGCCCACACCTTGTGTCACTGTTGGGCAAGTCGCTCTAACCTTGTCTGAACCTCATCTGAAAACTGAGGAAATAATACTGACTATGTGAGGTTACTGAAAGAGACTCAAGGGAAAGGCACTAATGAAGATCAGGTGCAAAGCACATAGTAGACCCTCAATACATGGTTGAAATCATTGTTAGGAAAAAGAGAAGGAACGTTCCTCACTACTGGCTGGAAACAGGGTAAATCCCATGTAGGAAATGGCCACAGCCTATGAGTCTTGCCATTTGGAAGGAAAAATAAGTTGGTCTTAAGTGCATGTGCTTTAAATTCAGACAGATATGGATCTGGAGTCTAGCTCAGCCAACTTCCTTCTGGGATCCTGTTTCTGACCGGTAAGACCTTACTGAGCATTAGTAAGATTTAAAAGCTCCCTGGGTGATTCTAATGTGCAGCCTGGGCTGAATATCACAGCTGTAAACTTCCGTCTCCTCGTCTGTGAAATAGAGATTTAGAAAACAGCCACTATGTCATGGGGTATTTTGCAAAATTCAGTAAAATTATGCATGATAAGCACTTAACACAGACCCTGACCTGGAGGAAACATTCAATAACTCTTCCGTATTATTATTCTCTTAGAGCCTCAAATTATATATTTAGTCTCAGGCGGCGCCCTCCCGTAATATCTGTTACTCCACAGGTCAGCAGATGATTTCTGGAGAGGGCCAGATGGTAAATATTCTTTGCCTTGTGAGTCGTAAGAATTCTGTTGCATCCCCTCACCTCTGCTGTTGCAGTGTGAAAGCAGCCGTAGACAGTATGTAAACCAATGACACTGTCTGTGTTCCACTGAAACGTCATTTATGGACACTGAAATTTGCATTTTATATAATTTGCACCTTTTCACCAAGTATTCCCCTTTTGATTTTTTTTTCAGCCATTTTAAAATATAAAAACCATTCATGGCTTAGACTGTCCAAAACAAAGCAGCAGACAGGATTGGGCCCACTGGCTGTAGTTTGCTGGTTCTTGTTTTACTCTTCTCTCTTACTATTTTTTTCATGTGATAAAGCAGATGGCAAGGTTCCTGGAATTTTTGTATGTTCCTTTGTTAGTTTAGGGTTCTCTCTAAATTGTCTCAATCTCTCTCTCCCCCTCCTTTTCTCTCTCTTTCTTTCTCTCTCTCTGTCTGTTTCTCCCCACTGACCCCTGGCCATCTCCCTCTCTCTTTCCTTTCCTCTCTGTTTCTCTGCCTCTCTCTCTCTTTCTGCTTGGCACACTGCTGTGCCACACTCTACTACGGATCACACAGGCAAAGGTCTGATGCCAGAAATAGGCCCAGGACCTATCTCCCAAAACCCTGGCACAAGATCAGTGGTTTCCACCAAATTCCAAGCTTGTGCTGAGACTTTTCAAGCCATCTCCTAGCAACCGCCTTCTGTCCCTTCTCCCTTTTTGGCCCCTGTCTCCACACCCCCTGCCATTCAAACTTCCCCCAGACGCTGTCTTACAAAGGGGGCTGGGGATCCCAGAGCTGCTGTAGTGGGGCAAACCATCTGCGGCCCCCTCCCCCAAGACTGGAAGCCTCTCTTGGTCCTGGGATGTTAACTGGCCTTGCCATGCCTGCTCATCTCTGGAGTCTTGGGTTCTGGTCTCCAAAAGGCTGTCCGTCTGTTCCAATTTACAGTCCTTCCTCGGCACCCAAAACCCGGCGTGTCACTGGTACTCCCTCTTTTTATTTTGTTTTTATATGTCTTTAAATGATATAATCAGAAAACTGGATTTTTTTTTAAAAGATCCACAAGCAAAATAAAACTAAGAGTGTTAGAAAATACAGGAGAATATAACACCAAACAATACTATGGGGAAAAATCTTTGTATTTGCCTCCTTGGGAACTCGTATTTGTCTGGGGCAGATGCTGAGAAGTGGCATTGCTGGATCGCAGGGTGTGTGTTTTTTATATTTTAATAGACATCATAGAATAGTTCTCAAATAAGATTTTTTTTTTTTTTTTTTTTGAGACGGAGTCTTGTTCTGTCACCCAGGCTGGAGTGCAGTGGCACGATCTCAGCTCACTGCAAGCTCCGCCACCTGGGTTCACGCCATTCTCATGCCTCATCCTCCTGGGTAGCTGGGACTACAGGCACCTGCCGCCATGCCCAGCTAATTTTTTGTGTTTTTTAGTAGAGATGGGGTTTCACCGTGTTAGCCAGGATGGTCTCGATCTCCTGACCTCGTGATCTGCCCACCTCCACCTCCCAAAGTGCTGGGATTACAGGCATGAGCCACCGCACCCAGCTATAAGATTTTATTAATAAATGCTCCCACCAGCAATGATTAAGAGTACCCTAACCTACAGCCTCTCTGACACTCAATCTAATCAAACTGCTGTAACTTAATTAAGCATATGTACATTTTTTTATTTTAACAGATAAGGCTAAATGGCCTTCAGAATGTAAATTGGCTGCTCTCCTTTTCACTTCCCACAGGGATATGCCTGTTTCTGTACCTTCACCAGCACTTGATATTACCAGATTTTTTTCCGCTTTGCCACTCCAGTAGGTGAAAAGATATTGTTGATTTTAATTATTTTTCTCTTTACAATTAAAATTAAGTTGGGTTTGTGGTTTTTTTTTCTCATCTTGGAATATTGAGATCAGATTCACAGTCAAAAAGAAGAGACTCCCGTAATGGTTGAGCACTTAGTGGATCTAGACAAACCTGTTTTGCAATCCTGGCTCCACAACTAGCCTGCCACATTGAACAAGGCCTCAGGCCTCTGCCGCTCACTTTTTGAATCTGGGAAATGGAGATCATCTCTTTGAGCACTGTTGTGAGGTGTAGCACCTGGAGCTTATTGAGCCCTCAATAAATACTGGTCAATGTGGCTTCTACAGAGGGCTTTGTGGAGGGGCTCCCTGTCTCCCTGTGTGTTCACATGTTTAACAGCTCTTTTTTTTTTTTTTTTTTTTTTGAGACAGTTTCACTCTTGTTGCCCAGGCTAGAGTGCAATGGTGCGATCTCGGCTCACTGTGACCTCCACCTCATGGGTTCAAGTGATTCTCCTGTCTCAGTCTGCCAAGTGGCTGGGATTACAGGCATGTGCCACCACGCCTGGCTACGTTTGTATTTTTAGTAGAGATGGGGTTTTTCTCCATGTTGGTCAGGCTGATCTCGAACTCCCGACCTCAGGTGATCCACCTGCCTCAGCCTCCCAAAGTGCTGGGATTACAGGCATGAGCCACCGCACCCGCCAACAGCTCTTTTATTTGTAGATAGAGAGGCTGCTGGGGCCAAGGAGGAGAGCCAAGGCCCCTCCACAGCCGCAGTCCTCATCTAAGTACAGAAGAGGTTTTAATTGCAGAGTTGCGAGTAGAGATCCAAAATGCATTCTCCCCATTGGGAAAATCCTCAGGGAGATTTTATGTTTCCCCACACTCTCGCCGAGCTAGCTAGCTGGATGTCAGATTCTCTGCTTTTGGCTAGGATTCTTTTGGCTCAGTATGATAACACTGTCTCATGCTGATCAGAAGCCGGGCAGTTCTGTATGTCTTTCAGAAGTCAAGATGGGAATAGAGATAAATTACTACTTAACAAATGCAGCCTATTTGTCACACCAAATCCTTCCAACCTTGGAGTCCAAGGGAAATGGAAAGTTTTAAGGACTATCACCAAAAGTCCCTTCAGCAAATGGTGTTGGAACAATTAGATATTCATATGGAAAAAAAAAACTTGAACACTTACATCATGTATAAAAATTAATCTGTGGCTGGGCACGGTGACTCACGCCTGTAATTTCAGCACTTTGGGAGGCCGAGGTGGGTGGATCATGAGGTCAGGAGATCAAGACCATCCTGGCCAACATGGTGAAACACCATCTCTATTAAAAATACAAAAATCAGCTTGGCATGGCGGCACGTGCCTGTAATCCCAGCTACTCGGGAGGCTGAGGCGGGAGAATTGCTTGAACCCGGGAGGCAGAGGTTGCAGTGAGCTGAGGTCGCACCACTGCACTCCAGCCTGGGCAACAGAGCGAGACTCCATCTCAAAAAAATAAAATAAAATTAATCTCAAATGGGTTATAGAGCTACACATAAAACCTGAAATTATAGAAGTTCTGAAAGTGTAAGAAAGAAACTATTCACAACTTTGAGGTAGGCAAAGATTTCTTAGGACATAAAAAGTACAAACTATAAAAGAAAAAAATCAATAACTTGGGCTTTATCATAATCAAAAACTTATGATCTTCGGAAGACACCACTGAGAAAATGAAAAGGCAAGCCACAGACTTAGAGAAAATCGTGCAGTCCACATACCAGACAAAGGATTCATAGCGCAAATATACTAAGATTTCTTACAACTCAATAATAAGACAACCCAATTTTTATTTTTATTTTATTTATTTATTTATTTTGAGACAGAGTTTTGCTCTTGTTGCCCAGGCTGCGATCTCGGCTCACTGCAATCTCGGCTCACTGCAATCTCCACCTCCCGGATTCAAGCGATTCTCCTGTCTCAGCCTCCCGAGTAGCTAGAATTACAGGTGCATGCCACCACACCTGGCTAATTTTTGTATTTTTAGTAGAGGCAACTCGGTTTTATCATATTGGTCAGGCTGGTCTCGAACTCCTGACCTCAGGTGATCCACCCACCTCGGCCTCCCAAACTGTTGGGATTATAGGCGTGAGTCACTGTGCCTGGCCAAAAACCTGATTTTTAAGGGGCTGGAGATTGTAACAGACACTTCACCTGGGAAGATGGTCATAAATGCATGAAGAGTTTCTCAACAAGAAAATGCAAGTTAGGCCAGGCTCAGTGGCTTACACCAGTAATGTTCACACTTTGGGAAGCTGAGGCAGGAAGATTTCTTGAGGCCAGGAGTTCAAGATCAGCCTGGGAAACAAAACCCCATCTCTGCAAAAGATTTACTAAATTAGCCGGGCATGGTGGCACGTGCCTGTAGTACTAGCTACTTGGGAGGCTGAGGCAGGAGAATCAATCACCTGAGCCCAAGAGTTCAAGGCGACAGTGAGCTATGATCACACCATGGCACTCCAGCCTTAGCCTTGGCGACAGAGCAAGATGCTGTCTCTAAAAACAAAGAAAGAAAAAAGAAGAAAATGCAAATTAAAACCCAACAAGATGCAAGTACACACCCAGTAGTAGAGTGACTAACTATAAAGATAAACAACACCAAGTGTAGTGAGGAACTAGAACTCTTAGAACATTGCTCAGGGGAAACTTAAAATGGCAAAATCACTTTGGAGAAGCCATTTGTTGGTGTCTTTTTTTTTTTTTTTTTTTTGAGGTGGAGTCTCAGTCTGTCACCCAGGCTGTAGTGCAGTGGCACTCTCTCGACTCACTGCAAGCTCCACCTCTTGGGTTCAAGCAATTGTCCTGCCTCAGCCTCCTGAGTAGCTGGGATTACAGGTGCCCACCACCACGCCTGGCTAATTTTTGTATTTTTAGTAGAGACAAGGTTTTACCACATTGGCCAAGATGGTCTTGAACTCCTGACCTGGGGTGATCCGCCCACCTTGGCCACCCAAAGTGCTGGGATTACAGGCGTGAGCTACCACGCCTGGCCTGTTGGTGTTTAAAAGGGTAAATTTATACTTACCGTATGACCCAGTAATTCTATTATCTGTTAGGGGCTGATTTGTGTCCCCCCAAAATTCAAACATTGAAGCCCTAACCCCTAGTACCTCAGAATGTGACTGTATTTGGAGGTAGGGCTTTTAAAGAGGTGGTTAACACGAGACCATTGAAGTTGGGCTGGGACCTCATACGAGGATATTTGGACACACAGACACCAGGGATGCGCATGCACAGAGGACAGACTGTGTGAGCACGCTGCAAGAAGGCAGCCATCTGCTAGCCAGGGAAAGGGGCCTCAGGTGAATCAAACCTGCTGACACCTTGAGCATGGATTTCCAGCCTCCAGGACTGCCAGAAATCAGTTTCTGTTGTTTAACCCACCTAGTAAGTGGTGTTTTAGTTTTGCAACCCTAGCAATATCCAACAGAAATGAAAACCTATATTCATGCATAGACTTGTACATGAATGTACAAGAAGCTTTATTCATACTTGCTTGGAAATGTAAGTAATCCAAATGTTCATCAACTAAACTCTCCTTCTCTCCCTCTTCCTCCTCCTCCTCCTCCTCCTCTTCTTCCTCATCTTCCTCCTCCTTTTCCTCAACCACCCGCCTCGTTCCAACGTTTGGAAGCCCTACCCTGGGTGCATTTAAAGGCAGGTGAACAGATCTAAACATGTTGCAATATAGCCATCCAATGGAATATTAATGATAAAAAGGAGTGAACTGTCTGGGCGCGGTGGCTCACGCCTATAATCCCAACACTTTGGGAGGCCAAGGTGGGTGGATCGCTTGAGCCCAGTAGTTTGAGACCAGCCTGGGCAACATACCAAAACTCTGTCTCTACAAAAAATAGGATAATTAGCCAGGTGTGGTGGCACACACCTGTAGTCCCAACAACTCAGGAGGCTGAGGCAGGAGGATCACTTGAGCCCACTGGTGGAGGCTACAGTGAGCCAAGATGGTCCCACTGCACTCCAGCCTGGGTGACAGAGTGAGACTCTGATTCAAAAGGAAAAAAAAAAAGGAATGAACCGCTGATGCATACAGCATTGTGGATAAACTTCAGAAATGTTATGCAGACACAGAGAAGTCAGAGACAAAACAGCATATATTGTCTGATTCCATTTGCATGAAACTCTAGAAAAGTCAAATCTAATCTATAATAACAGCTAATCATGGCTGCCTAGTGGGTGATTAAACTGGGAAAAGGTAGGAGAGAATTCTGGTGGGGAATGGAATGTTCTACATCTCAAGTACAGTGGTGGTTACATAGGTGAGTACATTGGCCAAAACTCATCAAACTATACACTGAAAATGCCTCATTAACAATCTTTTTTTTTGTTTTGAGACAGAGTTTCACTCTTGTTGCCCAGGCTGGAGTGCAGTGGCGTGACCTCGGTTCACTGCAACCTCCACCTCCCGGGTTCAAGCAATTCTCCTGCCTCAGCCTCCCGAGTAGCTGGGACTACAGGTGTGCACCACCATGCCTGGCTAATTTTTGTATTTTTAGTAGAGATGGGGTTTCACCATGTTGGCCAGGCTTGTCTTGAACTCCTGAACTCAGGCAGTCTGCCTGCCTCGGCCTCCCAAAGTGCTGGGATTACAGGTGTGAGCCTGGCCCCCCAAAACTTTTTAAAATATATCTTCAATCATCAAAAGGATTGGAAGCCCTACCTTGGGTGTATTAAAGGCAGGTGAACAGAGGCAGAGCGGCTTCTGGGTGGGTAACCAAAGTGCTTTGTCATCACAGGAGGTATGAGGAGACCAGTGAGAATGAGGCAGTAGCCGAGGAAGAGGAGGAGGAGGTGGAGGAGGAGGAGGGAGAAGAGGATGTTTTCACCGAGAAAGCCTCACCTGATATGGATGGGTACCCAGCATTAAAGGTAGGAAGGGCTGGGGGGATAGAAGGGCTGTCGTGGGGAAGGAACCTTCAATCCTTGTGCCGAGGCAGTCAGAAAAGACTCAGAGCTAAGTCTTGGCTTCCAGCATCAGGGCACAAGCCCTCATAATGGAGTGGCCTTTGGGTCATTCTGGTGATAGTAAACCAGGAGAGGCCAACTCACCCATCTCTTTTCTTCTGCCCTCTGCATTTTCCATGACTTCTCTGGACATAACTCAAGCCTTGCAGTCAGACGGTTTGGGTTTGAATTCTGGCTCTGATACTCCCTGGCTGTGTAGTCTTAGGCAGATGACTTCATCCTTCTCAAGCTTCCATTTTCTCATCTCTAAAATGGGCACAATAATACCAACCTTGCAGATAGCCTCTAAAAATATATTTCTTTATGTGGGTCTGCCCACAGCGCGACAGGAAAAAGGCCAGACTCCCTTTGCTCCCTGCTTCCCTGCTGCACTAGGGTCACATTACAGCAGGATTCACTCTCCACAGACAGCTGGCTCCAGGACTCCTAGAGCTAGAGCACCTGCCGTGTTTGAGCGAGGCTGCAGCTGGAGTACCGCACAGAGGTGCCTGGACACGGCAGGTGCAGTAGGACCTGGGCCCTCGTTCTAACTCCTCCACACCAAGGGGGCATCATTTTGCAATTTCTCCAGCCAGTGGGCGTGCCCTTTCTTAAAATTATATAAAGGTACTATTTAGGCTGACAAAGGTCCTGCATGTAGGTGTTTTTGTTTGTTTATGTTTTCCTGATGACTACTGTGCACGGGCAGTAAAAACCTGATGGGTTGGTTTTAAAAACAAGATTTGCCAATTGCCTTCAGAATTCGATGAAAGCAACCGTAGTACTTTGCCAGGGCTGTGGAAGCCTTGGGTGTGGTTTTTCAAAATGTACTTGGTTTGTAAGTTTTGGGAGTGTGACATCCAGGTTGTTGGACATCACACTTTCAAAACTTTGAGACAGCTCTACTGCCCATGTGAGTTTGTTTGGGGGCTGAATGTGCTCCCACCAGTCCCCAACCACACGTGCCACGGAGGGGTAGGGGTCGGCACACCTAGCCTTGGGTACTGTCCTGGCTGCACCAGGCTGAGCTCATCTAGCAGGGCTAATGCCAAGGAAACCCTGGTTGTGTCTGTGGGAAAAGGTGAGGTGACAGGAGGGAAGAGGAGCAGCTGAGTGGTCTCTGGTGGGTGGCTGAGACTCTGTGGACACTGGTGGCTTCAAGGTGTGACTTCTTCCTCAGGTGGACAAAGAGACCAACACGGAGACCCCGGCCCCATCCCCCACAGTGGTGCGACCTAAGGACCGGAGAGTGGGCACCCCGTCCCAGGGGCCATTTCTTCGAGGGAGCACCATCATCCGCTCTAAGACCTTCTCCCCAGGACCCCAGAGCCAGTACGTGTGCCGGGTAAGTGAGCGTGCGGCCCTCTTCTGCTCCCCTCAGGGTAGCCGAGAGCTTCACACAGGGCTGGGTGCAAATCCCATTACTCTCATGTTATTGGGTGACTTCGGGTATGTTAACACCTCAGAGCCTCAGTTTCCTCAGGTGGAGTTCACGGGCCTACTTCATAGGATTGTTTTAGACAAGCAATAGAAAAGGCTTTGTAATTAGTACTTGGTCAATGTTATTATCATTCCAAACAACTCACTTCCTCCTTGTTCACACTCTGCCCTGCCCTCCTGCAACCACTTGCTGAGATCAGAGGGGGACCCGTCAGTGGCCCCTAGATACACAGGCATTTCCTTCCCACCTTCAGGGCAATTCTAGTGTACAGCCTGAGGCTGCAAAATTACAGCAGATCTGGTACCAGTTTGTTTTGTTTTTTTTAATTGAACCTGTTGCTACCAGTTTGTATTATTTTTTAATTGAACCTGCTGCTAACATTTAAAACTTTTTAAAAAGGCGGCCAGATGCAGTGTCTCATGCCTGTAAGCCCAACACTTCGGGAGGCTGAGGCAGGAGGGTCACTTGAGGCCAGGAGTTTAAAACCAGCCTGTTCAACATAGTGAGACCCTGTCTCCGCCTAAGAAAAAGTTAAAAATTAGCTGGGCATGGTGGCATGCACTTGTAGTCCCAGCTAGTGGGGAAGCTGAGACAGGAGAATTGCTTGAGCCCAGGAGTCCAACGCTGCAGTGAGCCATGATTGCGCCACAGCACTCCAGCCTGGGCAACAGAGTAAGACCCTATCTTAAAAAAAAAATTATTTTTAAATTAAAGGGCAGTTAAAAATAAAATAAACCTGGGCGCAGTGGCTCATGCCTGTAATCCCAGCACTTTGGGAGGCTGAGGTGGGCAAATCACTTGAGGCCAGGAGTTCGAGACCAGCCTGGCCCACATGGTGAAATCCTGTCTCTGCTAAAAATGCAAAAAATTAGTGCATGGTGGCACATGCTTGTAATCCCAGCTACTTGGGAGGCTGAGGCAGGAGAATCCTTGAACCCGGGGGGCAGAGGTTGCAGTAAGCTGAGATCGTACCATCGCACTCCAGCCTGGGTGACAAGAGCAAAACTCTATCTCAAAAAGAAAACATGAATAATTTGAATGATTTAGAAAAGCCCTTAAGACAATGGATAATGCTCCGCCAATTTTTTTTTTTTTTGTAAAATTACTGCCATTATGAACGTGCAGTAGAAATCAAACACAAAGAGAAGAATGTCACTCATCAGAAAAATCCCACCAAAAAAAATTAGTGTTTCATTCGTTCTTTTTCATCAGGATAGAATGTGGTTGTAATTTTGTTAAATGGGAGATATAAGATAGAAGAACTTTGGTGAAATATTTATCTTTTCCACCTATAGACTCAAGCCTCACGCATTTTTCCCCAGTGTTTTTTAAGTGACCCTTTTCCAGGATTCGCATCTTCAAATAACAGAAAGCACCTGTCCCACTTATTAAGCATCTGTAACACACCAAGCACTATGCTTCCACTTCCCATATTTTATTATTTATACCGTTTCTAAGCCTGCAAAATCACAAATTAAGAGATTCCCAGCCAACGGAGATCACACTCCACAGGTAGAAAGGGCATTTTTTTTTTTTTTTTTTTTTTAGCAAAGTCATATATTTTTCCTTCTTTGCTTTCTAGTTGGCCCACTTCAGCTCAAGCTTAGGTCTTTTTGTATAAAACTTACTGAAGGCTACAAGATGTAGCCAAGAGTACAACATTGTGAAAATTTTCCTATCATTTCCTCTAAAACTCTGCAGGCATGGAGGCTGTCTGCTGAGATATAGCAGGGAACAATTTAACCCTTTGTTTTGCACCCACAAGATGAGCATTACCAAATTCCCAACAGAGACATGCTGGGGCTGTGCTGTGCCTCCACCCTGCCCCCTCCACAGCCAGCTCCGCGTGTCTCAGTCTGTAACTGATAGCATTCCACTTCCTGCCTGTACCGGTCAGGGTTTTTCATTGCAAGCAATGGAAATGGACAGTGAGCAGTATATGCAGGAAAATTTGGGGGAAAGGAAAGTGAGGAGCTCACACACTCATCATAAGGCTATGGAACCAGCCTCAGAAATCAGGCAGGAGCAAGGAAGGCCAGACCACAGCCAAAATCACACCACAAAGCCAATTGGGTGACACCTTCACCGATGCTGCCACAAAACCTGGCCCCCACCGGCCCCGTTGCTGCCCCTGGCATTCAATATTTATGCCTCCACCAGGTTCCTGCCATGGCTGGCATGGAAGCTCTGGTCACTGCTGCCACTGCCACTACTTACCATTAATGGCTTTTCCCTGAGATAAAAACAAACTTGGCACATTTGTAGAATGAAGGAGAGAAAGAGTGGCCTGTTTCAATTCAAGAGACAATAGTAATAGACTTGGGTGCAAGTCACCAGGTTGTGATTCAAGGCCTGGAGCATTTGCATCCAATTGACAGGCTAGTCCTGTGCCTGCCTCTAGCTGCAAGGGAGGCAGTAGAAGCAAGGTTCTGCTACTTTCAGCTTCATCAGTGGGAGGTTGGCTTTGTTTCCCACCAAGTCATAAGGTGGGGTTTTCTCACCCACAGGATGGGATTTCAAATGCTAATCAGCAACACTTCCAGCCCCCACAGCCAAAAAATATATTTTCTGTGTAATCTAATCTTACAGCCCTGTAAGGTGAGTTGTGTGAACCCCATTTTATAGACACAGAAGCTAAGACTCAAAAACTCAAAGCACTGTGCTCTAGGTCACACAGCTGCTAAGTACAAAGCTGGGAGTCCAACTCCAAAGCCTGCAGCCTCTCTGTTGCTCAGAGCCACCTCCTGAGGGCCTTCCTCTGGCCTCCTCGGGTCTGATCGTGAGTAGCCCCTTCCACTGGCCTCTGCACAAAAGGCGTCCTCTGCTGGGTGCCTCCCTTGTTCGATCTTCATCTTCACCTATGTCACTTGGTTAGTTTTGCTGTCTTGAGTTCCCCCACTGAACTCGAAGTCCATGGATAGGGACAATGAATTACCCTTCCTACAGCTCTCCTCAGCCCCCATGTATTCATCTGAAGTGCTACCACATTTGTGGGTTGATTGACTTTGACCAAATAGACACAGCCCATCCTAAATTCTCATTCCTGAACTAGCTTCCTGTGATTCTAAATGATTTCACTGCTCTCTGCATCAGTTTCTCTAGCTATTAAATGCAAGTAATAATAAGGTGACAACATTCTCTACCATGTCTGAGATTAAATGCATTAAAGTGTCTTTATATTAGAGAAAGCTAAATTCAAGGACTTAATGTAGCTTCTGTCTTTCTTTTATATAACATAGTCTTTAACATGTAAACAACTACAACTTAAGGATCAATTATCCTGATACCCATTTCTGGTCGGTAGGACACATATCCTTCAAGTGCCACCACTGGATTAAAACAATGTAGAATAAAAGGCTGGGCACAGTGGCTCACATCTGTAATCCCAGGACATTGAGAGGCTGAGATGGGAGGATCACTTGAGCCCAGGAGTTTGAGACCAGCCTGGGCAACATGGTGAAACCTTGTCTCTACAAAAAATGCAAAAATTATCCGGGCACAGTGGCACGTGCCTTTAGTCCCAGCTACTTGAGAGGCTGAGGCGGGAGAATCACTTGAGCCCGAGAAGTCAAGGCTGCAGTGAGACGAGATAGCACCATTGCACTCCAGCCTGGGCGAAAGGAGTGAAACCCTGTCTCAAAAAAAAAAAAAAAAAAAAGAAAGAAAGAAAGAGAAAGCCCCCTTCTGGTACCACATGCAACCAGTTTATATGAATCTACCCCAGTTGTCAAGATGGCACACCCTTCCACCTGCACATTAGTTTCATCCCTGAGCCCTACTTACAGGCTGGAGCCAGGAGAGCTGGTGGCCTTGGAACCAAACAGACTGGGCCTTGAACTCTGGTTTTGATGCTCCCCAGCTGTTCAACTATACAAGCTTCTTAATCTCTCTGGGCCTCAGTTCCCATCATGTTAGGATTGTCTGAGGATTAAATGAAACTGTCACTGAAGCACCTGGCACGTAGCAGGTGCTCTATCCATGTGGCAGTCATTATTTTTACTATTCAGCGTCTGGTTCTGTTGAGGCCCTGCCTAGCCCAGTGGCTATTTCATCAGTCTGTCCCTGGAGTTGCTGTGTTTGTCAGCTTAGCAGGACTATTAATATCATTATCACAATTAATTATCAATAACCACAGAAACAGCTTCTCAGGAGACCTGCAACAGTGAACTGACAGCTGCTAGACACACAAGCACAATAGCATCGGCCTGTCACAACCCCACCGATTTTGGAAATAGGACTCGAGAAAGAAATCCCCACTCTGCTCCCACCTCCCAGGGGGTGCTGTCATCCTACCCACTCTCCCTTGCGCTCCTTAGGGGTGGGACACATTCTCAATATAGAAGCTTCCCATCCTGACTACAGGCCTGATTTCTGGTCTTAGATGGGGAATACTAGCCCTCTGGGGGGAGTATAGATAACTCAGTGATCGAGCGGATGCCCACGGGGAGAGTTACGATCTGCCCCATCATCTCTAAGGATATGGTCCCTGAGGCTTTGCCTTTAAGCTGTCTTTTTCTTTTTTAAATATCCATCTTGACAGTGGCTCCATTTGAGTCAGTAAAGGCAGGCTCCATAGACACCAGGGAAGAGTTGATGCAAATGGCCCTTTGTGTAGAAGGTTAAGAGGGCAGTATACTCTGAAGTCACGCTGGCCAGTGTCCAGCCCTGCTGTGCGGCTGACCAGCTCGCCAATCTTGGGCCAGTTCTGCAACCCCTAAGCTTCTGTCACCTCACTTGTGAAAATGGATTTGCTCCTATCACATGGGGTTGTTGGAAAGGTTCAATGGGATATTCGTGGCATTTAGCATCGTGCAGATACTAGCATGGAGATGAAGCAGTATGCATCATGCATAGTACATGCTTAACGAATGTTCACTTATAAAGAAAAGAAAGGTCAGAATGAAACCTGGGTGTTTGCAGAAGGAGAGGAAGGACTGTGCCGAGTGGAGGAACCTGACCTCCCTCTAGGCTTCAGTGCACCTTCCAGAATGCACTCTGACCATGTTTAAGATTCCATGACTTTTCTCTTGCAGCTGAATCGGAGTGATAGTGACAGCTCCACTCTGTCCAAAAAGCCACCTTTTGTTCGAAACTCCCTGGAGCGACGCAGCGTCCGGATGAAGCGGGTAAGAGAGTCACCTCAAAGCTATTTTTCTGCCTGCTCCTCCCTCGTTGCCCCAAGCCCTGTGTCCTGCACACACATCTCCTAATGTCTGGCCATTTCTCCTCAGCCACTGGCTAGAAAAATGTTGCTCTCTCAAGCATTTGCGAACAGATGTTTGTGAACTATGAGGCCTGTGTAGCCACAGGGGAAGGTGCTGAAGGGTAAATGTATTTGTCTTATTATGACAAATAGGTTAGATGAGGAGTGTGTACACTTGGCCTTGCCTTCCTAGATAGAAATCAAAGTCAGTAAGAACTAACCAACCCAGCCGGGCCCCGTGGCTCACACCTGTAATCCCAGCACTCTGGGAGGCCGAGGTAGGAGGATCACCTGAGGTCTGGGGTTTGAGACCAGCCTGGCCAACACAGTGAAACCCCATCTCTACTAAAAATACAAAAATTAGCCGGGCGTGGTAGCGTGTACCTGTAGTCCCAGGCTGTACTTGGGAGGCTGAGGCAGGAGAATCGCTTAAACGCAGGAGGCAGAGGTTGCAGTGAGCTGAGATTGCGCCACTGCACCCCAGCCTGGGCAACAGAGTGAGACTCTGTCTCAGGAAAAAAAAAGAAGAATTAACCAACCCAACAGTCATCAGTTAGAGCGCGTCATCTGACAGGAGTCTTCCTCATGCAAGACTCTGCTCAGTGTGTCTGTCGTCCAGGTTCTGGTGACAGAGAAGCTGGGTGCCTCTGAGCACCAGCCTGAAGCAGGGAAGTGCAAATGGGCTTCCCTCAGACCAGCGGGAAGCCCACAGGGAAGAGGCTGCAGACTTGCCTTGCGGAAGTCTCGCCTTTCCTAGTGGAGACTGAGCTGAGCCATCCGGATGGGGTGGGGGTAGGCAAAGGAGCGACCCCTGATTTGTCTTTGACCATTAAGGGCTGCAGGAGATGCAGGGGGCCCTCCCGACTTTGGGCTTTCAACACAACTTTAAAGCAGTTCTGTCTAATGAGTTTGCAGAACCAGAAGAAACCAGGAGCCAGAATGTCAGAAAGAAAAAAGGGGCCAGGCGTGGTGGCTCACGCCTGTAATCCCAGCACTTTGGGAGGCCGAGGCAGGTGGATCACCTGAGGTCAGGAGTTCGAGACCAGCCTCAGCATTGAGAAACTCCGTCTCTACTAAAAATACAAAATTAGCTGGGCGTGGTGGTGCATGCCTGTAATCCCAGCTACTCGGGAGGCTGAGGCAGGAGAATTGCTTGAACCTGGGAGGCGGAGGTTGCAGTGAGCCGAGATCGCGCCGTTGCACTCCAGCTGGGCAACAAGAGTGAAACTACATCTCAAAAAAAAAAAAGAAAGAAAGAAAAAAGGAGAGAGAAAGCAAAAGAGAACATGGATGGAAAAGATAGTGCCAATAGCCCCCAGTAGGGGCAGGCCCCCCACCTTTCCTGCACTGCCTGCTGACAGCCAGAATCTGGTCCTTTGCCTAACATCCTACACCTTAACAAGTCTGAGGGGGAACTGGAGAGAGGAGAGAGACAGCAACACAGGGGAGGCTACACAGGGAAGGCAGAGTGTGCGGGTGTGGGAGAAAGTGGACATGGCCTCAGGTGACAGGGACAACCAACTGCCCACTCTGGGTCCCCCACCCCAACCCCCTCTTCTGTAGCTGGCTTGTACTGCAGTCTCTGGAGCACCAAAAGTTACCTGGGGAGCTTGGTGACAATGCAGATTACAAGGCCACACTTCTGACCATTTAATTCAGGCAGCTGGCGTGGGCCCTGAAAACTGCATTTTAACAAAGCTCCTTAGGGGCTTCTGGAGCAGATGTTCATGGTCCACTCCTGCAGAAATGCCACTGATCTCCTACTTGCTCCCCCTGCGTTTCCCACAGCTCCCTTCTAAGGCAGGCCCTACAGGAGCAGGTCCCCTTCATCATCCCCTGTTCCCCTTAACCAAGAGAATGACTTAATAAGGGAGCCCCGATGGTGGGTCTGAGCCCACATTTCCCTCGGGTCCTGAGGAACAGGAGAATCCAGAGGCTGGGCCTGGGCCCTTGGGCACTGCTCCTTGCTTCCACGCACTACCTGAGCTGTGTTGTCTCTACCGCAGCCTGCCCAACTTCTGAGACTGGACAGACGAAGCAAAAGAATCTTTATTTGTTGCTCTGAGAACTTGAGCCACGTAGATCACTCAGCTGGATTTCCTTGATCCTGCTCATTTATAAGTGCAGAGCAGACCATGTTCAACCTAGAAGAGCATTCTAGAAATTCTTCCTAGAGCTGTCTTATATTCCTAATAGTATGCTTGCCAGCCGTGCAAAATGAGACTAGGTCTTATGGTAATGCTTCTTATACTGTGTCTGAAATCTCTGTATTGGTCATTGTATTTGTTTTCTATTGCTGCATAATAAATCACCACAAACTTAGCAGCCTAAAGTAATACAAATGCCTTACTTCACAGTTTCCGCTGGTCAGGAGCTTAAGCACAGGTTAGCTGAGCTCTGCCCAGGGTTTTAGCAGGCTGAAACCTCTAAGTGTTAAATGGCCACATACTCATCTGGAGGCTTGACTAAGGAAACATCTGATCCAGGCACTGCCTCCAGATGTTGGCAGAATTTATTACTTTGTATTATCTTGCTAGCTGTCAGCTGGGGGTTTAGGGGAGCACTTTCAGCTCCTAGAGGTCACTCTCAGGTTTTTGCCCTGTGACGGTCTCTACAACATGCTTTATTTACTTCTTTAAGGCCAGCAGAAGAGCCCAGCCAGGAAAAGCCCAGGCCATCTTTTAGGGGCTTACCTGATGAAAGGAGAGGAGATTATACAGGGCGTGTATATTAGCAATGGGATTTGAGAAACCATTTTAGAATTCTGACTCCCACAGTCATGAATTATTGTTTTTTAATCGTTAGTGATTTTTGATGGGAGGAGAGTTAATGATTGTATTAATCAGGGTCTTTTACGTATAGATAACTGAAGAACCCAACTCAAATACAGCTTAAAAATGAAAGAGGGAATTTATTGTCTCATTTAATGAAAAAATCCAGGATGTTGGACTACCTTCAGGCATGGCTTGATCCAGAGGTTGAAATGATGTCATCAGGCCTCAGCCCCTTTCTCATGGCATTGCTCCCTCTGTACAGCTTAATTCTCAAACAGGTCACCCCACAAGTAAAGATGACCATGATCAGTCCCAGGTTTATATCTTGAAGGCTTAGCAACCTCTGTGTAAAGACATTGTCTCTTTTCCAAGTAGTTCAGCAAAGTGCCAGAATTGAGTATTAATGGCTGGGCTTTGATAACATGCTTACCTCTGAACCTGTCACTGAGATGCAGACTGGCCAGGTTCAGGTCACATTCCTATCCCTGATGCCCCACACAAACCAGGTGGATTGAGTGCAGAGGAGGAGGTCTCCAAGGGAAGGTGAGGGCATTGTTACTCTAAGGCTGGGGAAACAAATGGTGGACAAGCAGAAACAATAGGGGCCCATTACAGGAACACAAAGTCAAGAAGACATGACTTCTGCCCTCAAGCAGGAACAGACCTGTATTGGGGAAACAACTTCAGAACAGTACAGTGACAGGAATCAATAATTGAGAACGTACATATGGAGGGTGCTGAGAGTACTGAAGCTGGCACAGTGTACAGAGAGGGCGGGTGGGGACTGCAGCCAGCTTCCTGGAGTGGAGCTTCAGCTTTACCACACATATCCTGTGGGACTTAACCTCTGCATGCCTCATCTGTGCAGATGATAACCCTCGGGACCTCCTAGGTTTGTGAAAATGAAACGAGGTTATGGAAATGAAGTGCTTAGTGCCGTTCCTGGGACATAATAAATGCCCAATAAACATGAGCTGAGTGGGAGAATTCAAAACAGGCTTCCCAGGGAAGGGCAAGCCCCATTCGGAAGGAGTGGATGCCTACAAGAGAGGGTATTTGAGGGTCAGAGGAAGAGGCTGGGTGGGCTCACTGGGCAGAGCTCTAATAACAAGAGAAGCCGTCCCCACCCCCACAGCCTTCCTCGGTCAAGTCGCTGCGCTCCGAGCGTCTGATCCGTACCTCGCTGGACCTGGAGTTAGACCTGCAGGCGACAAGAACCTGGCACAGCCAATTGACCCAGGAGATCTCGGTGCTGAAGGAGCTCAAGGAGCAGCTGGAACAAGCCAAGAGCCACGGGGAGAAGGAGCTGCCACAGTGGTTGCGTGAGGACGAGCGTTTCCGCCTGCTGCTGAGGATGCTGGAGAAGCGGGTGAGTTCTGCCTCGAAGGCAGGGGAGCCCTGCGCTCTGCCCCAGAGAGTCGGGGGGCACTGCCCCGGGGAAGAGAGGCCAGAGCTCATGATGCATCCTACAATTCCCACCACAGGTTCCACTGAGGGTGTTCCACCCATCCCTCGTTCCCATCAGGAGAGGGATCCAGGAATCCCTTTGCACACTCAACTTTATGAACCTTTCACCTGGCTGCAAGGCCCATTTACTGCATTTGTTGTTGTGATTTTGTGTGCAAGCCCTTATTATTCACACATGTACTCATCATGCAGTTCTTCATGAAATACGTAGGGTACCCAGTCTGTGCCACAGCACGCACTTTAAAAGAGTAACAATAGGACACTGACCTGCCTCGATGCCTGCCCAGGAAGTCCCACAGGGCAGCCCTTGCCAAAGGGGGAGAAGGGCTGGTCACACCAGGGCCTTCTGCTAACAAGGATGCCCTGGAGTACAAGTCGGCTGGCACCTCTGCCCTGCTATAATGAGTTTAAGGGATTTAGGGGTTGATCAAGGAGAAAGATATAACCTCAAAATGGTGTTAGCACACAAAGTTTTATATCAGCTGGGCTTTTTTTTTTTTTTTTTTTTTTTTTTTTGGAGATGGGTTTTCTCTCTGTCGCCCGGGCTGGAGTGTGGTGGCATGATGGCTCACTGCAACCTCCACCTCCCAGGCTCTAATTGATCCTCCCACCTTAGCCTCCTGAGTAACTGTGTTGACAGGTGCATACCAATATGCCCGGCTAATTTTTGTATTTTTTGTAGAGATGGGGTTTCACCATGTTGCCCAGGCTGGTCTCGAACTCCTGGGCTCAAACATTCAACCTGCCTCGGCCTCCCAAAGTGTTGCGATTACAGGCATGAGCCAGCGTGCCTAGCTTGCACTGCGCTTTGACAGGTTTGCATGCAGGGGAAGTCCCTCACAGCATGAGACCTTCCAAAGGTGCTGGGGGCTACTGCCCAGTGTGGAGGAAGGCAAGGGAACTCCTAGGGGAGAGCTCGGGAAGAGGGACCATCTAGGTTAGGTAGCTCTGCAGCACGATGGGGAGTCTCTGGGTCAGAGAACTCCAAAGCACAGCAGCAGCTTGGGGTCTCTTATAGGCCCAGGGTTTATCTATCTATGGCTAACAAATGTTGGGTACAGTTTCACAGGGTATGCAAAACAGGAAGGTTGTATATGGCTTTAAAAGCTGCTTATTTGAGCTATATTTAAAACAACTGGAAGGGTAAAAATTTGAGTTTGGCACCAGCAGGCTTTTAAGCCAACAGGTCCCAGACTGCCATGAAGAAATAAACAATATGGGACCAATATGCAAGGGCCAATATAGGACCAATATAGGACCAATATGAAAAATTTCATAAATTTTTCATTTATGAAAAATAATACCTGCCACTCTGTGATCGCCACCCACGGCAAAAAAGACTTTTGCTAGTTCTCTGTGCACACAGCCAGCCTTGCTGAGAGCACCTTACAGAGGGTGCCTACCTGAACTCTCAGGACCATCAGCTGAAATCTCAGTGCTGAATACAGGTGGTGATGCCCTAGGGCAGGAAGATGACGCCGGACTTCTTAGGCCTGGACTGATATGGGAGCTTCAAACTGACTCTGGCAGTTCTAAAGTTCCAGAAAAGTTTATTTCTTTCTTATTTATACCCTGTTTACTTATAAACAGGATTATAACAAGAACATTGAGGGGAAAACAGAAAATTGGAAGGCTTGAAGGAGGAGAGGAAATAAATATATCCCAAATCTAAAGTAGCCTAATTATAGTTAGATATTATGTTTATCTTTGAGCTTCCTGGTAACCAAGGCAAAAAGAGATCAGAAAACAAGTGCCTATGTGCCCTACCTTAACACTTGATCTTATTCGAAAGACTGAGAAGTAATATGTGCCCTGACTTAAGAAAAACAAACTAGAAAACTTGACCTTTCAAATAGTAAAAAAAAAAAAAAATTAGCATCTATGACTTCTAACAAAGAACCATTGATATGATGGCTTTAGGCCGGACGCGGTGGCTCACGCCTGTAATCCCAGCACTTTGGGAGGCCGAGGCGGGCAGATCACAAGGTCAGGAGATTGAGACCATCCTTTGAATGGTGAAACCCCGTCTCTACTAAAGATACAAAAAATTAGCCGGGCATGGTGGCGGGCGCCTGTAGTCCCAGCTACTTGGGAGGCTGAGGCAGGAGAATGGCGTGAACCCAGGAGGCGGAGCTTGCAGTGAGCCGAGATTGCGCCCCTACACTCCAGCCTGGGCGACAGAGCGAGACTCCGTCTCAAAACAAACAAACAAAAAAAACGATGGCTTTATTTACCAAAATTCTGTCTTTGTGCAATGTTTTCAAGTATATGGTACGTGGATATTTTAGGGCTGTCTGTGGTTTGTTCTCAAAAGTGTTTACATACGTTTACATTAGGAGGAAGGGGCATAGTGTTATACCCAAGCCTCTTAAGAACTACTGCATGGCTTGGGACTGAGTTTCCACCACTTCTTAGTAGTCTGACATTAAAGAAATTTCTTACTTTGCTGGAGCCTAAGTTCCCTGGGTAAAATAGAGGTAATAACATCTACCCTCCTAGGTGGCCTGAGGATTAGAGGTAGCGCACATTTCAACAGGCAGCCCTCATCTCCTCAATTCCTCAGATCCACAGTTATTCCGTTTCCTGGCCCCAAAAATCTAGTCACTCAAACAGATGATTTGAGCACTTCCCATTATCGTTCTGAATGAAGTGGATCCCACATGGAGCAAGAGTGAGGGTGCCGTCCCTACAGTAGCCCCCTCTGTTGTGATAGCGAGTTCTCCTTGCCCCTTTCTGGAGGCCCCCTCCACTGACTCAGGGCCTTGCTTGCTTTGCCCAGCAGATGGACCGAGCGGAGCACAAGGGTGAGCTTCAGACAGACAAGATGATGAGGGCAGCTGCCAAGGATGTGCACAGGCTCCGAGGCCAGAGCTGTAAGGAACCCCCAGAAGTTCAGTCTTTCAGGTAAGCAGAGGGCCCCGGCAGCCCCCCATCCCTTTCTCAGCCAACCCACGGCCTTAGTCTTCTGTCTGTGGTCTTACTGCTCTCATCCCTTGCTCACAGAGCACTGGCTTTCCCTGTAACAGATGTTCATCCTCCGCCAAGCCATCCCTGGCGATCCATGAGCTCTGCAGCGCTCTTCCCTTGGCTGTCTTTATCAGTCCCCACACAACTCGAGCTAATTTGTTAGATCCTCTTGTTTAATGAATGAGCCACCTGCTCCAGCCTTTCCTCGTAGTGTTTTCCTTACTGGTAATTGTGGAGGGTTGGCTGAATGATAAATAAACCTAGGGGTGATGGATGCTCGCTGGGCCTCCCTGGCTCTGCCTGCCACCTGCTAGGATCTCAGGGAGGTGCTATCTTGCCATGCTGGACCCGGGTGTATTCTCGGAGGGTCCCGAATGCCATTTGGCCTGGGCCTCCCATCCACAGAGGCCCTAGCGTTTAGACTTCTGATGTCCTCTCAAACAAGGTACACATGTTTGTGTATGTGCTTTAAAAAAAAAAAAATTCCTTTGTGGAATATAAACATTTAAAATGTATATTTGTACAACTATCTTTGGGCATCTCTTAACTTTTTAACAAATTGAGAATCTGAAACAAACAAACATTAGAAGTGGCCCAAGGGTCCTTTTAAACTGAGAAGCCTCTGACTGGATTTGAACTAAGAGTCATCGTTCATGCTAATGGTCTTTTAAAGCAGTGGTTCTCAACCAGGGGTGATTTCTCCCCTTCCCCCTGGAACATTTGGCAATGAGCTTACGTTTTGGGTTGTCATAACTGGAGGTCAAGGATACAGCCAGCATCTAGAGGGTAAGAGGCCAAGGACGTTGCTAAACATTCTGCAGCGAATGTATAGGACAGCTCCCACGACAAAGAATTATCCTGCCCAGAATCTCTGTAGAGCGAGGTTGAAAACCCCTGCTCTAAAGGGATGGCCTCTCTTATAGGGAGAAGATGGCATTTTTCACCCGGCCTCGGATGAATATCCCAGCTCTCTCTGCAGATGACGTCTAATCGCCAGAAAAGTATTTCCTTTGTTCCACTGACCAGGCTGTGAACATTGACTGTGGCTAAAGTTATTTATGTGGTGTTATATGAAGGTACTGAGTCACAAGTCCTCTAGTGCTCTTGTTGGTTTGAAGATGAACCGACTTTTTAGTTTGGGTCCTACTGTTGTTATTAAAAACAGAACAAAAACAAAACACACACACACACAAAAACAGAAACAAAAAAAACCAGCATTAAAATAATAAGATTGTATAGTTTGTATATTTAGGAGTGTATTTTTGGGAAAGAAAATTTAAATGAACTAAAGCAGTATTGAGTTGCTGCTCTTCTTAAAATCGTTTAGATTTTTTTTGGTTTGTACAGCTCCACCTTTTAGAGGTCTTACTGCAATAAGAAGTAATGCCTGGGGGACGGTAATCCTAATAGGACGTCCCGCACTTGTCACAGTACAGCTAATTTTTCCTAGTTAACATATTTTGTACAATATTAAAAAAATGCACAGAAACCATTGGGGGGGATTCAGAGGTGCATCCACGGATCTTCTTGAGCTGTGACGTGTTTTTATGTGGCTGCCCAACGTGGAGCGGGCAGTGTGATAGGCTGGGTGGGCTAAGCAGCCTAGTCTATGTGGGTGACAGGCCACGCTGGTCTCAGATGCCCAGTGAAGCCACTAACATGAGTGAGGGGAGGGCTGTGGGGAACTCCATTCAGTTTTATCTCCATCAATAAAGTGGCCTTTCAAAAAGAATCTTCCTCTTGCTCTCTTTTTCTTTCCTACCCCTCACTTCATCTGTTTCCCTGATTTTTGACTCTCCCCTTTCCAGTCATTTCTTTCCCACCCATCCGCAGTCCTGGAAACATTTATTTTTTCTTTTGCCCACTGTTTTCATTTGCTCATTAAATTAAAATGACTGCTCGGCTCATTGGGAATCCACATCCCCAAGTTAGACTGGGGATATGCTCTCTGTACTGTCTCCTTCTATGGAATTCCACCCCACCCAGAGAGAGATGACTTCACAGTTTGTTCATATGAGCATCATCCCATGTCGTCCCCAACCCAGGGGCTGGTAGGTGCTACAGCTTGTGCTTCATGCTGCTCCTGTGGCCCCTATTCCTACCCAGCTCAGAGCTTTGCAGGGTCTACTGCAGACAATCAGAAGTCAGTTTCTAACAAATAGCAACAGCCACAAATCTCTTCCTCCTTCCTCTCTGACATTACCCTGTGCAACTTTTCTCAAAGTCTGTTGCACCACTCAGCAAAGCAAGTTGCACCAGCTATATCAGAATCACCTGGGGCAGCCTATTAAAAATGCAGACTGTTGAGACCATCCTGGCTAACACGGTGAAACCCTGTCTCTACTAAAAATACAAAAAATTAGCCGGCCGTGGTGGCGGGCAGCTACTCGGGAGGCTGAGGCAGGAGAATGACCTGAACCTGGGAGGCAGAGCTTGCAGTGAGCTGAGATTGTGCCACTGCACTCCAGCCTGGGTGACAGAGCAAGACTCCGTCTCAAAAAAAAAAAAAAAAGAAAAATGCAGACTGGCTGGCGCGGTGGCTCATGCTTGTAATCCCAGCACTTTGGGAGGCTGAGGCGGGCAGATCAACTGAGATCGGGGGTTCGAGACCAGCCTGATCAACATGGAGAAACCTGGTCTCTACTAAAAATACATAATTAGCTGGGCGTAGTGGCGCATACCTGTAATCCCAGCTACTTGGGTGGCCAAGGCTTGAACCCAGGAGGCGGAGGTTGCGGTGAGCCGAGATGGCGCCATTGACTCCAGCCTGGGCAACAAGAGCGTAACTCCATCTCAAAAAAATAATAATAATAAAAATAAAATGCAGACTGTCAGGTCCTCTCTAGACCCACTGAACTATCCCGCCCACCCTGGGACGGTCCCCAGTGCCAGTGTTTTACCCATGTTCCCTCTGTAAGTCTTATGCACACCGCAATTTGAGAGCCCCACTGGTATAAAGTGAGTGAAACCCAGGCAGAGACAGGCAAAATGGTGAGGCCCGCATCCTATTGGTGAGTCACACAGGGAACGCTGAAATTCATGGCCTTCTCCAGGCTACTGGGAACCCATGGGCGGTGATGGAGGGAGTGGTGCCACCTTCACTTGCTGCTGAGGCTCTTCCCCCTCTCCCCAGCATACTCCTTACCTGGCTGTCTCTCCTCATGTATAAGGAACCTATAGTGGTGTAGAATCTACTCTTCTTCCCCCTGTGGCTTCCAGGCCCCCCTGTATAGCTGCTATCCAGCCCGATTTCTCACCACTGGCCCAGGGCTTCCTCCTGCCCCGTGGCTTCACGTCTCTGAACACATCAATCTCTGATGTTCTCTCTCCTTCCATTGAATTCCACCAGACACATTCAGGGTTTACTTCGTAATGTCTTCATATGAGTATCAATCAACACCTTCCCCAACTCAATTGTACTAGGTTGTAGAGCACAAGGATGGTCTCGTGCTGCTCTGTGGCACCTGTGCCTACACTCCTCTGAGCTTTGAGGAGGCTGCTCTCTTTGCTGACCCCATGATCTTTTCTGCCCTTCTGTTAAGGGCATTGGCCACAGCAACGGGGCAAATGCCCCAAGCTGGCTGTAAGTGACCCATCCCTTTGGCTCCCATGATTAGACCAAGGAGAGGCATGGGGTCCAGCTGAGCCATTCAGAACCATTCCTTAGCATTTTCCACTCAAAGGTTAGAGATGAGATTTTCTCTTCCCAAGGCTACCTCTGGCCATGGTTCCAGCTTCATGGGGGCAATGGGATTAGGAAAATGAGGTCAACCTGCAAAGGAAAGCAGATGCAAGAGATGGAGACAGAATGGGGGTGTCCTGGGGATCTTGGAGCCTGAATTCATTGGCACAAAAGGCAGCAGCATCCTCACTGTATCTGCAGTCCATTTGGACTCAATAAAAACTTTGAAAGTCACATGTGTTATGGAATTCCTTCTCAGTGACACATTCATCTGTGCTCAGTTGTCCCAGCAAGGGTCAGCCCCTCATACCCCTGCAGCATCCGCTGCTATGAAGCAGAGCTGTAAACGCCCTCCCTGTGTATAGGAAAAGCTACATGGAGCAAATCCTCCTGCCTGAAGAAGTGCATCTCAGCATCACTTCAGCTGTCGGGGCATTTGTGGGGAGAACCAGACCACCTCTGCGGAAGGCAGCAGACCCTCTTCCAGCCATGGATGGAGTTGAATTCTCTATAAACGGTTCACCAGCAAACCACCAATACATTCCATTGTTTGCCTAGAGAGAAATTTAAAAATAAATAAATGTTCACTTATAATTGTGCATGTGTCTTTTCCAGGACCTTCAGGAAACAAAGCCGGGAAATGTGAAATGACCCCCTCAAGCTCACATAAATAATAAATGGCTACAGCTAGGATGCTAATTCCATCTTTCAACTCCAAAATCTCTATTTTCTTTCAGCTCCAGCTTCTGTTTCACGGTGGCGTTACCACAGCACACCACATGAGGCCCTAATTGTAGAGCCGTAGAATCCTTGGTCTTGAAGAATGAAGTCACAAATTCCTGTGGTTTCTCTGCACAGGGTGGGGAGAAAGGCAGGATACTAGGATACTACTCTGAAAAAAGACAGCAAACCTCACTGGGTTTGGTCCTCCCACTCCTAAAGGCAACGGTTGCCTTTGAGTACAGACCTTTTTGCAATATGCACATGTGCTTTCTGTATCTCAAGAAGGCTAATGACTAAGATTCTTCTAGTTAACTATCCCCTTGCTAAGCAGTCTCCAGCCACGCTGGCCTTTCTTTTTCTCCTTCCCTCCACCAGCACTTTGCAGTCCTAATTCCTTCTGCCTGGTGCACTCTTCCTCCATGTCTTCACATCGACTTCACATAGCCAGCTTCTTCTCACCCTTCAGGTCTCAGCTGGAGCCTCACCCCTCAAGATCCCTCTCCACCCTGGAGCATAAGTTCTTAAAGCAGGGACCTCATTTGCCTTGTTTTTGTTAGGTCTGATGTAGAGTGGGTTCTTAATATTTGTGAAATGAATTGAATGAATGGATGTGATGAAAAATCTGCCTCAAAGGTGTATTTAGTCTCTACATCTTTGTCATTCTAATCAGGAAGCCGGAAAGGCTCTGTGTAGAACAGAAGTACTAAAAGCTGGTTTTGTCAGGTGCCAGGGTGCAGACCCCCCTCCCATCCAGCTCAGGACATCACCCCCTGCCCCCAAACACACTTGTGACTCCACAGCATAAAGAAGCGGAAGTGATTGGGAGCTAACACACACATAATGTTTAAATTCGCTGAAGAGCCAGGCATGGTGGCAGTGAGCCGGGATCACGCCACTGCACTCCAGCCTGAGCAACAGAGTAAGACTCCATCTCAAGGAAAAAAAAAAGGTGTCTGGTATCTTATCTCGATAAGATATCTACTCATTCATACAACTATGTAGTATTCCACTGAATGGATGTGCCATCAGTTAATTGACGGACACGTCTGTTGTCACCAGTCACTTGCTTTGACAGTGCCTAATTTCTCTCTTTGTCTATACATCCTTTCGCACATGTATGAATATGTCAGTAGATAAATTACTGCCCTCATTCTTGAAATGCACTATTAGACTCCCAGGTAAAACTGTAACATACCTCTCCGTCTCCATTGCTTGAAGGGCAGTAGAAAAAGATGAGACTCTGGAAAAGAGAAGTCCTGAGTGCCATGTCCACACTGCACCTACCTCCAACTCCAGGACTTTGAGCAAGATGAGATGCCTTCCCTTCTTCATTGAGTGAGGTGAAGATTCAATGAGATTAGGTAGAGGAGAGATGTACGTTGCTAATGGATGGTAGGAAAATTGTTATATTCTAGTAGGGAGTATTTTCTAGTTGTTATATTCTAGATGATTCTGGGAATAACTAAACCTTACGAGTTTGGCCTACACCTTTGGTAAGGTTTTTCTCAGGGCCCTTGGGACTGAATAAATGTATTTTTTTTATTTTTATTTTCTTGGGACAGAGTCTCGCTCTGTCACCCAGGCTGGAGTGCAGTGGTGTGATCTCAGCTCACTGCAACCTCCGCCTCCTAGACTCAAGTGATTCTCCTGCCTCAGCTTCCCAAGTAGCTGGGACTACAGACATACACCACCACGTCTGGCTAATTTTTGTATTTTTAGTAGAGACAGGGTTTCACCATGTTGGCCAGACTAGACTTGAACTCCTGACCTCAACTGATCTGCCCGCCTCAGCCTCTCAAAATGCTGGAATTACAGGCGTGAGCCATGGCACTGGCCTGAATAAATGTATTTAGGAGAATGTGGTAAGTAATAAATTTGCAACCAACCACAGAGTAGCTGATAAATATACATGAAGCTAATTAGAGTAACAAAAGAACACAAGCTTGCCATTGCAGTACTTTTTACCATTTGCATTTATGTATTTGATTCTTTAGTTTTATCTGTCTGTTTATTAGGATGTTGGAGACACAGGGCAGGCACCATGCATATCTTGTTCACTATTTTAGCCCTGGGGCCATGACAGTCCCTGACAGATGGCAGACCCTCCAACACTTGTTCAGTGAGTGAATTAAGCTAAGACCAAAGTTCTAATTCCAATCCTGCCAAGTACCAACACGAATGTGGGCACACACTTCCAAATGGTTTTCAACCCTCTCTGCAGGCTGCTATGACAACAAGTGACTGGATGCACTGTTTCCCCAGAGGGAGGCATAAGTGTATGATTGGTGACAGGAGATAATGTTAGGTGGTACATGGGTGAATTTTTATATTTATAGTCATATTTGTTTTAATATACATAATATATAACTTGTCCATCAAACCCATGCTTTCACAGATATTACTGTTTAAGATGAGGATAAGTAAATATTTAAGTTAATAAAGTGAATCAATTTAAAGAAAAATATGTACTTAGGTGAAACAAAGAAATGGCAAAAATAGTGATGATGAAAACATCTGGGGCCGGGCGCAGTGGCTCACGCACCCTGGGTGGGCCTTCCCACCACCCTTGTGATAGGAGGGAGAGGGAAAAAGAGAGGTTTTCAAGGATCAGGGGACCTGCCTCCTCCTAGGTCAGGGCTTTGTCTCAGCCCCACCCCTCCCTAGGAGAGTCACCGTGTGCTTGGGGGCATTCTCACTGTGCATAGGAGAGTGCACAGCTGAGGCAGGAGAATTGCTTGAACCTGGGAGGCGGAGGTTGCAGTGAACCGAGATCGTGCCACGGCACTCCAGCCTGGGCAATGGAGTGAGACTCTGTCTCAAAGAGCGTGCCCTCTCCCAGAGCCTCAGGATGGGAGCCTAGTGTCTTTTTTGAAAAAAATTAGACTTAGTTTTCAATTATTATGTAAGTAATTGATACACATCATTAAGTAAAAATGATAGGAGGCCATGGTTTTGGACTAAGCTCCTGCACCAGGCCCCAACAGACCAGACTAAAAATCAGAATGGAGTCACCCATGCTCAAGTTTCATGTCACCAAACCTAAACTAAGTTACCTGACCTTCAGGGAAATCGGGAGAGAGAGAACACCCAATTTCCCAGACAGGTCCTTTGAAGCCTTCAGTCCTTCAGTCATGAAGAAGTTCCCTCTGCCTTAATCCTTACAGGCAAAAAGGTAGCCTGAAGGAAACTGTCGTTAACTACGCAGTTATTTTTCTATTATTCTATTATGTCCCTATCTTATGAGAAAAGTAACTTTGAAAGGACTAATACATCCTGTTCTTAGCTTCTGCTTCCTTCAGGCCTTCTCTATGAAGCCAGCCTATTCTGCTCAGCGCTTTGGAACACTGATTCTATTTCATGGACCGAAGCATTGCCCAATTGTAGAATTGCAATAAAGCCAACTGAGATCTTTAAATTGGCTATAATTCATCCTTTGGCAATACAGTAAAAAAAAAAAATTCTCACAATTCTGTAGAAGGGTATGAGATATACAATAAAAGACACCCCCACCCTCTGCAATCTACCACTCACAGTAGTTTATCTGGTGGTTTCCACTTTTTAACAATGGTCTGGGCCAGGTGCAGTGACTCACTCCCGTAATCCTAGCACTTTGGAAGGTCGAGGCGGGCAGGTTGCCTGAGCTCAGGAGTTCAAGACCAACCTGGGCAACACAGTGAAACCCCTGTCTCTACTAAAATACAGAAGAAATTAGCCGGGTGTGGCGGCATGCGCCTGTAGTCCCAGCTACTCGTTTGGCTGAGGCAGGAGAATTGCTTGAACCCATGAGGCAGAGGTTGCAGTGAGCCGAGATCATGCCGCTGCACTCCAGCCTGGGTGACAGAGCGAGACTCTGTCTCTAAAAAAATAAATAAATAAAATTTAAAAATAAAATAATGCTCAGTAGGCCAGGCACGGTGGCTCATGCCTGTGATCCTAGCACTTTGGGAGGCCAAGGCAGGTGGATCACCTGAGGTCAGGAGTTTGAGACCAGCCTGGCCAATATGGTGAAACCCCTTCTCTACTAAAAATACAAAAATTAGCCAGGCGGGGTGGTGTGGGCCTGTGGTTCCAGCTACTTGGGAAGCTGAGGCAGGAGAATTGCTTGAACCTGGGAGGCGGAGGTTGCAGTGAACCAAGATTGTGCCACTGCACTCCACCTCTGGGCGATAGAGTGAGACTCTGTCTCAAAAATAAATAAAATAAAATAAAAATGGCCTGTATTATTTTTATTCATCATCTTCAGTAAGACCTCTCCACTCATCACCATAAAGATGAGGACATTATGGCACATACTTACCCTTTCTCCTTCCCAGCCACAACTTCTAATTTTTCTTAGTTACATTATTATTTTTATATAGTTTAAAAAAGGGTATCACATTTACGCACTGCTCTGTAATCATGTAATCCTAAAGCTTCCTCTGCTGTGAGTTGATTTAGAAAGTTAAAAACTAGTAAACAGCATTTACAGATTGATGGGGAAATCAACATTATTCCCTATGGAAACAAGTAGTGTGTGATCAGAGCTGGGTCATTAAAACTTTACCACTAGAAGGAAAATTTAAGGTTCCAGTCATTCTTTCCCTCCCCATAGCTTTTTTCATTTCTTCCTAGTCAGTTCATTTTCTCTTGAGAAGTAAAACCAAAATCCTAAGCCCCATGACGGACTGAATGGATGTCCTATCCTGTTGGCCAAGGAGAGCCCGGGACGGCATCTGGAGGTGGGACACACCTCCTTATACCCCCGCCCTCCCTAGCTTCCAGTAGGCATTCTTTCCTAAAATCTAAACAGAAACCAGACCTTTGGAAAGCCTGGCTTCACCGCTGATTTCCACCAACTCCCCCTCCCTTTTGCCATTTCACCACAACAACCAACATGCATTCCTTCCTGATAAGAGGCCACCCACCACTGAATGGTTCTGGCCAGTTTACAACGGATGTGCAGGGAGGGTTTTCATATCCTCCCCTTCGCCTTTTGACATCAGAGGCCCAGAAGCTCCACCCTCAGATCATGGTAAGGACACCATGTTTTGTACAGGGGTCCCATGAAGGGGCATGAAGCTCAGTTGCGCAGGCACACGTTTCTCCTTTCATAGATATTAGTGACCCCTCCTACAGCTTATTAAATATATATATTTGGCCACCTGCTCAGCACACATTCTTTTTTCCTCTGCCCTTCCCTCAAAGTGCATGTTTTCAGCTACTGGCTGGAGGCTACACTTTCCAGCCTGTCAGAGTGGCCACCTGCAGCATGCAACTCTTTATGTGAAATAAAGCTGTCCTCTCCAAATTTATGAACCTCATCATTCTTCTCTTGACTCTTTTTTTTTTTTTTTAAGACAGTCTCACTCTGTTGCCCAGGCTGGCGTGCAGTGGTGCGATCTCAGCCCACTGCAACCTCCACCTCTGGGTTCAAGTGATTCTCCTGCCTCAGCCTCCTGAGCAGCTGGGATTACAGGTACCCGCCACCACTCCCGGCTAATTTTTGTATTTTTGGTAGAGATGGGATTTCACCATGTTGGCCAGGCTGGTCTCGAACTTCTGACCTCATGATTTGCCCACCTCTGCCTCCCAAAGTGCTGGGATTACAGGCGTGACCCACCATGCCCAGCCACTTGACACTCTTAACCCATGTCCTCATTTTTAGACTCCTAATCCACCAGCAAGTTCTGCCAATTCTGTCTCTAAAATATATCATAAATCTATCCATTTTTTTTTCTGCTACCATTTTGATTTATCATTGCTGACCTGAACTTCTTGGAATTCTGAGATCAAGGTCCTGGCAGGTAGGGTCAGTGTCTTCAGAGGACTCTTTCCTTGGCCACTTTCTCCCTGTGTGTTCACATGGTCTTACCTCTGTGTGTGTCTGTATCTGCGTCCTAATCTCCTCTTATGAGGACACCAGTCATGTTGAGTTAGGGCCCATCCTCATGACCTCTTTTTTTTTTTTTTTTTTTTTGAGATGGAGCCTCTCTCCATCACCCAGGCTGGAGTGCAGTGGCGCGATCTCAGCTCGCCACAACCTCTGCCTCCCAGGTTCAAGTGATTCTCCTGCCTTAGCCTCCTGAGTAGATGGGATTACAGGTGCATGCCACCACACCCAGCTAATTTTTGTATTTTTAGTAGAGATGGGGTTTTGCCATGTTGACCAGACTGGTCTCAAACTCTTGACCTCAGTTGATCTGCCCACTTTGGCCTCCCAAAGTGCTGGGATTATAGGAATGAGCCACTTTGCCTGGCCCTCTTGACCTCATTTTAACTTATTACTTCTTTAAAGACCCTATTTCCAAATAGTCACATTCTGAGATATTGGGCGTTAGGACTTTAAGAACTTTGGGGGAATACATTTCAGCCCATAACACCACCCTTCTTTTTTTTTTAAGACGCAGTCTCGCTCTGTCACCCAGGCTGGAGTGCAGTGGAGCAATCTCAGCTCACTGCAAGCTCCGCCTCCCGGGTTCACGCCATTCTCCTGCCTCAGCCTCCCAAGTAGCTGGGACTACAGGCGCCCGCCATCACGCCCGGCTAATTTTTTGTATTTTTAGTAGAGACGGGGTTTCACCGTGTTAGCCAGGATGGTCTCGACCTCCTGACCTCGTGATCCGCTCGCCTCAGCCTCCCAAAGTGCTGGGATTACAGGCGTGAGCCACCGTGCCCAGCCAACACCACCCAACAAAAATTCACCACCCATCTACTCATCCAAACCCTCTAATGGTTCCCATTGTGCATAGAATAAAATAAAAAACCCCTGCCTTGACTTTACGTGGGTAAAGGGAAAGGGAAAGCTTTCCCCTTGGCCTCCTGAAGTTTCACTGGAAAATCAACTTGCAAAAGGCAGATTAGTGGGTAAAAAGGCATACAAGTTTATTTGCTGTATATTCACAGGGTATATACACAGGGTATTTACAAATTTGCTGTGTATTACTCAGTGCAACCACTGAGTAATTAATTGCTCACCCCGCAAGGTGGTGCCTAAGTGTATATGTCATCCTGGCAAAACAGATTATGGGAGTGGGGGAAGAGGAGTTCTGTTGAGGGGATTTTTAGGGAGAATGGATGGATTAGGGAACAGATATTAACGTGTACATTATCTTGTGAAAAGGTCTGTTCAAGTGTGGCTACACTGTTGGTTTTACAGGAAAGGGAAGAAAAAAGAGTCGTCCTTGATGTGCCTTACTTAGTGTGTCTGGATCTCAGGCAGATAAAGAAACTGTAACTTCTTTGGGAAAGATGGGGTGAGGGAGAAGGTCAGAGAAACCTTGAGTGTTCTTCGCTTCAGTATGTCAAAGCACCATATTTTGGGGTATCGGTTTCCGAGCCCCAACAACTTACAAATTCTTATATGCTCTCACTTTTGCCAATCTCTGCATCTGGGCCAGTACCCAATCCCCCCCTCCTTTTTTTTTTTTTTTTTTGAGACAGAGTCTTGCTCTGTCACCCAGGCTGGAGTGCAGTGGCACGATCTCGGCTCACAGCAACCTCCACCTCCCGGATTCACGCCATTCTCCTGCCTCAGCTTCCTGAGTAGCTGGGACTACAGGCACCCACCACCACGCCCGGCTAATTTTTTGTATTTTTACTAGAGACAGGTTTCACCGTGTTAGCCAGGATGGTCTCGATCTCCTGACCTCGTGATCCTCCCGCCTCGGCCTTCCAGAGTACTAGGATTACAGGCGTGAGCCACCGCGCCCGGCCTTTTTTTTTTCAAATGCGGTAATGTATCACTTAACGATGGGGACAGATTCTGAGAAATGTGCTATTAGGCAATTTTGTTGTGTGAGCATCAGAGAGTGTACTTGCACAAACCTGGATGGTAGAGCCTACTCCACACACAGGCTATATGGTGTAGCCTATTGCTCCTAGGCTCCAAACCTGTATGGCACATTACTGTCCTGAATACTGTAATGCCAACTGTAATGCAATGGACGTATTTGTGTTTCTAAACATAGAAAAGGTACAGTAAAATTAGGGAATGAAAGATAAAAAATAGGGCCAGGTGAAGTGGCTCACGCCTGTAATCCCAGCACTTTGGGAAGCTGAGGCGGGTGGATCACCTGAGGTCAGGAGTTCAAGACCAGTCTGGCCAACATAGCGAAACCCTGTCTCTACTAAAATTACAAAAAATGAGCCGGGCATGGTGGTGCATGCCTGTAATCCCAACTACTCAGGAGGCTGAGGCAGGAGAATCACTTGAACCAGGGAGGTGGAGGTTGGAGTGAGCCAAGATGGCGCTACTGCACTCCAGCCTGGGTGACAGAGCGAGACTCCATCTCAAAACAATAATTAAAAAAAAAAAAAAGGATTAAAAAAAGAACACCTGTATAGGGGCTTTCCATCAATGGAACTTGCAAAACTGGAAATTTCTCTGAGTGAATCAGTGGGTGAGTGGTGAGTGAATGTGAAGGCCTAGGATATTACTGTCCATTACTGTAGACTTTAAACATTGTACACTTAGGCTACACTAAATTTACTTTAAAAATTTTGGCCAGCCATGTTGGCTCACGCCTGTAAACCCAGAAGAGGCAGGAAGATCCCTTAAGCCCAGGAGTTCAAGACCAACCTGGGAAAATGGCGAGATTCCCATCTCTACAAAAATAGAAATAAAAAATTAAAAATGTTCTTTCGTCAGTAATAAATTACCCTTAGCTTACTGTAACATTTTTACTTTATAAACATTTTAATTTTTTAATTTTTTGCCTCTTTTATAATAACAGTTGTTTAAAACAAAACAACGTACAAAGGTACAAAAACATTTTTATAGCCTTATTCTAGAGGTTTTTTCCCACTTTTACAACTCTTTTGTTAAAAACTAAGACACAAACATACACATTAACCTAGGCCTACACAGGGTCAGACTCATCAAGGTTGTCGCTAGGTGATAGAAATTTTTCAGGTTCATTATAATCTTATGGTACCATCATCACATGAGCAGTCCATCATCGACCATACTCTAAACTTAGCTCCTGCCTCATTTGCATTTGCTAGTCTCACTGCATAGAACCTTCCTACTCATTCAATTAAGAAACACTTTTAGAGCAATGCCCTGTGTCAAGCACTGCTCTACATTGAGAAAGTGGCTCAGAGCAGTCTGAGGAATGTGAGATATGCAAAATTGGTTAGGCCCAGACAGGAGCAGGAGACACCTGTCACATCCTCGGCACCCATGCCTGGGGGTAATTGCTTAGAGGCATTTTGTTTTCTCTTTCGTTTTCTGTAATTTCAGACTAGCTGATAAATTACCCACAATGTTACCACAAGTTACACAATGTGACCCTCACCTATTATCTTCACGTTCCTGGGGTTTGTGGTACAAAGATCAATGTATAGACAAATGATAGCTTATTTTAATGAACCATTGTAAATTCTTGGTAAGCAGCTTAGGAACTGCATCCTAACTTTTTCATCTTTTTTTTAATCTTTAATCCACTTGTAACGGCTGCTAATCGGAGCATATATTCAGGGCAACTTGAATCCATGACTCCCAGGCTGTAGACCTCAACCCTGGCCCAAATAGACTCTCTACTTATATTAATTTTGCTTCAGTTTCTTCCTTTAGGTCAACAAGATGAACAGTCTTCCCAGCTGGGCTATACGTACCTCGGGGTACAGGAAGTCCTGTACAACTTACAAATTCCTATATGCTCTCACTTTTGCCAGTCTCTCCACCTGGGCTAGTACCCAATTCCCCCCTTTTTTTGGTTGGGAGATTTGGAAGTCCTGTACCCTGAGGTGCATATAGCACAGTTGGGAAGACCCTTCAAAGGGATCTGTGGGCCCAGATATACTAGGGAAATCCTGAATTTTTGTATACTCTTTTCTAAAATTGATTGGCCTGCAAACTCAGTTTTCCAATTCTCCTTTTACATCTCCCCTTCCACAAAGAAAAGCATAGCACCCTTTTCCATTGCCTGTCGTGGGTAGCGACTCTCTGGGGCCCGTGTCACGCAGGTGGTAAAAAGAATTCATCAATACAGTTGTAGGTAAAGAAAGGCAGATTTATTAGACAAAGCAGGAAAGTATGTTGCAAGGGTGCAACAAGCAAATCAGCAAGAGAGGAGCTGACTGCCAGGAAACAAACGTTTGCTCGGGATTTGACAGAATGGTGCTTGGGCTGTGTGTTAAGAGGGCTTTGTGCAGTACTGATAGTGCTGAGGTTGCAGTGAGCTAACTTGCATTTTTCTATCAGCTGAGGTGTCTGGTAATAGCTGGGTGCAGGAAGATGGTGAGTAATTTGCACAGGAGGACTATGTATCCTGAACCACGAAGAAAGGTAGACTTATAGCTTACCTGCCTTTTCTTTTTGCTTTCCTTCATCCTTACCAGCCCAACTCCCCCTCCCTAAATTAGGACTCCACATTGCCTGGGTGTAAACTAACAGGAATTGAACAAGGGACACTTCTAGAACATATTTTTCCTTTTCTTTTTGAAAACACTTTCTTTATATATATATATAGATATATTTTTTTATTATACTTTAAGTTCTAGGGTACATGTGCGCAACGTGCAGGTTTGTTACATATGTATACATGTGCCATGTTGGTGTGCTGCACCCATTAACTCGTCATTTACATTAGGTATATCTCCTAATGCTATCCCTCCCCCCTCCCCCCACCCCACAACAGGCCCCGGTGGGTGATGTTCCCCTTCCTGTGTCCAAGTGTTCTCATTGAAGAACCTATTTTTCCACAGGGCATATCCTTGAGCGCTAAACAAAGAGGGCTTAGTAAAATGATTGACTGTTTTTATTTCCTCCTTTATCTTGAAGATAGAGATCTATCTGCCTATCCCTTTGTCTATCCACCAGCTTGTCCATCCCTCCCTCCATCTTTCTCAGAACTTAGAAATAAGGTATCAGAGTGATGTAACCACCCAGTGGATTCTTCCTGCCTGCTGCACAACAAAATTGACTCATGGGCACCATGGCATTGCAATAAAGAAAGTTTAATTGACACAAGTCTGGCCACACAGTGTAAGAGACGGAGTTATTACTCAAATCAATCTCCCTGAAGGCTCCTAGGTTAGGGGTTTTTCAAATATAGTTTGCTGGGCAGTGGGGTAGGGTAGGGAACATGCTAACTGGTTGAGTTGGAGATGAAATCATAAGAAATCGAAGCTGTCCTCTTGTGCTGAGTCAGTTCCTGGGTAGGGGCCACAGGACTGACTGGTGGGTCCAGGTGGGGCCACCCGGTTGTCAGAAATGCACAAACCTGAAAAGACATCTCAAAAGGCCAATCTTAGGTTCTACAATAGTAATGTTATCTGCAAGAGTTATTGCAGAAGTTGCAAATCTGACCTCCAGAATAATGGCTGACAATTATTTAGAATTCAAGTCCCTCTCATTCTCATAGTTTAGTTGCCTTGCATTAGTTTTACAAGAACACTTTGATTTTGGGGAAGGGCTAATATCATTTCAACTATAAACTAAATTTTCCACAAAGTTAGCTTGGCCCATGCCCAGAAATGAGCAAAGACAGACAGCCTGTGAAGCAAGATGTCAAATTTCTCTTACTGTCATAATTTTGCAAATGCCATTTCAGGAACATGCACAGTAGTCCCCCCTACTTATGTGCTCAAGATATTAAGTGGAAAATTACCAATTCATAGGCTTAAATAACCAATTCAGAAATAACCAATTCATAGGTCTTAAAATGCATGCCATTTCTTGGTAGCATGATGAAATCTCCACCGTCCCATTCTGTCTTGCCCAGGATATGAATCCCCCCTTGCCCAACAAATTCATGCTGTCTACACTACCCACCCATTAGTCACTTATTAGCCCTCTGAATTACTGGATTGAAAAAACATAGTATATATATAGGGCTTGGTACTATTCACGGTTTCAGGCATCCACTGAGGGGTGTTGCAATGTATCTCCCACGGATAAGGAAGGACTGGTATATTAACACTTTTATTTGATTTACAAAATAAAGGATAGTTTATATAGTTCTGGGTAAAATTAATTAATTAATTTAAAAGGAAAAAAGATAAAGGCAAACTTTAAGCTTGTTAAAAATTAAGTAAAATAATTTGGATTATTTAATTGGACAAAGAGGACTGGCTTTGCCAATGAAACAATATGGCCGACATGTTCCATAAATTGGACAAGCTAAACTTGCAAATCCACAGTTTTGACGAAAATATAGTGAGAGCACTTATGAAACATCATGCCAGAAAATAATCCATTCCCAGAAGTTGTGAAAAGAGTTTTTAGATGTCTTTTTTTTTTTTTTTTTTTTTTTTTTGAGACAGAGTCTCACTCCGTTGCCCAGGCTGGAGTGCAGTGGCCAGATCATGGCTCACTGCAACCTCAAACTCTTGGGTTTAAACAATCCTGCCTCCTAAGTCTCCTATATAGCTGGGACTACAGGTGCACACCACCATGCCTGGCTAATGTTTTGTATTTTTGGTAGAGACGATGTTTCACCATTTTTTCCAGGCTGGTCTTGGACTCCTGGGCTCAAGAAATCTGCCTGCCTCAGCCTCCCAAAGTGCTAGGATTACAGACATGAGCCACTGTGCCTAGCTCGATGTCAACTTTTAAAAGTATACACTGGGATATGAATTTTTAAAATACTTTTATGAGGCACGGAAGCGAAAACGTTTAGAGTGCTACTTTCTAAGTTCTGGAGTCATAGAGAAGAGTGAACAAGATAATTAAGGTCCCTGCCCTCTTAGAACATATATCCCAGGTTTGCTGTTTATAATTTTAACTCAATATATATACAATGAAATATTATTCAGCCTTATAAAAGAAAACCCTGTTATGGGTGACAACATAGATGAACCTGGAGAACATTATGTTGGTGCAATAAGCCGGGCACAGAAAGACAAATACTACATTAGCCCATGTATATGTGTAATCTAAAAAATTCAGATTCATAGAAGCAGAGCATAGAATGGTGGTTGTCAGGGCTTCAGAGGTAGGAAAGATGGGAGATGTTGCTCAAAGTTACAAAGTTTCAGTTAGGCGGGATGAATAGATTCTAGAGATGTAATGTATATTGTATACTTGCAGTTTTCGTTTTCGTTTCGTTTTGTTTGTTTTTAAATAGAGAGAGAAAAGGTCTCACTCTGTCATCCAGGCAGAGTACAGTGGCATGATCATGGCTCACCGCAGCCTCAAATTCTTGGGCTCAAGTGATCCTCCCACCTCAGCCTCCTATATACCAGGGACTACAGGCACATGCCACCATGCCCGGCTATTTTTCCATTTTTTTGTAGAGACGAGGTCTTAGCTGTTTCCCAGGATGAGAATAGATCTTAAATGTTCACAGCACACACGCGCGCGCGCGCGCGCGCACACACACACACACACACACATGCAAATGATAACTGTATGAGATGAAGGTTATGTTAATTATTTTGGTTGTGGTAATCATTTCAGAATGTATACATATATCAAAACATTACGTTGTACATCGTTATGATATACAATCTTTGTCAATTATACCTCAATAAAACTGGAAAAATAAATAAGATTTTAACTCAAATGTCACTTGCTTAGAGATGTCTTCTCTCACCCAAGTCACTCTATCACATTGCCTTCCTAGCAATTAAAACTACCTGAGATTATTGCCTTTTTTGGTCTATTTTCTCTCTCCATTCTAAAATGTGTCTGCCGTGAGAGGGGAGATCGTGTCTGTTTTGTTTTCTTTGTGCCCCCAGAGCCTAGAATACTGTCTGGCATTTTAAAGTACACAATAAATGTTTGTTGAATAAATGAATGGATTTGTTAGTTTTGTGCCCATTTCACAAAGGGGCAAAGTGAGGCCTTTGAGAGCCAGAAGCTCTAGGTCAGTGACTGTCCTAGTCTATCCAAGCACAGAGCAGCTCTGGTTAGTGTCTGCTCAATTCCTCTCCCCTCGCCCAAACGTCCCTGAGTTGCGGCCTCGCTCCTGACCGAAATCCCCGCGGGTTCTCCTCGCAGTGTCTACTGGATCCCGCCAGGAGGCAGCAGAGGCGCCAGCACCCAGTCCGACGGGACAGCGGACCGGAGGGGGTTTCCGCTTCCGGGAGAGGCTGACCGTTTCCGCTTCCGTCCACTTGGCGAGTGAGACGCTGATGGGAGGATGGACGTACTGGTGTCTGAGTGCTCCGCGCGGCTGCTGCAGCAGGTTTGGACGCAGGAGACCGGCGGGAAGGCCTGAAAGAGATGGAGCAGGCTCTGACTCCTGCCCAAGCGGCTTCGGGGGCGGGACAGCTAGGCGAGGACCATCCTGGTCCTCTCAGAGTGGAGCGGCACGGTCCCTGTGGGAACAGGAAGGGTTGAGAGAGGAAGCACCCATCATTTCAAAGCCCGTGTGACTGTGATTTTCAGCGGAATGGAGGGTCCCCACCCTCTCCCAGGCCTCCCCCAAACCAGCGTCTTCGGTGGGCTGGAGCCTGGCATGTTCAGAACAGTTCTCTCCCTACAATCCACCTCCTCTTCTGCATACACACGCGATTTAGGGGATGCGGGGAGATAGACAAGGGGGGAATACATTCAGAGCTCTGGGTCTTGGTTTGCAGCTCAGCCGCAGTTCTTCCCGGGTTACTGAGCGAGAGGATTCCTAATAAGCCCATGGGGTGATTCATTATCAGACCAGCGGAGCTTGCTCTGTGCCCTCAGCATTCGTCGGGAAGGAGCAGCCACACCATATAAAAGTGAAAGCGGCCGGGCGCGGTGGCTCATGCCTGTAATCCCAGCACTTTGGGAGGCCGAGGTGGGCGGATCACGATGTCAGGAGATCGAGACCATCCTGGCTAACACAGTGAAACTCCGTCTCTACTGAAAATACAAAAAAACTTAACCGGCTGTGTTGGGGGGGGTCCCTGTATTCCTAGCTACTCGGGAGGCTGAGGCAGGAGAATGGCGTGAACCCGGGAGGCGGAGCTTGCAGTGAGCAGAGAGCACACCACTGCACCACAGCCTGGGCGACAGAGTGAGACTCCGTCCCCCTACAAAAAAAAAAAGTGAAAGCGGAACAGTTCCATTACCTTTTATGCCCAGGTGGGGAGGGATGGTAGGAAGATAGTTCACAGTACTCTGTCCTGTTACGGCTGTATACTTAATCAGCAGTCACAAAGTACAAGTTAGTCAAGTAAATTGGCAAGCTCTTTACATTTCTGAGCCATTTATTTATCGGTATGTATTTATCTTTGCCTCACTTGGTTGTGATAATCATGAAGGTAATTTCTGAAAAGTGTTTTTAGCTCAGCTCCTGGAACATAATGTATGCTCATTTTTGGCAATTTGGTTTTGGCTGTAGCTATCTCCCAGTAAGTATTCTGAAATTTCAGGTGAGGAACTCCCCCTGAGTTTTGCAGTTTAAGTTGGAAGCTTTATTTCTTTCTGAATTGACATGTCTTTAGTTTTAGATGTTAAACTACAAAGCCTGGTCTGGTCTAGTCTAGGACCTAAGACACTGGAAACAGGAAGAAATGGGAAAATTGTTTAGTCCCAGAAAGGGTGAAAGGCAGACCCTTGAGCTATTTTGAATGTGACAAAGGACATTTGGGTTTTTTAAGAGTCCCAGGTCATAGGATTTGGGAATAAAAGCAGGTTGGTCAACCTGAAACTTAACTACTCTTGCTAAATCAGAGTGTTTATCGAGCCAAAGAAAAGAACTAGGGATATGAGACATGAGGCATATCCCATTATATACTTACTCCGATTCCTGTCTCCCAAAACACATGTATGTGTGGTTAATATATTCTTTTTCTTTTTCTTTTTTTTTGAAACAGAGTCTCGCTCTGTCAAGCAGACTGGAGTGCAGTGGCACGATCTCGACTCACCGCAACCTCAGCCTCTGGGATTCAGGCAATTCTCCTGCCTCAGCCTCCCAAGTAGCTAGGATTACAGGCATGCGCCACCATGCCTAGCTAATTTTTGTATTTTTAGTAGAGACAGCGTTTCGCTATGTTTGCCATGCTGGTCTTGAACTCTTGGCCTCAAGTCATCCACCTGCCTAGGCCTCCCAAAGTGCTGGGATTACAGGCGTGAGCCACCATGCCTGGCCAATATTTTCTTATTAAGGATAATATGCTAACGTCAGCAAAAATCTCAGAGGAGAAAGAAACACAGCTCATCAAAGGGAACATTAATGATTCCCATGGTCTATGCCACGCCTTGGTAGAGAGGGGAAATGTGGAAGTAAGTTTATGGACTGAAAAAAGTGCTTTTTTTCC